>NC_000003.12:139766180-140069210 GCF_000001405.40 Homo sapiens | reverse complement strand
GTCCTCACATTGCAAAGAGCTGGTCTGTACTGAGAATGAGGATAGGATAACTCTGAAATCCACAATTAGATCTCAGGCAAGACTTAAATTTAATTTTCCTCTTGGAAGAGGAAGACTCTCTCACTGACATTTCCCAAGCCTTAGCTTTCTTGTCTGCAAGATGTAGACAAAAATAAGGGCAGCAAAATGTTATTGAATACCTACTATGTGGCAGGAAAAAATTCCTCCCCAAAATCCTATGAGAGAGATTCTATTATTATCAAAGAGCACAGAGTGGTTAAGTCATATGACTGAAGTGACAAAAATGAAATCTGAACCAGACAGTATGATGTTAGAACCTAGGCTCTTAATCACTATCATTTACATGTCTGTCTCATGCAGTGCTTTAAATATATACAATCATAAATTTCTACCACTGTGTCCATGGTAGATGTTTAATGAATGATAGTTTCCTATTCTTGAAGCAGAAATTGGTCTTCTTATTAGGAATTGGCCTCCTGCCAACTGGCCATAATTTCAGACACTGTCCACTCCATCAGAAACTGAATATTCCATCAGGAATTGGTCATCTTGTCAGGATGATTCTAAAAGGCAATCTTCCAGCTGATGCCTGCCCAGGAATCAAACTGTCACAAGGTGGGCTTGAATTCAACAGACATTGTTCTTTAGTGGAAAAAGAAAACACATTGCTATTGAATGCATCTCAAATCCAAGTACCCAGGGATTCTTTCAAGTCCATTTGCATGGAAAGAAGAAGGCAAAGACATGGGTTTGAGTCCATCTGGAGTAGGAGGGTAATCTACCAAGTGCCAGGAACCTCCAGCTATCAGTTTCTCTAGGTCTTATAAGAACTCTAAAAGGGTTCATTGAGTCTGTTTGTAAAGATTCTAAGGCCCAAAGAGCGTTAAATGAATTGTCTAGATTTGTGGAGCTTATAAATGGTAGACCTGGGATTATGAAACAGTGGCTCCAGGCCCTTTCTACCAAATTTCAGTGTCATCTCCAACCTGGCTGCAATGTGTCCCCAGAGAAAGAGTGGCCTATGCCCAGGGAAAACTCTGCCTCCTTCAAAACTGAATCAAGTCTGGCTCTGCCCAGGAGCAGCCTCTTTGCTGCCTTTTAAACCATCTTCCAAGGAGTATTTGGATTTAACTCTCTGCCACTGCCCCCGGGCTTGGGAGTCCTAAAAGAACAGAGCTGTGTCCATAGTGTCCAGCACAGAGCCTGGAATGAGCCACAGAAGTCTCGTACACGCAGTGCCAAGATTCTACCAACACTTCTGACAAGAGGCAGCATTTTCCTTTCAACCAGAGAGACAGTAACCTAATGCACATTACTACTTTTTTTTAGTCCTTTTTAGGAAGGCAGCAGGATGAGGTAAGAAGACTGCTTATTTTAAGAATCCCATTACTGAAAAGTCAATGAGGCAAAAATATCAGCATCAAAACGATAGAAGCAGCCCCGTCTCTCCCAGGAAACATCCCTTCCTAAAATGACCACTCACAGGGGAGCCCTTGTGATCAGAAAGGGTGACAGCATCTGTGATCCAGGCACTTAATCTTCCACAACACACAGATTTACATCCTGACATCACCTCTTCCAGTGTGGAATCTCTGGGAAATTTTTTAACCTTTCTGAGACTCCACCTTCTCCTCTCTAAAATGGGCATAATGCCCACTTGAATGGACCTTCTCGAGGTTTAAATAAGAGCATTTATGTAACAGCCTTTGTGCCAAGTAGGTTCTTGGTATGATGTTTCCCTCCTTGGAGCTACAGGGGCAATATCGGCACAGAACTGCAGAGACCATGGGGGAGTTTCATCTGTGGGAAACAGATGAAAGCTGTGAATCACCCCATCAATGGAGCTGGAGAGCTGAACACGAATTTTGCAGTTTCAGAGAATTATAGCAATAACTGTTATTTTTGTTTTCAAATTGAGAAAGGTAAGAAACCAAATGCTGTTCAGCCCCAAGCATGTGTTACTCTGCTTGGAGCTCTACACTCATGATCTTCAGCATGGCCCTGCCAAGTAGGTCCCAGGGTTGCCAGTCTAGTGAGGAGGACACTGAGGCCCAGAGAGCTTGTATACTATCACCACATTCCCCTTTGAGTGAATAAGACTTCTTCCTTGTTACCCCATGTCACCTCATATCATCCATCATGAGATCACACAGACTGGATGTTGGGGAAAGGGTCAGGGATCAAACCTCTTCGTTGAGATTGATGAAATCCACTTATGTCATCTCTTGCTCTGATTAAAATACACCAATGATAAATTACTAAACTCCTTAACATAGAGACGTGAGTGACAGAAGTGCCACAGACAACTGGTCCAGGGAGATCACAGCAAAGAGAAGAACAAGAATAGTGATGCACAGCTACCTCTTTGCCATAGTTTTCTGACTCCTAAGCATCTGTGAGTGTCTGTGAGTGAAAGGTAATGCATCTGATGAATTAGAATGGGATCTGGAGGTTATAGTGGTCAAAGATGAATGTAAACCAACAACCTACTGCTTTTGCTTAATATATCGGGAGCCTAAGTAGAGTTCCCCCACCCAAGGTAGCAGAACAGTAAAATGGTGGATTGTCTTGACATGCAGCAGCCTCTCCTGTTTGGGCCTATTCCTTTCTCACAGAAACATTCCTGTAAAAAAGGTTTGGTATTTTCAGCCCTAATCCTCTTCCTTTCTAGAGCTTCTCTCAGGGGACTATCTCCTAAAAATCAGTCAGACTTTAATGTTAATATAAAGCCACTTGTCTTCTTTCACAGGGTCATTGGCTACCCAAGCCTTTCCTCTAATACTGGAGCAAAGGGTTTGGCAGCTATAAATAGAATTTCAGGCACCAGGTAAAGATTAGAGAAAGAGTCTTGAAGAAACACCATGGTGGAGGCTATGTGCTTCCCTTTAAGAGGTAGGAAGTGGGAGGCTGCTCTGCAGCTCACACTGGGACTGCAGACAGACAGGCTGCTGGGGGCTCCACAGACACTGAGAAGCACAGAATGAGACATGCACAAAATATTCTGTCTGCATTTATGCCTGTCTGAAATATAGTAGGATGGTGGAGTAGAAATATCAAAGGTCTTAGAATCAAGGGGCAAAGCTCATCTCTGTCACTTGCTACCTGAAAAACCATTGGCAAATTATTTGATTGCGTAAAGCTTCAGTTACCAATTCTGTTGAACGGGATAATAATATCTGCCCATCAATCAGTGGTGGTGAATGTTATATGGGGTAGTGAATGCAAAATGGGTGGAAAATCATGAAAACATGAAAACCATTAGTTCCCTTCTCTTTCCACCATGGTTGGGCAGATCATATTAAATTAATCCTTCCATGGGATTATAAAAGTAGCCCATTGAGGCTTAATATTTCCATCTAGAATTTTACTACTTATTGGATAAGGTGCCCCTCACTCCCAAGGCTGTATTTGCCAACAGCACCATTTAAACAAATGAAGTAAAGCCTATGATGCATTTAATAGTTCCAGGGAAGTGGGCCTTTAAAATCCCCACATCTTCTGACCTTCTGGTCTAGAGAGACTTTATAGTATCTTAGAGACCAGTTAAGTCTGGGTGTTGACCTAGAGAGAAAGGCGAATTTGCTTTCCAGGGCAACTCTCTCTGCCCCCAGTGCTCCTGGCTTCTCCTCTCAGGATAACACATTCAAGTCCATAGGAATTACCTGAAGTTGTGAAGTTTTCAACACAATAGCTTTGTATAAATCAACTTCCTGACCAAGATAAGGATAGTTCTTCTCCTCAAGTTACTGTTAAAATTGCATTTGAACAAGTGCTCAAAACTTCTAAAACCCTTTCCCATTGACAGTCAAACTCAGTGGTGAGTAAGTGGTAAGGGGCTCCCTAGATGACTGTGAAGGTGAAACGCAGGGCCCAGAAGGCAGGGCCTGAGCCTCAAAGACAGGACGCTGTGGATTGGTCTCCAAATCCAATCATCCCAGACCTTCGGCTCACCTGGCCTCACCTTCCACACACCTGCCCTTGCAGGTGAAGTCAGGTGAAGACCACCTGCTCATTATCTGGCCCCATCCCTTTGCCTGCTCCTGTAAAATACTAAGTCTGTTTTGATTCTTCTCTGAAGCTCATTTCTCTTCTTTTGGATAATTCATTAATCATCATTTTAAATTGCTTCCATGGTTGTTAGCCAAGTTAACTTTTTGAGCCAAATCTGATAATGCATACTTTCTCAGAATGCCATACATTTCAGAGATTTTCCAATATCTTAGCTGAGATCTATATGTATTATCTTCTTGTAATTTGACTTAATCTATTCCATATCCATGGTGATATTCCCTTTGTCATCTTTAATCTTTGTGCTTTTGATATTCCCTTTGTCATCTTTAATCTTTGTGCTTTATCTCTTATTTTCTCAATTATATCTAAGAAAAGAATGTCTACTGGTTTCTTTAAAGAATAAGCTTTTAGATTCACTTATAAATTCTAATGTTATTCTCTTTTCTAATACATTAATTTCTACTTATACTTATGGCTTATTGCTTCTTAATTTCCTCAGATGAATCTTTTTTAACTTCTTGTGTTGGATGCTTTCATTCTTTCTCATTGATTCAGAAGGTATTTAAGGCTATGGGTTTGCTTCTAAGTACAGCTTTGGTCACATCCCATAAGTTTTGGTTGTTCTAGTAATAGGTGGTCATTGTGGTTTTGATTTTCATTTGTACCCAAAGTTGTTTAAGAAAGCTATGCTTTTTTTCTTTCCATGTGATTTGGTTTTATTTTGCTTTGATTTTAATTACAAGTGCTAAAACATGATTCTCCATAGGCAGGAAAGACATTCTACTCCACTTTTTATAGAGTAAGAACCTGAAGCATGATGAGGTGAAGTGGCCAGCCTAAAACTTTAGTGATAATTAGCAATGAAACCAGAAACAGGAAAAGGAGATCAAAACCTTTTGCATAAGTAGACGCTCCCTACAATCCTTCTTCAGCAAAAGGGATTGCATAACTGTTGATGGCCTGTCTTAGGTCTGAGGAGGGAAGTGATTTGGATGTTTTAGAAGTGTTTTTAGCAGCTGGAAGCCATCCTTATAATGGAGTGGGCAGGCCCTCCTTCAGTCAGACTGAGAGGCAGCTCCCCAGAGTACTCTGCTATCTGTTCACGCTTGCTCACCGGGCAGGTATAAGGTAGCCAATGGTTACTGCTCCATCTTTCAGAACAGATCCAGAGCAGCAGAAGCAAAGGCCCTGGCAGGGGCTTCTGGGATTGAACACAAGCACTCCAGCTGCAAGAACAGCACCCAGGGGTCACTGTTAGACTTGTCCAGAGAGGGTCAAATGGCCGTGCTGTTCTGGGTGTGATACTCCATAATTGAGTTGTTTAATCCTATGAAGTAGTTATTAGTCCCCTTCACAGATAAATCAACTGAGGCTCAGAAAGATGAAGAAACCTCCTCCATGTCAGGGCTCAAGGTGCAAGATGGCCCCTCCTACAAAAGGGTGACAAGATACTGAAGGAGGATATAGTAGGGATTTAGACATTCCTATGTCAGAGGAGGCAACGGAAGGGGTTGTTTAATGAAGGACTGCTGGGGTTCTGCCAGGGTTTTAAATTATCATTTACATATTTAACTTTTAAAAGATTTATTTTCCACACTCTGTCCACATGCACTTCTTGTATTCCCTAAGATAAGGATGACTTTACCTGCCTCACAGTGTGACTGTGAGCCCTGGAGACTGCAATGCATATCAAAGCTTTACATGTGGCAGGTGCTCAGTTAGCATGGACGCGGAGTGAAGAAAGCAGGAGCTTTACTCCTCTCCCCTTTTATCATTTTGGTTCTAGCTGGGAGATGGCAGCCTACCTCTTGCAAAAGCAGACACCACTCAAGTGCCAGAGCTAGAAAAAAGCCCAGCAATACCATCTAGCCCAGGGTTCACTACTGGAGTTCCTGGGTAGAATTCAGGGGGTACTAAAATTTAGGTGGGAAACACTTGATCCTCACTAATCTCATAGCAATATAGAATGTCCTTCATTATGCATGCAGGTGACAGACCACAGCTCTCCTAGCTGTGGATCTAGAACATTGTGACCAACAGAAATCACTGGTGTTTATGTGACATAGTTGCCCCAGACATCTCAAAATGTCATTTACATTAATCACTACTTCAGAATTAGATTAGGTATTAAACCCACAACTAGATCTTGTCACTTAATGTGTGAAGGAAGCATATGTATCTCAAGATCACAATTTTTAATATTTTGATAACTCTACTTCAATATAATTAGCTTATTTTATAATCAAATGTATTATATTTTGCTGATTAAGAATCTTTATGCTGAGATAATGTACATAGGGGCTTCATCAGACTGCTACAGAGACCCCTCATATAAAAACCAGGGTGTTTAAGAACCCTGGTTCAGACAAGGAAATGGGCCCAGAGGAGAGATGTGATTCACTCAAGGTCACACAGCAGAGCTGGGACAAGAACCCAAGTTTTCCCACCCTACTAGCATACCATGAGCTTACAAAAAGTGGGGAAACACAGGGGTACAGTAGTCACATAATGAGTCATGGCAGCTCTGGGAGAGGGACTTTGGCTCAGCCAGGGCAGGGCAAGGAAAAGGAAAATAAAAAGCTATCTATGCAGTCTGCAGCTCTGCCTGCTCAGCCAGGGAGCTGGTTACAAACATTTATTATTTGTTTTGCTGAAGTCTGCTCACATGGAACTGGGTAATAGATTAAATGATTCTTTAGTAGCCACACAAAAGGGTGAGGAGGCTTGATTTCTCTTTGCACTTAAAACCCACATCACACACGTGTATACTTCATAATTGTATTGAGCAGCTCAGAAAGATAATAGAATACTTCAATATAATATCTCATGAGGGTGGGCATGCCTGCCTGTAGAATAGGGACCCCTCAATGTGGAGTATGGTTCTTTTTGCTGCTACCTGAGACTTGCTGAGATTGAAAACTTGGAACCAGAAAGAGGTGCTTCTCAGAAGAGGATGTTCACATGTTTAGGGAGGACTGACGTCATCATGACCAGTAGTTTGCAAACTGAGTACCCGGGGCTCTACGGCATGGACCCACCACTCTCCTGGCCTTCCCTGCATACCTGATGCATTTCACTCATGCTGAGTTCTCACCTGAAATTACTTCTCTACAGTACTCTACCACTACCACTATTAATATTAATACTAACTATAATAATAATTGGTTAGCCACTCCTGCAGCTTGCAGACTATTGGCAGACAGGAGCTTTCAGTCTATAAAAGGAAGCTTCTGCAAAAACAGCCATTTTAAATACTGTGTGATCAGTGTCAGGAGAAGCGAGCACAGGCTTCTGTAGCACCTAGAAGAATTGACCTTTTAGCTAACTCTTGAAGAAGTGTGGAAGTAAAAAGAATTCCAAGCATAGAAAGCAGCACATGCAAAGGCACTATGGCAAGAAACAGCATGGTCCTTTCAGGCCATGGCAAGATTTTCCATCTGCCTTGGTGCAGAATGCAACTGTGTCCTGCCCTGGGTAAACTGCAACAATGTAGGTGGAATTTCTCAGAGAGGCAAAGTTATCTTTGGTTTAGAGCCCGGCAGGAGTTATGATAGGAAAGTAACTTCTATCGTATTCTTGGAGGGGACTCCAGGCCAGAGGAGAGTGGTGCAGGGGACTTCCACCTCCCACTATAGGAGAGCAACTGCCCTAAACCTGGAAAGAAGCAGGGCTGGTGGGGTGAGGTGTAAGCCAGCTTCCTGTGTGAAATCCACAGCCATGAGGTCTCCTAGGGCAACCCAGAGAGATCCTCTTCCTAGAAAGTCAGGGATGTAGGAAAGGGGTGGGCAAATTGAGACTGCAGTACTGGGCTGTTTGATTTAGCTTTTCTCATTTACACAGTGTTATAGAGCATGGGGTCTAAATGGACTTATGTTAGAAACCAACTAATGCTCCAGATAAAGGAAATGTGTCCATTCACATCCATTTATCTGCCGGCCCTTTAATTCCTCTCCCCTGAGGGTTTACCTACCACATTGGTTGCAAAATAGAAGTTGATTCAGAAAAGCTCACTTTGAGAAAATGACCAACATTAGTATTTCCATGTGAATTGAGAAAACTGAAATATTGGCAGCTTAGGAGAAATCAGAAAAGCCTCGAGGAATCTTGCTTTCTGGCCCCTAGGCTGAGTAAGTAATATCTTCTCTTATGCCCCTCTGCTCAGGGCTTCCCTCTGCCAGCGCTCTGACCCTATGTCTGGTCCTGATCGTTAACTCCTCTGTCTCCCTCTCCAGGCTGCAAACTCACTGAAGGCAGAAATTCATCCTTCTCTGGATTTGCTTGGCTTGGCACAAGATCTGACCCTAAGAGATGGTCAGGAAATGATGAAGGAATAAAAGAAATAGCACACCCACGAAAATCAGATCCTGAACTCAGTATCTATGTGTACAAAGCACAAAAGGGTCCCTGTGTTGCCCACCACTGTGGTTAACACCAGTTACCCATCAGGTCAACCGCAGGCCTTGTTACTCTGGATGCCACATCAGGCAGCCCTATTGGTGATGGGCCCAGACATTACAGGGCTGGCTCTAACAGTCAGAAGTGAAGCACCTCCCCTGAGCCAGGTATCCACTGGGCTCTGATGACAATCATCCTTCGGCCTTCCCATTGCCGAGGGCCAGGACACTCAGACAGCCAGGAAGTGTCAGAGCTGGGGCTACCCCTGAGGACCAGGGATTTCCTGGAATCTACACATTTCACTTACCTGGGAAAGTCAAGCCCACCCTTACCCTTGTGGAGTTCATTTCCAAGAGGATTTTGGGGATCGTATTAAAGCAGCTCCTCATCAAGCCATCAAGTTGGCAGTGAGGCAGCTATAGTAAGAGTCATAGGCAGTCTTCTTCCCATGACCCCCAGCCCCTACTCCATGAGCTTTCTTCCCTACTGATATCACACCAACCCTCCCCACCAAGTTTACTCTCCTACCATCTGGAGAACCAGTCTTTCAGCTTTCACAACGGTACATATATTATTCTCTCAGTGCCAGGCTATAAGAACAAAGGCATAACGATGCAAGAAAATGATGGCAAACTTGTATTGAACTCTTCCTATATGCCAGGAACCTCGCTGAGTTATTTACAAACATGTTATTTAATTCCCCTAACAGCACATGAAGAAGATTTATTATATCATTTTACAGATGAGGAAACTGAGGCCCAGAGAGATTAAGCAATTCATCAATTGCCACAGACATGGTCAGTGGAAGGGCTAGGGTATTATGCCAGTTCCTCCCCAGATCGGTGTATTAGGATGTTATTCTTAACTCCATCATTAAGCAAAACCATTAATGTCTTGAATGAGGTCTTTCTTTATAACTAAGAGCCCTTATTTTTCATTATTTAAAATATTTTCCCTGGACATTTCTTCTTAATAGACAAATACCTCCCATTGCAATTTTGGAAAGCAGAAAGGTTGCAGGTTCAGCCTGAATGGAGAAGAGACCATCAGTGCCTGGGAGTAGGCTCACTTCAGCTGCTTCCAAGTGGGTGTCTTAATAGGGCAAGCTTCTTCACTGCCCTGACCTCATCCTCTCATCTGAAAAGTAAGGATAATTATATCCACCCTGCCATCCTCAGAGGGGGCCACCAAGAGGACTGAGCAAGCTGATGGTTGAGTGAGGGCTTGACAGGAAGGCTTGAGGGGAAGACTGAGCAGGGTCTGATGGCCCCCCAGAACCCTCTCCATGTAGCTCTCTTTAGTCTCCTGCTCATCAGCACTTTTAGCTCCATCAGGAACACACCTGTGTCTTAATTCCCTGGCACATCACCCTGAGCCACCCATTCCACATTGAACACACATTTATGGAGTCCCTCTTGTGTTCCCAGCACAGTTCCAGGCCCTGGGGGGCAGCAGTGCACACAACACAAAGCCCTGCCCCTCTGGAGCTGTCAGCCATCTGGGAATCAGAACTAACACTCTTAGGACACTTATCATGGGTGGTTCCAGGTAGTTTTTGTGCATTTGCTCACTTAATCCTTTCCCATAAAACTTTGAGGCAAGAGCTAGTATGTTAGCTAAGGAAACCAAGGCACAGTGAGGTTAGGTACATTTCCCCAGATTGCACATGCAGGACGCAGTGGAACTGGGGCTTGAACCCAGGGAATCTGATGACAGAGCCCACACCCCAACATCACATACTACTGCCATGGGTCTTTACATGCCTAACTTCTGCTAATTGGGTGCCAAACTTTTTCACCTTATCCTCCATAGCTTCTTATCCTCCATGGCTTCTTGGGTCTTCTCTGTCTCTGCTCCCTGCTGGTCAGGGCCCTCCCCCTCCTCCTGGAAACACAGCAGCCTCCCTCTGGCTTTCCTGCCTTTCGCAGGACACCATCCAATTCCCACCTACCCCCTCTCACCTTCATTCTGTCTTGGACCCCACCTGACCTTTTTTTTTTTTTGTCATGGGTCCCAATAGTGTCTAGACATTTAACCCTGGCCTTCAAGGCCCCCCAGAGTCAGTCCAGCACAAAATTTTGCATATCTCCCTCTGTTCTACAATGCTTAGTTGACAAAAACTGTTCACCAGGAGAGTAGGTCTAAACTTTTGGGGTAATCATTGGCCCTTTTGAATAGATGACAAAAGTTATAGACCTTTCCTTCCCAGGAAAACAAACAATTGAGAGCTCTTCCCAAAGATATCACCCCCTTCCTAGACTTAACCAGCTCAAGCTTTCACCATGAAGATCTCCGCTCCAGGCATGCAAATTCTATTACTGTTCCTAAATTCCTTTAACATACAATGCATCTGTCCACCTCCCTTTCAACATCTCATGCCATGTCTTCCATCCATGATGCTTCCTCCATCATTAATAAAATCCTAATGAGATCCTGGTGACCTATCAAAGCCCAGTTCCAATATTACTAGGCCAGATGAGGGCTTTCCCTTGAGAATTTCACCCACAGCTACCCACACAGAATTTCAGTGCTCTACTGCCTGGGATTTAGGAACACATCTTATTTCCACCTACCTGATTTGACCCCTTGAGGGCAGGGATACTGGCTTAGTCATCTCACAACCGTTCACTTCACCTAGCATAGAACTCTGTAGACAGCATGCCTGAGTGTTTAGTTTTTGAAATTTTTTTTTTTAAATGGAAGCAGTCATCTTTATCTCCAAATAGAAGGTTTCAGGTTACTAATGAAATGGACCGTTCATCATCCATGTTCTACTAATAAGGCCTTGCAGAGCGTGAACTTCTGGAAAATTTCACCAGACATAAGCCTCAGAAAATCATCTCTTGCCTTAGCCATTTGTTAGAAATATAAACATTCATTTCCATGGGTTACTGCAGTTCTTGAGTTCCTGCTTAAATCTCTAATGTTAACCTAGTTTATAGGAATCTATGACTTGGAAATAAGGTCAGATTCTGATAATTAGTTGTGATCCATATTTTGTATCTGATAATTAGCTTATAGCCGCAGTGATAATTGGGCCCTACATTTTTGGGAGGTGGCATATTTTAAGAAAGCAAAGTGCTCTTCATGTGCTCTGATCTTGTCTCTGCTTTATTAAGGGGTTGTTAAAGAGAGAACTATAACATAGGAAAAAAATGAATACATTTGCTCTCGAGGATGCAATTAAAATAAAATGTAAATATGACTAATGAGGCGATTAACTTTTCTAGAAATACTATGCAGGAAAATCAATCCCTGGAATGTAACATTTCCATGCTAAGAAATTCAGTTTAGTGGCATCCCCTTAGTGATGAAAGGGATCTAAGAATGAAGAACGTTGCTACTGTCAGGGAAGGCCAACAAGTGCAGAGAGATGGCTATGAAAAGCGACCATTTCTTCCCAGCTTGATCTGCTCAGCTATAAAACATCTGCTATTGCAAAGGCTCCCAAAAGTGTCTTCTGCATGTGTACAGCTTCTTTTCAACCTGGCATCAGTAGAATGGCACTAATGCAGGGGTTAGGAGCACTGGGCTCAAGTCTCAGCTCCAGCAGTTACAGCTGAGTGGCTTTGGATCATCCATGTCATTGGATGTGCATTGCTTTGGATGTGTATTGGTTTGCTTCCTCCATATGCATGGCTTCAGTTTCTTCATCTGTGCATGGGCATAATGACACTTGCTTCATGGAAAAATGCCTACTATGGAGAAGAGCAGCCAGTATGTCCAGGGAAAATCCCTATTGAAGCTGCAGGGTGGGGAGGGCGTGAGAAATCCCTGTGCAGGAGGAGGCTCTGGCATGAGGCAGAAAACTCTAGCAAGGGAGATTCACAAGTCAGGATTCTGGGTCCCACCCTACCCTCTAAGTTTAAGCCATGTAATCTTGGGCACTGATGTCACACTTTCAGTATCCATAAAATGATAGCATTTAAGTAAATGATTTTCAAGGCACTATTCAAGGAACCTACCCTTGTTCAATGCTACAAAATAGTTCATTTTTTTTCACAAATATCTTGTTACTAAATAGCCTGAATTTCTCCAAATATGACCTACTGTCAACTTAGTTGAGTTTAGGTCCACAACTGTAGGTGCCCACAATTACACTGTAATTAGAGAGTGTAATTTGTAGCCCTGAAGGGCCTCTGAATTTTGCAAACTTCCTCTCTACTCTTTCTCAGTTCCTATCTGGGAGCTGCTCCCTATCCTTCAGTTCATGTTTTGGCCATTAACCTAACCCACGTGTTCCATAAGCCAGGCTCCCCACCCAGGCTGAGGATACAGAGTTCAGTCCTGTCCTCAGAAAGACTGAAGTCAAATGGAGGTCACAGGCCAGAAACAGACAAGGCCATCCCAGTGGGGCATGGTTTATGACAGAGAAGTACACCTGGAGCCCTGCGGGTACAGAGGGGAGGTCACCTAACCCAGAGTGGGGGTTGGCAGGAGGGGAGATACTTGGTAGAGTCCTTGACATCCAAACAGACATTCATCTAGCCAGTAACTATTTATTGTGTAACTACTGTGTACCAGGCACTGTGCTAGGTGCTGAGGTTACATCATTGAATGATGTCATTTCCTTAATCAGCCATCCACGAGAGCTCCCTCTAGCCACTCACTTCAGTGTTCATTCCATACTCTGCTGCCTCCCTGACATGACTTCTCCAATGTGGCCTGGGCTTCCCAGCGAACAAACCGTCTTTCTTCCTCAAATGTCCCCTCCAGAGTAGGCCCCCTCTCCCATCCTTTTGTGGTATTGGTACCAACGACCACAAAGTTCTTGGTACTCTCCAATCCAGCCTCCTCAAAGACCTTCTCTTTATATCAATGATGAGTGCCATTGTGTACTTCACTCTCAATGGGCCAGCCTGATGGGCATCCAGCTCTTTCATGTAGATGCATCTTATATTCCCACTCAGGCTCTACCCTCCTTTGATCTAAGGCTCTGCTCCTTTCTTCTTTTACACATTATTGTGCCAGACTGGGACTGGGAGACTGATTAACTAGGCTCTGAAAATGAGATGTTTCCTCCTACCTGTTAGCGCCTTTCTAAGATTAGTGCTAAACCAGAGCACACTTGAGTTTTTGTTGTTGTTGTTCAAGGAGACAGAAGGAAAAAGGAAACATTTACTGAGCACCTACTTCACGGTAGGTACTACGCTGAACGCTTTAGTTTTATTGTTTTAATCCCCACCACAACCCTGTAAGGCAAGCATTGTTATTTCCTTGTTGCATGTACAGAAACCAAGGTTTACGCCTTGGTTTGTTAACCTGCAGGTTGGTTAACCTGTCCTTGGTCTCACAGCTAATGAGTGGCAAAACTCGAATGTAAAAACAGCCATGTGGTTTTGAAATCTAAGCACTTCTTCCAACAAGCTTTCTCCCAAGAACACATGTTCTTTTCTACCTCCAAAGATCTGCTTAAATGCTGCAATCTGGAAAGATAAACATAAGGTGTTTGCTGTGTGGTGGTGGCTCAAAATCAGGTGAAAATCCTAGGCTTCCTCAAGGGAGAGGCAGGCCCCTCCAGGCCAGAGTTTAAGCAAACAAGATAAGCAGAGTAAGAAAATGGTTTCTGGACACTGCCATCCATCTCTGGAAAGTCTTAGATAGGAAGCAGCAGGTGATGAAATGGAATGAAATTCTGAGGAAAAAAAGAGAGATGAAAATGAAAGTTTTACACATCACTGAGCTGCTTTCCTATCTAGAAGGAAAATCCAACATTAATAAAACAGAAAACCTTCAACAAAATCAAAGCCAATTTTCCTGTCAAGTTCAGAAACAACAATATATAAGCCTGCAGGCATATCCCAGGTGTATTCCATAAATAGTCAGGTTTCTGAGAAGTTGGGTGGAAATCAAATTTGGGTGACCTTGTCCCCATTACCAAAATGAGGGAGATGGACCTTTGTTGCTACAGAATCCGATAGGCATAGTGCCTCTTATGACATCAGCTTTAAGTTTTTCTCCCAAACTCCCTTCTCCTTTTTCCTACCCCAAAAAGTCTACCTTTGATAAACAGTTAACAGTAGTCAACAGACTCTGGTTGACCTCCTCTAATGAATTTGTCTATGATCACATACACCCCCTACAAACTCATATGCAGTGGCTTGTCCTATACATGGCCCACTGCATTCTATTAGTCAAAAGGTGAAGATCTTGTCTCCTCACTTGGCTAGCAGGTAAGGGTCCCTGGCAGAAATGGGAAGCAGGAGAGTGTATAAGTCAGTGGGTATGTGGGTGGCTATAAGCAAAGCCTGTGGCCAGATAGATCTAGGTTTACAAGTCATCTCCACCCCTTACTGACCGCGTGGTCTTGGACAAATTATTTACCTTCAATGCTACAAAATAGTTCACATTTTTTTTTCACAGATATCTGCATATGGACAGCTTTGAGCATTTCTTTTCAACCTGGTGCTGCTAGAATGGCACTATCATTGAGGTTTCAGCAACTATCAAAGGGAGAAAAAAAGTGCCTGTTACTTAGGGTTAAGCAAACGCATCTTAAAAATGACAGTATAAGATTCTGGGCTTCAGGAAGGTACTTGATAAATGCCCAGCCTCCTTGCTATTCTCCACCCTCCCCAAATGTGACCCATTCTTGAAGTCCTAGTTCAAGCTCACCTCCTCCAGAAAGCCTTCCCTGACCAAGAACCTCCCCCTCCCACGAGCTCCATAGTACCTTTGGTCACCACCAGCCCCTTGTCTTTGGTCACTCACTGCTTGCCCTGTGAGAGTTAAACATCTGTGCATGCCAGGATTTCCCAGCCAGATGGTAGCTGCCCGAGGACCAGCTGTGATGACCCTCTTGTATTGGGCCCGAGTCTAACTCAGAGATGGCAACTGGCAAACATGTGCCTACAGACAAGTCATTCAAACACCAAAAGGGGCTTCAGTGAAAAAGGTTCCTTACATGTGTTGATACCTGACTATGTGCCAATCACTTCACATCACCCATCTCACTCCATCTCCACAATAACCCCCTGAGATAGGTGTTATTGATTCCATTTCACACATAATGAAACAGGCTTATGAAGGTGAGCTAGTAGCTTCACCAAAGCCTCACAGCTCAGGGGGCAGGAATGAAGGCAGATCTTTGGAGAAGGAAGAGAAGACAGAAATAAGAGAGAGAGGAGGGAGATGAGGGAATGGGGAAGACAGAGAGCAGACAGTCAAACGTGAAAAGCAAAAGTAAATTCTTGTCAGTTGAGCTCCTGTTGCGAGCTGGCTCCTGGGCAGTCCTCCACACACATCCCTTCTCTTAACACTCACCACCACGCTGCATCTGGTGCCTTTGCAGCTGCTGTACACTTTTGTTAATCGTGCCCAATGAAAGCTAGTGAGACAGTAGCTGTGACTCTGACCTCTGTCCCCACCCAGCTGACCAGCGAGTTTATCCTCAGACACAATCCAGTAACTCCGGAGAACCAGAATTGGAACTAGATTGCTTTCCTCTAATAAAATTTACGGTGTATACAAATTCAATTACATCATCCTGTGTGCTGGTGGTGGCTGAAGGGGCCAAGGTCACTTACACACATTCATCACCAGGGTGTGAAGAGCCAGAAGCGTGAAATTACCTCCCATCCAGAGTCCAGAGGATGGCAGGAGCTCAGCAGAGGCTGCTGACTGTGAGGAGTGGCCCTCAGGCAGGAGGATGCTTGTGTTCAGGCTTCATGTCCTCCCTCACCCGAGAATGACAGGGAGCCCAAAGGGATGCATGGGAGGCCTGACTGCCAGCGCCATCCAGAGAAGGGCTCTGTGCTCACCCCTGCAGGCTCGTGGTTGGCTGTGCTGTCTTGATGAGAGCTGTGTCTGTCCCTACAAACAGCCTGCTTCTGCCCTGCATGGGGGAGAAACAATGTGCTGCAACCACACCCAAGGTTTGCTATTAAATCCTCACTATATACATGTGGGGCTGCCAGAGAAGGAAGGCTCAGGAAGGTTAGGTAATGTGCCCAAGACCACACAGCCTGTGAATAGGCATGCTTGCTTGGAACCCAGGTTTGTTGGGCTCCAGAGCCCATGTCAAAAATGAGTTTTTTCACGTATCAGCTGGGCAGAGTTGGTTTTCTGAGGAGAAGAATGAAAGGGCTACGCTTCAAAAGAGAAGCTCAGAGAGGCCAACTCTTACCTCAGGGGGCATTTCCAATCCGACTTTGTGGTGGTGGGAGACACAGCTGGTTACAAATAAATATTTTAAGCAAGTGCTCCTTTCCTGCCTTCCCCCAGGGTTATGATCCAGCAAGGCTGCTAAACAGAGGCCTATGAGAATAAACCTAGAATCAGGGTGGGGAGCAGGTGTGGACCCTGGGATCATTTAATAACAGAAATATTGGCCAGGTGCGGTGGCTTATGCCTGTAATCTCAGCACTTTGGGAGGCCGAGGCAGGTGGATCACTAGGTCAGGAGTTAGAGGCCAGCCTGGCCAATACGGTAAAACCCTGTCTTACTAAAAATACAAAAATTAGCTGGTTTTGGTGGCGTGCGCCTGTAGTCCCAGCTACTCGGGAGGCTGAGGCAGAAGAATCGCTTGAACCCAGGAGGTGGAGGTTGCAGTGAGCTGAGATCATGCCATTACACTCCAGCCTGGGCGACAGAGCGAGACTCTGTCTCAAAATATAAATAAATAAATAATAACAGAAATATTTTGAGAAAAAGAAGAGCCCACTGCACAGACTCAGCCAGCCAGGCCTGGAGAAAGATAAACAGATTTCAATTCTACATCCACTCTGGACCAATTGATCTCAAACAAGTCACTTAAACTATCTGAGTCTTCGCTTTCACTAAGGCCATGCTTCTCAAAGTGGGGTTCCCAGACCAGCAGCTCAGCCTGCCCTGCAAACTTCTTAAAATGCAAGATTCTCAGGCTCTGCCCCAGATCACCTGCATCAGCAACTGTGGGGTGGGGGCCACGTGATCTGTTTTGCCAGCCCCTCCAGGTGGTTTCCATGTCCCTGCTCTAAGGTGTAGTGCTTTGTGGCTGCATATTGAAATCACCTGGAGGGATTTTACAACAATCCCAGAATCCAAGCCACATTCCAGACCAATGACACCACCATCTCTGATATGAATGATGTGGAACCCAGCCTCAATAGTGTTTTGAGGCTTCCCAGGTGATTCCAGATGTAGCCCGGTTGAGAACCACTGTTCTCTGGAAGTAACAACACAGTCCTCACAGGGAGTAGAATGAGACAACAGATGGAGAAACACGCGTGTGAATAATCCCTCCTCCTGGCCCCTTGCAGCCAGCAGACGGCACTATTGCTCCTCCCTATCCTTTTGCCTGTTCAGCAGAGCCCAAAAAGGGTGCAGGCGGGGTAAGAATAAGGAGAGAGATGTTTAGGAAGATGTGCAGCGACCATGCTGAGGATGGAACGGGAATGGACTGAAGGCAGGAAGGGTTTCAGCAATGATTTTAATGGGCTCCATAAAAGTCTGTAATATTTTACCCAAGTGTGATTGTTTCTCATTTATCAGAAACAGTCCTGAAGGTCTGCAAACTTGTGCAAATTACACATCCCACAAGATTGATGGCTTCTCCAGACAGCCTCTCTCTGATGCAATTTGCTGTTTAAACCCCAGTTCTACCAAAGACCTTGAAGCTGTTCACACGATCAGCGAAGCCTGAGCTGTGAATGGGCATTGGAAGCCCTGTTTCCTGTTCCCTTGGAGCTGAGGGAGGCCCCAAGGATGGGCAGGGGAGAGGGAGTGGGCAGGCCAGCCCCCGGGCCCAGCCAGGGAATGTTAGACGCTGTGTTCAATCCAGGACAGCCCCCAAATGTGCCCTTTGTGTGTTCTTTTGTTGTTCAAAAGCTGTGTTTCTTTCTTTGTATTGAAACCTTCCATCCTTGTTTACCCCTGTTTAGCCTTCAAAACCCCAACAGTAACAATAAAAATAGCAAGGAGGCACCCACTCAGCACCAGACCCAGCATTGCACCCTGTAGAATATCTTCTTTTGTCTAAACCAAAAGCATGTGAACTTGCTATTTTCCCATCTTGCCCTTCATATCCATCCTCCACTACCCTTCTCTCTTCTGTGCCCTGGGAGGCTGACCTCTATGGACTGCTTCATCCAAGCTCCCTCTCCTTGTCTGGCTGGGTTTGACAAAACAGCAAAAAACTGAAGGGCAGGAGGAACAAAAGGTTAGAGTATTTGTTCCTCTGACTTCCTCTCTGCTGGGTCCCAGTTTGGTCTCCTGTTCTTCAACAGAGGGTCACAATTCCTATGGGCTGGCCTCACTCCTACAGCTGCAGCTCTTCGGCTGGCCCACTAACTGCTCCTGGTAATTCTCTTTCCACTTCTCCTTCAGCCTGGGGATGGTCATGGCTTCCATGATGCTAGCCCTGAATATTTCACTATCCCTTTCTGGTATCCCTTAACATTGCTACATCTCTGAACTATGTGAAATTGCCGTGTGTGTAGGTCAAATAGTAGTGATTTCATATGGCTCAACATAGTAAACATCCTTTCTCCAATGGTCTCTCATCACCTGCTCTGAGCAAGCTTTTGTTTCCTGTTCAACTCACACAGCAGGCTTGGAGAGATGGCGTTGACCCCTGTTCCCAGGTGAGAAACAGAGACTCAAAAAGCTTTGTGGATTTGCTCAAGATTATCTAATGTATGGTTGAAAAAATAATAGCAATAACAAGCTGAGAATATACTGTGTGCCAGGCACTGTGTAAGCAGTTTCTACAGATTAACTCATGTAATCCTTGATACTCTGAGATAGGGACTGCTGTTACACAGATTTTATCAATGAAGAAATCAAGACCCTGGTAGCTAATCCAGGTACCTTCCTTTGGTTAAACCCAGCCAGAAGCAAGAGAGAAGGTGAACTCAGATGAAGCAAGTCGGTAGAGGTCAGGATCCTGGGGCCCAAAACAGAATAGAGAAAGTAGAGAAGAGATCTGGAGGGACAAGACAGGATAAAACAAGCTTCCATGCTTTTGATTAAAATAAAAGGAGATATGCTAGCTAAGGGCTCCACACTGTGATCACCTTTTGAGGGGTCACTGGGATCACCACTGTCTTGAGGCCTTGTGCTGGGGCAGAGCTCGCCTCTCCTTCCCATGACCCTGTTAAGTTCATGTTCAGCCACTGGGATCCTGATGTGTGTCTCTTGAAGCAACGTGGTCAAAAGGAAACTTTTGAGCCAGACAGATCATGGCCCAGCTTAGGCACTCTCTATGCAGAAGGTGTCTATGGACAACCCCACCTGGCCTCATTGCTCATGTGTGTCAGCCCCAGTACTGGAGGTAATAGTCCCCCCTCAGGGAGGCTGAGAAGAGAAAATAAAGATGGCCTGGGTAAAATGTGTAGTCCCTAATAAGCATTTAATAAATGGCTGGTTCTGTTCCCTCATTCCGGAAATAATATTTCTAATCTAAAGATTATAATTGGTGATTTAAGAAGGGAGACTAATACTGTTTATCACACTTTGATTTTTCTGCAACTGGGGTTAGAAAAACTCTCCTTAAAAGATGGTTTTCTTGATTTTACTGTTAAATTTCAGGATTTCCTTGGCAACAGCTTTCAGGAAGACGAAGAAGTCAGTCAGAGGCCACCCAAAGGGGAAAGACGTGAAGGTGATTTATTCCACTCCAGAGCTGGCCCTCTTCAGGGATGCTGGTCAGTGTATCCTCAATGGAGATGCCGTCTGTGCCTTAGATAGAATTAACTCCCCATGCTTGCCCAGTCCCTTCAATTGTTTCTCTGGCTCAAACTCAAGTTCCAGCCAGTGCTGCCTGCATGGGCCTCCTCCAAGAGATGGGGGGAGGGGGTGTGCAAAGACCAGCACAAACAGGTGCTCATTGGGGCCACCTAGAGCAGTGCCGCTGGTCAAATCGGGAGGGAATGGAGGTAGTGAAGCAGCAGGGACTGGAGAACAGGAAGTGAGAGTCTGGGAGAGCTGGAGGCATGGGCAGGATTTGAGTTTGGTCTTTCCCTCTGGGTGTGGTGGGCCTGGTGGGATCAACTGTGGCAGCTGGAGGGCTGTGGCCTCAGTACAAGTGCACCTGGAATTTACAGGGTCGTTCTCCAGCTTGCCCTGAGGCTTTTAACACAGGCCCACTGCCCCCCACTCCCCCCAGTAAGGAAGCCGACATTACCTGCCCCAGGTCACACCCAGCTCTTCTACTCTCTAGCTATATGACCCTAGGCAATCTATCTAATCTCTCTTTGCCTCAGTTTCTTTATTTGTAAAATGGTGATGATAGTAAGAATATCTACCCAATAGGGCTGTTGTGAGGTCTAAATTAATGTGTATAAAGAATGTGGACAATGCCTGGCCCCCGAGGAGCAAGCACTACTTTGGGTCAGCTACCATTGCTGTTAGCAAGAAGGTGGTCAACTCTGAGAGTCATTCAGTATGTAGGCAGGACTTAAGGAAATCTGAATCTCAGTACAGCCCACCACCAGTTGTTGGTTAGTGCCAGAAATCTCACTGGAGATCTTTATTCATCCACTCATTCAACTATGACCTAGGCTGTATTTCCCAAGATATGGTCCATGCACAACTGTGGTATATAATTTGACAGTAGGGTTTACACTAGAGATTGTTTTAATTTTAATAGCCGTGCATTTAAAAAGTTTTTCTCATATCAATATTTAAGGCAAGAAATATCAGCTTCCATTTAAATAATGACAACATTTTAGATAAATTTATGCCCATTTTGATCACAATTTTCAGCCATATTCCTTCCTCCTCCTTTCTCCCCTCAGTCATATGGGAACAATATTCTTCTGGTCATTTTTTAATATTTCATATTTTAACTTTAATAGCCATGCATTTATTTCCTTGTGTCATTATTTAAGGCAAGTAATGATCATTTCCCATTTATAGCGTTAACGTATTGCTATGGTTTGACTACTTGGCCACTTCAAAACTCATGTTGAAACTTAATCTCTATTGTGGCAGCATTGAGAGGTGAGGCCTTTAAAAGGTGATTGGGTCATAAGGGCAGAGCCCAATTCATAGAGTAATGGATTAATGTGTTAACGAACTAATGGGTTATGGTGGGAACAGGAGTGGTGGCTTTACAAGAAGAGGAAGAGAGACCTGAGCTAGCATGCTCAGCCTCGTCACCACGGGATGCCCTGCACTACCTGCGGACTCCACAGAGAGTCCCCACCAGTGAGAAGATCCTTACCAGATGTGACCCCTCAACCTTGGGCTTCTCAGCTTCTATAACTGTAAGAAATAAATTCCCTTCTTTATAAATTAACCAGTTTCAGGAATTCTATTACAAGCAACAGAAAATGAACTAAGACACATAGAGTTTCCTTCCTAAATTAATTTACATTAGAAGTTAAAATAAAATATTATATAAATAAAAAGCACAGATAGAATATTATATGGCAGTTAGAAATAATAAACTTTATATACCAACACAGATAGTTAAGACACATGGATGAATGAAAAAGAAAGTTGTAAGGCCATATATATGTTGTATATCATTTGTGGGAAACTAAAATGTACTCACTATATTACTATTAGGATTTCTTATTACTATATGTATTTACTCTGTAAAGATACACAAAATTGACTACAAGGTGGTGTTTCCCATGGGAAGTGAAGCAGAAAGAGAAGAGAAAGGAATATAGCTCAGATTGATGTGTGGCCCCTTTGTAGGGCACATAAGTTTACTAAAGGTTTTAATTTCTTTTTTATTTTTAAAGGAAGAGGAAGTAACTTGAAGAATATGTGACACAATGCTAGCAATCTTGGTGGAAGCAACATGGATATTTACTAAATATTCTTGACTTTTTCTTCATTTTATTAATCTCTCAATATCAATGATAATATACGTGGTAGGCAAATGTTCAAAAATCCCCTAGAGGGACAGTTGGAAGCAGGCAACACCAATCCAGGATGCTACAAAGTGGCAGGGATGCAGAAATGTCAGGCACTTCACTCAAATGTGGAACAAAGAAAGACAATTTCCACAATTCTTTGACAGAGGTAAGCCAGGGATGCCTCCTAGAGAAGATGAAACCAAAGCTGTCCAAACTAAGCTTCATAAGTGAAGGAGAAATAAAATCCTTTACAGACAAGCAAATGCTGAGAGATTTTGTCACTACCAGGCCTGCCCTACAAGAGCTCCTGAAGGAAGCCCTAAACATGGAAAGGAACAACCGGTACCAGCCACTGCAAAAACATGCCAAATTGTAAAGACCATCGATGCTAGGAAGGAACTGCATCAACTAACGAGCAAAATAACCAGCTAACAACATAATGACAGGATCAAATTCACACATGACAATATTAACCTTAAATGTAAATGGGCTAAATGCTCCAATTAAAAGACACAGACTGGCAAATTGGATAAAGAGTCAAGACCTATCAGTGTACTGTATTCAGGAGACCCATCTCACGTGCAGAGACACACACAGGCTCAAAATAAAGGGATGGAGGAAGATCCACCAAGCAAATGGAAAACAAAAAAAGGCAGGGGTTGCAATCCTAGTCTCTGATAAAACAGACTTTAAACCAACAAAGATCAAAAGAGACAAAGAAGGCCATTACATAATGGTAAAGGGATCAAGTCAACAAGAAGAGGTAACTATCCTAAATATATATGCCCCCAATACAGGAGCACCCAGATTCATAAAGCAAGTCCTTAGAGACCTACAAAGAGACTTAGACTCCCACACAATAATAATGGGAGACTTTAACACCCCACTATCAATATTAGATCAACAAGACAGAAAGTTAACAAGGATATACAGGAATTGAACGCAGCTCTGCACCAAGCGGACCTAATAGACATTTACAGAACTCTCCACCCTAATCAACAGAATATACATTCTTCTCAGCACCACATCGCACTTATTCCAAAACTGACCACGTAGTTGGAAGTAAAGCACTCATCAGCAAATGTAAAAGAACAGAAATTATAACAAACTGTCTCTCAGACCACAGTGCAATCAAACTAGAACTCAGGATTAAGAAACTCACTCAAAACCGCTCCACTGCATGGAAACTGAACAACCTGCTCTTGAATGACTACTGGGTACATAACGAAATGAAGGCAGAAATAAAGATGTTCTTTGAAACCAATGAGAACAAAGACACAACATACCAGAATCTCTGGGACACATTTAAAGCAGTGTGTAGAGGGAAATTTATAGCATTAAATGCCCACAAGAGAAAGCAGGAAAGATCTAAAATTGACACCCTAACATCGCAATCAAAAGAACTAGAGAAGCAAGAGCAAACGCATTCAAAAGCTAGCAGAAGACAAGAAATAACTAGCAGAACTGAAGGAGATAGAGACACAAAAAACCCTTCAAAAAATCAATGAATCCAGGAGCTGGTTTTTTTGAAAAGATCAACAAAATTGATAGACTGCTAGCAAGACTAATAAAAAAGAAAAGAGAGAAGAATCAAATAGACGCAACAAAAAATGATAAAGGGGATATCACCACCGATCCCACAGAAATACAGATTACCATCAGAGAATGGTACCTCCATGCAAATAAACTAGAAAATCTAGAAGGAATGGATAAATTCCTGGACACATACACCCTCCCAAGACTAAACCAGGAAGAACTTGAATCCCTCAATAGACCAATAACAGGCTCTGAAACTGAGGCAATAACTAATAGCCTACCAACCAAAAAAAGTCCAGGACCAGACGGATTCACAGCCGAATTCTACCAGAGGTACAAGGAGGAGCTGGTACCATTCCTTCTGAAACTATTCCAATCAATAGAAAAAGAGAGAATCCTCTCTAACTCATTTTATGAGGCCAGCATCATCCTGATACCGAAGCCTGGCAGAGACACAACCAAAAAAGATAATTTTAGACCAATATCCCTGATGAACATCGATGCAAAAATCCTCAATAAAATATTGGCAAACCGAATCCAGCAGCACATCAAAAAGCTTATCCACCATGATCAAGTGGGCTTCATCCCTGGGATGCAAGGCTGGTTCAACATATGCAAATCAATAAACTTAATCCAGCATATAAACAGAACCAAAGACAAAAACCACATGATTATCTCAATAGATGCAGAAAAGGCCTTCGACAAAATTCAACAGCAATTCATGCTAAAAACTCTCAATAAGTTAGGTATTGATGGGATGTATCTCAAAATAATAAGAGCTATTTATGACAAACCCACAGCCAATATCATACTGAATGGGCAAAAACTGGAAGAATTCCCTTTGAAAACTGCCACAAGACAGGGATGCCCTCTCTCACCACTCCTATTCAACATAGTGTTGGAAGTTCTGGCCAGGGCAATCAGGCAGGAGAAAGAAATAAAGGGTATTCAATTAGGAAAAGAGGAAGTCAAATTGTCCCTGTTTGCAGATGACATGATTGTATATCTAGAAAACGCCATCGTCTCAGCCCAAAATCTCCTTAAGCTGATAAGCAACTTCAGCAAAGTCTCAGGATACAAAATCAATGTGCAAAAATCACAAGCATTCTTATACATCAATAACAGACAAACAGAGAGCCAAATCATGAGTGAACTCCCATTCACAATTGCTTCAAAGAGAATAAAATACCTAGGAATCCAACTTACAAGGGACGTGAAGGACCACTTCAAGGAGAACTACAAACCACTGCTCAATGAAATAAAAGAGGACACAAACAAATGGAAGAACATTCCATGCTCATGGATAGGAAGAATCAATATCGTGAAAATGGCCATACTGCCCAAGGTAATTTATAGATTCAATGCCATCCCCATCAAGCTACCAATGACTTTCTTCACAGAATTGGAAAAAACTACTTTAAGTAAAGTTCATATGGAACCAAAAAAGGTCCTGCATTGCCATGACAATCCTAACCCAAAAGAATAAAGCTGGAGGCATCACGCTACCTGACTTCAAACTACACTACAAGGCTATAGTAACCAAAACAGCATGGTACTGGTACCAAAACAGAGATATAGACCAATGGAACAGAACAGAGCCCTCAGAAATAATACCACACATCTACAAACATCTGATCTTTGACAAACCTGACAAAAACAAGAAATGGGGAAAGGATTCCCTATTTAATAAATGGTGCTAGGAAAACTGGCTAGCCATATGTAGAAAGCTGAAACTGGATCCCTTCCTTACACCTTATATAAAAATTAATTCAAGATGGATTAAAGACTTAAATGTTAGACCTAAAACCATAAAAACCCTAGAAGAAAACCTAGGCAATACCATTCAGGACATAGGCATGGGCAAGATCTTAATGTCTAAAACACCAAAAGCAATGGCAACAGAAGCCAAAATTGGCAAATGGGATCTAATTAAACTAAAGAGCTTCTGCCTAGCAAAAGAAACTACCATCAGAATGAACAGGCAACCTACAGAATGGGAGAAACTTTTTACAATCTACCCATCTGGCAAAGGGCTAATATCCAGAATCTACAAAGAACTCAAACAAATTTACAAGAAAAAAATAAACAACCCCATCAACATGTGGGCAAAGGATATGAACAGACACTTCTCAAAAGAAGACATTTATGCAGCCAACAGACACATGAAAAAATGCTCATCATCACTGGCCATCAGAGAAATGCAAATCAAAACCACAATGAGATACCATCTCACACCAGTTAGAATGGCGATCATTAAAAAGTCAGGAAACAACAGGTGCTGGAGAGGATGTGGAGAAACAGGAACACTTTTACACTGTTGGTGGGACTGTAAACTAGTTCAACCATTGTGGAAGACAGTGTGGCGATTCCTCAGGGATCTAGAACTAGACATACCATTTGACCCAGCCATCCCATTACTGGCTATATACCCAAAGGATTATAAATCATGCTGCTATAAAGACACATGCACTCGTATGTTTATTGTGGCACTATTCACAATAGCAAAGACGTGGAACCAACCCAAATGTCCATCAGTGATAGACTGGATTAAGAAAATGTGGCACATATACACTATGGAATACTATGCAGCCATAAAAAAGGATGAGTTCATGTCTTTTATAGGGACATGGATGAAGCTGCAAACCATCATTCTCAGCAAACTATCACAAGGACAGAAAACCAAACACCACATGTTCTCACTCATAGGTGGGAATTGAACAATGAGAACACTTGGACACAGGGTGGGGAACATCACACACCGGGGCCTGTCATGGTGTAGCGGGAGGAGGGAGGGATAGCATTAGGAGATATACCTAATGTAAATGATGAGTTAATGGGTGCAGCACACCAACATGGCGCACGTACACATATGTAACAAACCTGCACATTGTGCACATGTACCCTAGAACTTAAAGTATAATAATAATAATAATAAAAGAAACTACAGCTGTCATTAAGCATCTGGGCTAGGGCCCATCAACTGATGAATGGAAAAATAAAATGGGGTACATCCATACAATGAAATACTACTTGGAAATAAAAAGGGATAAAGTACTAATAGACACCACAATATGGTAAACCTTGACAACACGGTACTGAGTGAAAAAAGTCAGACACAAAAGCCCACATTTTTTCTAATTCCATTTATGCGCAATACTCAATATGGATAACTGTGCAGCAGAAACATAAAGTAGATTAGTGGCTGCTGGGGCCTGGTGGAGAAAAAGGAAAGTTGCTGATGGGTACAGGGATTTCTTACTGGTTTCAAACTGAATACTGAACCAAATGAACCTAAATGTGTATTAACTGCTAATGTGTTTGGAGTTTCATTGATGAAAATGTTCTAAAATTTTGGTGATGGTTACACAGCTCTGTGAATATACTAAAACCCATTGACTCATGCTCTTTAAATAGGTGAATTGTATGGCAGATAAATTCTATGTCAAGAAAGCTGAGATATATATTATACAGCCATTATGTATGAAAATAAACAAACGAAGACTAGGGCTGGCATGTAGATGGAGCAGAAGAGAGGTATCATGGCTGATAACAGCTCAGCCCCCTCTTCCCTCCTCACACAGGTTTGTCTCACCCAGTCTGTATAAGCTATCGCAGGGGCTGCTGCAGACACAGCAGAGACCCAGACAGACAATTTCCTTCCTCTGTGCAGGTTCTTGCCTGATGGGTTGAGAGAAGCAACGACACTCATGGTCCACAATGACACAGATATGCCTCTAAAGCTTCATAGGAGTCGGTGAGGCCCGGAAAGGAGACCAACACCTTTCAGGCAGAAAGAGCAACATGTGCAAAGCATGGAAGCCAGAGAGATGGAGGCTTTCAAAGCTACAAGGAGTTTGTACAGAATACAAAGGCTGGAAGGAGATAAGTCCAAAATGACAGGTGGGGGCATGGAGAGGCCCAGCTCTGCATCTCTCCTCCTCCACCACCTACCCCTCTCCATAATTTATAAAGGGAAGAATCTGCACTTCCTCTGGGACTGTCCTCAGTGAAGGTCTTTGGTAAGGTGAACCTGAGTTCTCTTACTCCCAACTTCCTGGATATGGAGAGACAAGGGTCTGCCCAGAAGCCTTTTCTGCTGACCCCTCTGTTATCTATAAAATAAAAACCTTCGCACATGCACCAAATGGTCACTGGTGCAGAGCAGTTGGCCATCTCAGCCATGAGCTGGCTGTACGTGGCCAAGTGACCTTCCTTTATTTGGCCTTGAGAAGCAACTCTAAATAAACTTACTTCGAGTCAGTTAATTAAAGTCAAGATCACAGCCTGTATATCTCAAGATGATAAAAATGAACAGTTATGTGTTCCCACTGCTCTCCGGATTTAACGTGATGAATGGAAGAGGTAATATACTGCAGGGAGAGCTCACAGAAGCTCCGGTGAAAGATATCTCCAATCTTTATTACTGTGCCTTTTCTCCACTCGGGCCGTCTGATTTGGAGAGCACTTATTTCCTTCATTTATCACTGCCATCGGCAGCATGAGTTGGATGTCAAAGACCCATTTTCTTTCCTCATCCTCCCATCATGCCAGAAATGACAGATTTACCACAAGGCCCTCCTAACAGCCAGATCCACACACTCCACCTTGTAATCATGAAAAATACCCTCTCCCCTTCAATAGGGCTGTCACTCGTGCTGCATTATCAACAGCCTCCAAGCCAAGACTTTATTCTTTTTCTCTTTCCACTGTGTTCAAACTAAATAAGAAGTAAAGGCACATTTCTAAAGAAGTGTTATATTTTCTTTAATCTCCTCAAATTGCTTGGAGACTTGACTTTCCTTTCACCAATGGGAAAAGCCATCAGCACTGAATAAAATATTCAGACCCCGGGCAGAATTCAGATGAGGTAGGATTAAGTTACCTGGTGAGGAATACTAACATGTGCACCTGTGGGACATTAGTCACTGACCTTCTTCTCTCCACCTCCCAAGCAAAGAAAGGGCATATGAGAATGCTTGCCAGGGGTGAGGAATCTGCTCCTCTCCATAAACACACCTTGTAACTGTTCTGTTAAGTAATTTGACTATATCTAACCTATGCAATGCATTGTCTGGCCTGAACAGATTCAGACTATTCCTTTCTTTGCACATTAGCACCCCAGGAGTGTTGACTAAAACTTTAGTGATGTGTTTCTATGATAAATGGCAAAGAGGAGCTAGAGAGCACACGGATAGCGCAGTGCCATCTGTTTCAGGGTGAGAATTGCCTCAGCCATATGTAGGGGGTCATTGAAAGACACCAAAAAAGATGAGAAAAGAAAGGTACAGCTACTGAAAATGGCTGATGTGTAAAACATGGGAGAATCAGACTGGGTGAATTCAAAACACTATAGCTTTAGCAACTTAGTAAACAATGTCATAAACTATGTAAACTCACCTAGTAAAATGCTTGGCTTATAGAAGATGGACAATGAATTTTACTGTACAGAATTGTAATTAATATGAGAGCCTTGATTTCTTAAAACGTCTTAAAATAAGGAAAGTTCAGATTTATTTAACTCAAAATAACTTAGAAATAGCTCAACATACTTGATACTTAGAAGTTGTTACTGTCATCTTTTAATCTAGTTGGTATTGTTTAATTCATTTGTTTATACTTATTTAATAAGTTAAATACTTTGTAATATATCTATGTCTATTTATACACATATGCATGCACAAACACACATAAATAGATACATACATAAATCTATACACACAAAACAAGACATTCTCCAGAGCCTAGAATCCTAGCCTTCGAGTTGTTTTCAGCCCCACAAATTACTTGGTGGCAGTGGAGAGACATCAGAGCATTGTTGTGGAGAAGAAAATCAATAGTATTTTTAAGACAGGCCCTTAATCTGAATCAGTTGTAGGAATGTCATGCATGGTTATGGAAGAAAATAAACTCTAATTTATTTACAAATAGTTCATGCTTTTAAATATTGTTAGTATAAATAGCACAAGTATTAATATGCAAATGTAAAAAGTACAAACTAGAAATATCCAATTAGCTAGGAATAGAGAATTAAATGGAAAAGCTAACAGTGGGACAGCAATGGGAGTAAGGGGGGAAAGAAATTTGGCAAAATGTATTACACTGCTACTAAAGTGATTGCTGTTTTTTTTACCATTAAAAGTAACGCTAAAAGCCTTCAAAGGGGTTCTACCCCCTGGACCCAGAAATTTCACATTTTAAAATTTATTTTAAAGTAATAATCAGATTTAAAACAGAGATTCAAATGTGAGTGTGTTCACCACTACCACATTTACAATAGAGAAATATGGGCATAAAGATATCCAGGTAAAAGAAATGGATTAAATAAATTATGGTACAGGTAAGTGATGGACTATTATGCAACCACTGGATGAATGAACGAGGTTCCAAACCAAGACATCCCTTAAGAGAAGAAAGGCAATGAGTAGAAACTAACCTTACCAGATATCTGGGGTAAGTGGTGTCAGACTGCCAAGACCAATGAAGTCAAGTAAACTCACTGGGATGTGTCAGTTGCAACTCATAATATGTTTTGTCCTAAAAATAGGTTAAACCAAGTGAAATTGCCAATATCAGATCACTTTAACTAATAACAAGACAATTTCTTATAGTTTGACCTAATACATTGTCCTTTGCTCTATCTAATGAGAAGACTAGGAACAATGAAAAATCTTAGTAGCAAAGAACACCCTTAGTATCTAGAAAACATTTTCTAATACAAGAAACTAAGATAAGTCAATTTTGTAAAATTTAACCATGACTAAATATTTCATGATAGTGAGGAATTACTTTTTTAGGAGCGATAATGACATTGTGGGTATGTATTTAATAAAAGAAGCCTTATCTCAAAAATTTCATGACAAAAACGCCAAAAGCAATTGCAACAAAAGCAAAAATTGATAAATGGGGTCTAGTTAAACTAAACAGCGTCTGCACACCGAAAGAAAATATCATCAGAGTGAACAGACAACCTACAGAATGGAAGAACATTTTTACAATCTGTCCATCTGACAAGAGTCTAATATCCAGAGTCTACAAGGAACTTAAACAAATTTACAAGAAAAAAACCACCCCATTAAAAGTATGAAAAGACATGAACAGACACTTATCAAAAAAAGACACTCATGTGGCCAAGAAACATATAAAAAAAAGCTCAACATCACTGATCATTAGAGAAATGCAAATCAAAATCAGAAATGAGATACCATCTCATGCCAGTCAGAATGGTGATTATTAAAAAGTCAGGAAGCAACAGATGCTGGCAAGGTTGCAGTGAAAAAGGAATGCTTTTACACTGTTGGTGGGAGTGTAAATTAGTTCAACCATTGTGGAGGACAGTGTGGTGATTCCTCAAAGACCTAGAGGCAGAAATACCATTTGACCCAGCAATCCCATTACTGGGTATATACCCAAAGGAATATAAATCATTCTGTTATAGAGATACTTGCACGTGTATGTTCATTGCAGCACTATTCACAATTCCAAAGACATGGAATCAACCCAAATGCCCATCAATGATAGACTGGATAAATAAAATGTGGTTCATATACACCATGGAATACTATGCAGCCATATAAAGGAGCAAGATCATGTTTTTTGGAGGCACATGGATAGATTTGGAAGCCACTATCCTCAGCAAACTAACACATGAACAAAAAACCAAACACCACATGTTCTCAATTACAAGTGGGAGCTGAATGATGAGAACTCATGAACACATGGGGGGAACAACACACATTGAGGCCAGTCAGTGGGGTCGGGGTAGGGAGAGCATCAGGAAGAAAAGCCAATGGATGCTGTGCTTAATACCTGGGTGATGAGTTGATCTGTGCAGCAAACCACCATGGCACGTGTTTACCTATGTAACAAACCTGCACTACCAGAACTTAAAATAAAAGTTGAATGAAAAAAAAAAAGACGAATGCATAAGAAAAAAGAAAGAAAGAAACAAACAAAAAACTACATAACATCATCCAGATTATTTTTTTAAATACGAGATTTTACAAATTCCATCTAGTTTGTGCTTAATCTCCATTAACAATTTTATCACTCTTGTCATACAGCCTCTTGATTATGTTACAATTTAATTTCAAAATTACCAATTGATTAGGGGAAAAAAGAGGTCCTTATCTTTTATCAATCCAGGCTACATATTTATGGAGGAAGTAATGTGATAGCTGAAAGTTGCTTCAAAATTGCTCTGTGGTAGGTGTTGGGTCTGGGTAATAGGTACATAAAGGGTTGTTACCATGTTCTGTGTTTTTATGCATGTTTGAAAGTTTCCGGGCTCAAAAGTTTTTTTACAAGTTTGAAAACAATAATTAAGAAGGTTTAAAAGTGTCCTTGATGTATTTATTTTCAAAGAAAATATGTACTATATAATTCCAACTTGGTGCATAAATGCAGTTGTACATATAACACAAGAGAAAAGACAAAAATTATAAATTATACTCCAAATGCAGACTTTAATTATCTCAGGGTACAGGAATTATGTTTTAATTTTTTTATGTATTTCTTTTATACTTAATAGCATGTGTTTTAATTGAAAAAGCATTTTTACATCTAGCATTTAGTATATACAATATACAAGAGTTAGAGTAAATGTGTCCTCATCCTAAATAAATATAATCTAAAATGTAGGACAGAAATTAGTGACAACATGCTAAATACTGGAAATATGCTGATGAGTAACAGATGCCTTGCATTCTATCTGATGTTGGGCCCCCTGTAAAGATAGATCTAGCATGCCCACTGATGTGATCAGAACAACAGGGATGGGTGGGACATTTGACATAATGCTGTGATTTGGATATTAACAATATGTTCACTTCATACACAATTGTGAAGGAAAGCAGAATCTTAAAGTGAAAATCCAAATGTTTCTAGATTTCCTGAGTTGTGCACATTTTGGGCTTTTTACCTACATATCTGTATTTTGAGACCATGCCCCTGGATATCATTATTTCCCACTTACTTCAAACAAAAGTATCAACTAGAAAAGGTAGAGATGAACAATGCCCTCTGATTCTTCAGGGAAAACACTTCACAAGGCCGAGGGGGTTATTCTAGGCTTCAGCCAAGCTGTCTCAGTGTTGGTCCCTAATTAAAAGCAGCATAAATCACTATATGGATTTGGGGCTGGACTATAATTGTTTTAATTAATGACATGGAAACAGTTCTAAAAAATGATACAGAACGTAAGTAGAATGTATGTGATTGTTAGTGCTTCAGAAAGTGAATGCTCAACCACTCACTCCTCAAATACTATCTAGCTTACAGATAGTACTGAATCCTAGGCCAGGCACCAGGAAACAAGGGCAAGCAAATGAATGCTGCCCCTGCCCCTGCAGAGCTCACAGATTTCTGGAAGAGACAGGTTCTAATCAGATAAAGACACAGTGTATAATTACAAGTGGTGATAAATGCCATGCAGAGAAAGAAGAGGCTACTTTGTGAGCTCATGACAGGGAGCCCTGGCTCCCTGCTGGAGTCCAAGCTGAGAAGTGGCATATGTTACCCGAGCAACTGGGAAGGTGAGTTGGGAAGAAAATGCACAGGGAGAAAAGAGCTCCAAAGGTAGCACTTTTCAAGGACAAAAAGAAAACAAATACAATAAGACCACAGGCAAGGAGCTCAGGATGAAGTTGGAGAGGCAGGCAGAGGGCAGGTCTTGCAGGGACTTAACAGCCATACTAAAACTTTTGGTGTTCAGTCAGTGAAGTAGCTTAAACAAATGACTGGCAAAATAATAAAAATTGCTAATATCAGCAAGCTTTTCTGTGAATCAAGTACCATTCTGGGGCTTACATAGGTTCCCTCACTTAATCCACAAAACAACCCTATGAGGCAGGTACTATTATTATCCTACATGGAATGATGGAGGCAGAAGGAAGTTAAATAACATACACACAAGTTCTCACAGCTAGTAAGATTTAGAACTTGGATTCCAACTGACTCTACAGTTCACCCTCTAACAGTCCCTGATGCTCTTTTGCCTTTTGTGCTCACATTGGCTGCTATGGAGAAAATGGGCTGCAAAGGGACAGGATGTGAAGGAAAAGCACAGGCAGGCTGCTGCAGTCATCCACTTCCTACTGCCCTATGTGCTTTACAGAAAGTTTACAGCACCATGACATTCCCATCCATAGACCATTGCTACTTACTTAGTGATTCCCTTGACAAGGTACCACTGGGATCTCCAAGCTCTCTTTTGGTCTTGGGACTGATCAGAATTCCTACAGCTGAGAGTCCATTAAAGTTTCTTGGCTAATGGTCATTAGGATGGAAATCTGGCTTGCCAGGATTTAAAACTCCAAAAGGTAAATGTTTACTTCAAAAAAGCTCCAATATGTATAATTAGGCAGAAAACAATGTCCTCAGTGTGTCAATAATCCCCAAACTAGGTAAAGGTAGGTTCCCGGGAATTTCTATAAAGGCTGCTAGGGGCATAAGAGAGCCATCAAGAATGGAACTCCAAAGCCCAAGAAAAGATTTGTGTGTGGATAGACTGCTTCTTGCCCACACAAGGATGACAATACTTAGATCCTAACTTCTGTTGTGTACCTCTTGTGCAATCTGGGGTTTGCATAAGTAGTATGCTTTTTAGTCACCCTGTGAGGTAGTCATTACTAGCCCCACTTTATGGATGAGAAATTTGCATTTGTATCTAGGTCTATTTGACTTACAGTCTCTATCTCACACTACAGAGTGAGGAGGTTGGAGGAAAAGAGTTGATTGCTATCAACAGATACCAAACTTCAAATAATTTCTCCTCCCCGCCCTCCCTGCTTCTCACTCTCCCAGAGCTTTGGAGGCTGGAATTCCAACTGAAGAAGATGCTCTGGCAAAAGAGAGGAAGGCAGGGTGGGCTCCCCTAAGCCTACAAGCCATGTAAGGCCAGGCTCAGCATTTGCAAGTGTGCCATCCATGTGGAATGCTTAATGGCAGGGTGCGGATTATTCCCAAGAAAAGAACACAGGGTACCTCTATGGGGAGTACAAGCCCCATTTCAAACTTTGATTCCAATTTGGCATTCAAGACTCCTGTGGCCTCTGGGATTTTTATTCCCTCTTTCTGACAAAATGATGACATCCCAGTTCTAGGTTAATGACTAAAATATGAGAATTCCCATTAGTTGCTTCCCCATAGCACTACTCCCTCCTCCACTACCATAGACTCCCTCTCTGAAAATCATTTGCTCTTTTCCATGCTGCATATGACTTTGATATAAGCATTCATTCAGTTGCCTCAGGCTGTCACCAAGAAAATTACTTATTAATTTCTATGCACTGCAGAGCTACCTCTAAAACAAATAGAGAGTTGACTCAGGATTGTCAGTGTTAACCCCATGCACTGGCTTTGTGCTTTCCACCAGAGCATAGAAATGTTTTTAATATAGAGTCATACACATTTGATCACATTTACAAAATGCAAATTTACTCAACATTAATTGAAAATGTACATTGGTGCAGTCTTGAAAGTTTGTACCCTTTCAGGCTGTTAAAGGCTAATGAGAGACATTTTCTCTCCCGCATATTAAGGTAAAGCTAATTATTTCAACCTCCTCCTGTCTAAAAAGAAATAACAACTCAGTAGATTAGTGGGCTACAATTTTTAGATCTTCATCCCTTTAAGGATATGAAAGGTGATATAGACCCTCTCCCCAGAAAAATGTATAATTTCACCCGCCTATGCCTACCTGCACAGAAAAAAGATAATTTTGCACTTACATAAAGCACAATTTCAGATATTTCCTAGCCTCCCTGAGAGCCAGGAACCCTGAAGAATATTCTGCGTCTCTTCTTTTTTCAGTCTATTGAATAGGTCACTAAACTAATGGCTGCCTGTTTCATTTGTGGGATTAGTGCAGAATGAAGTAGTGAAGGTACACAGTGATAGTGGTGTTTGTGTTCATTTCTCTGCTCTTAAGCTCAATTATCAGGTATTTTGCACACACACTTAATATGTGCTAATGGCCTCTGGGGAGGACATCTGGCTAAAGGTACCATTGGAATGGAAAAGAAAAACAAAGAATCATGCCTGGCACTCAAAGCAAGGTATAGCAGAAGAGGAAGCCTCTTTCTTATCCAAAGCCAGCACCTGGCATAAGAAAGGCACTCAATAAAAATTATTTGACTATCACTGTGAAGCTATTGTGTTTGGGGGGGCACAGAAACTAATTCCTGCCTGGTTCCCTAATGAAGCGGGTTGATCCTGCCATCCTACTAGTCCCCCTCCGTCTACACAGAAGGTCTGTGCAGTATTACTGTTCTCTTAAGATGTCTCAGAGCACACTATAGTTTTTATGTGTTATCTACTACGTGTCAGTCCTCCTATTTCTTTTCAAATATTGCAACAACTCTATGAAGCGAGTATCATTATTCCAGTTTTAAAAATAAGTAAACCACAGAAATAAGTAAGCTCAGAAAGGTGAAGGGGCTCATGTTGGCTTTCTGGCTGTCCATAGGTATAGTCAGATTCAATGGGTACTGTCTCACTTTAATGTCCTTGCTCTACTGTAAGGGTCAGTCTGCCTCTCCCACATCTATAGCACTTTTCAGTTTGCTCACAGACCAACTCATTTCTCACAGACAAACCCAGAGGAGCATTTTGTTATCCTCAATTGCCATTTTGTAATTGGAGAACTTGAGGGACATGAGACCAAGGGATTTGCCCAAGGTCACACAGATGACTAACCAACAGGGCTGCAGGGCTGGAAGCCACTGTAGATCCTACCCCATGCCTGATGCCCATATGGCAGGAAGGCATGCACATACCTCTGCAACCCTGTACCAGCTTTGGACCACCCAGAAAAAAGTACTTGTGGCTGGGCATGGTGGTACACGCCCATTATCCCAGCACTTTGGGAGCCCGAGGTGGGCAGATCACCTGAGGTCAGGAGTTCGAGACCAGCCTGGCCAATATGGCAAAACCCCATCTCTACTAAAAATACAAAAATTAGCCAGATGTGGTGGCTGGCACCTGTAATCCCAGCTACTGAGGAGGCTGAGGCAGGAGAATCGCGCTTGAACCCGGGGGTGGAGGTTGCAGTGAGCCAAGATCACGCCACTGCACTCCAGCCTAGGCAACAAGAGTGAGACTCCGTCTCAAAAAAAAAAAAAAAAAAAAGTACTTGTTAGCCCTTGATCTTAGGCTTGGTGGGAGCACACAGAGAAAGCAGGAGAATAAGAATACATTTTAAGCAGACTCAAAAAAAAAAAAAGGTTACATGTGAAATACATTTTTAACAAATTAATTTTTCATTGTGAGTAAATGTATGGGTCTTTTCTCCCCAATAAGTCTGTTCATTTTGCAGTTATAACTTTCATGACAAGTCTATGCAATATGTTCATGGGCAGCGCTTTCCTTTGGTCTGTGGGGGAAGGAGGTCAAGGGTCCTTCCCACCTCTACTTGTGCTTGTTCTGGGTATAGAGCACCATGTAACAGTGTTCCCATCGCTACAGAGTATTAGGACTAGTGAGCAGTTTGGAAACCCTGGAGTCTAACCTCTTCATTTTACGGAAGGGTTGTGAGGTCCGAAAGACAAATGACTTCCCCAAGATCACACCATCAATTGTGCAGTGGCTGAAGGACACTGGAGCCAGACTGGCTGGTTTGAATCCAGCTTTGCCTCTTAATAACCATATGACTTTGACAGATTACTTAAAGACTTTGGATAGCATCACCCCATCTATTTATAGCAGTTGGGGACCCAGCTCTAACAAACAGCTTCTGAGTCTGTGTCTTCTCCATCGCATCAGATTGAAACTCACATACACTATCCTTGTTTTCAAGAAATACCTGGAATCAGGAAACTACAAATATCCCTCCATATTCAAACCAATACAGTTGAAAGGAGAAAACTAGGATGTATCTCCAAAATACAGAAGGATACCTAATTATCTGAACCTATTTAGTTCCTGAAAGTTGGATAGCAAAACAGCGAGAATTTGGCTAGCTAAGGATACCAGCCCTATTTCAAAACATTTATCCAAACCTATTAATCTCCTAAATTTGGAAGGCAAGAGCTTCAGATAGTGGAGGATGCCTCCCTGGGACACTTCCAAGCGGCTACCAGGGTTTAGGCAGCCAATGCCTCAACCATCCCAGGAATGTAGTGATTATTTTCTCCTCACTAATTCAGAATTTCATGCTGCGCGTCACTAACAAAGAACCAAAAATGACCAAACAATGCTCTTCATAGTCCAAGGATGTCTTCCCTCCACATTCTGCATGTGAAGTCCAGTTTGATTTATAACATAACCAAAGAGAAGCAAAGCATGACCCTACATTGCTTTCCTAGGAAAACTGCTGCCAGTTTTCTAATTGGATTTATTTAAAGCTTTTAAGAAAAATTAAAAGTGTATGTTGATGTCTTTAGCAGAAGGGCATCCTAGCCTTTGGCCATGGCTTTGTCAAGATTTCCCAAGAGGAATAAAAGCAAGAAGAGGCAGTGTCAAAGCAAACGCACCTCCCCAACAGAAGGGCTGACATAAACAAGGGAAGGAAATGTGCCCATTCATCTGGGGTGCATCTTTCCCTCAGTCTAATTTATGCCACAGAGTCATTACACAATTTCTCTGATTTTAATAATGCGTCCCACCAAAGGGAATTCAAGGCGGAAGCTGCAATTTATCTGCCATTTTGGGTACTTAGTGAAGATGTTGTTGGGCATGCGTTTTTTAATTAACAATTCCAAAACTATATGAAGGAATTTTCATTTCAGCTAAATTATCTCCTACGAAGTATTAGAACTATCTTTCTCGATAAGGGACCACAGAGGGGTGTGAAAGAGAGCTGAGAGTCAGGGTACCTGAGTAGCCCTGTGTCCTCTCCACCCTGGTGCTGTTTCCTCAGTGGTAAAAAGCAGGGAATGTCAAATTATCCACACTCTCTTCCCACCCAGTGTTCTCTGAGTCTACCACCTGCCTAGTGAGTGACCTAGAATAGACCTCCTGGACTAATTTTTAAAAAAGGGAAATGGAGGCTGCAGGAATGAACCACCCCCACCCCTACCCACTCTCCTTCTGTCTACTTCTTAGCCTTCCAATGACACAGCTGATCAGAGTCAGGATCCAGGAAAGAAGAAAGAGCTGGGGCTTTGAGGTCAGCCATCCTAGGAAGTATATTCTACTCACACCAGAGGTATAACATTGGGGAAGCTACCCAACTCTTCACATCCATGTTCATAAGGGGAATAATATCATCTGTCTCTCAACAGGATTGCAAAGGATGTTGTCATGTTGAATATGTGAAGTCCCCAGGACAGCACCTGGCACATTGCAAGCCCTCCAGACAGGAAACAGTAATTTTTTCTCTGTGGTCCTGTTGCTGTCCCCTCGGTCTGTTGCTCTTACCAGCACACAGCTCCTGACAAATCTTGGTGCTGCCAAATGCAGTATTTGGCAACGTGCTTTATCACTGAACAAAAGCAAAGGACCAAGATGAGATGCGAAGAGAATCAGCTGAAACCATGACCTCTTGAAAATAGCTTTACCTTCTCTGAAGTAAAACTCTGGGGCCTCTATAGGGCATCTTCTGCATTCTGGCAACTTTGAAATTCGGTTGCCTCCAATTTGGGTCTTGGAGATCTCAGTGTTTGATGAACCAAGTGATACAGAGGTATCAGCAGTTGGAGAGTGAAAATAAGAAGTAATCCTAGAGGAATCGCAGGGGAAGATAATGCTCCCAAGACAAGAGGTGAAAATACCCCAAACTTTAAAATATTGGGAAAAATTTAATTTAAAATTTACAAAATTTTAGACACCTGCTGTATAAGCATTTCTCATCTCTATGTGTTTGGTTTCTGTGCATTTCTTATATACAGATATTCCCCAGGCCCAAATCCCCTGTGAAGTCCTTAATTCATTGAGTCAAACTGTTTGGGGAAGATTGCTCTGAAGGCTACATTATGGTTTTGTAAGAAATGACTTCAGATCTCAAACAATAACATTAAAAATCAGCATGTGGGACTCAGGTCTTGCAGGCATTGGGCAGACATCCGTATCAGCTGTTCTATTTTCTCCCAGCCTCCTTTACAGACCTAAATTTAAAAATTAATTTAAGAACATATACATACCATATGTATACTATATACTTTTAGTCACAAAACTCATTATTTTTGCTATCTTTAAGATGTAAAAATGTAGGAAAAGAATTGGCAAAGAATAGAATTCACTTCTTTTCATAAAACCTCCATTTATTCAAGCCAACCCACACTTTCACTCCAGACAACCTAAGAGAAACTTAGAAGTATGTATCAGATTCTCAGAATGAAAATGTTCTGGATCATTTGATAGGTTTTGGAGAAGGCAAGAAAAAAAAGGAAGTAGACTCAATTTTAAGAAGGCACATCAGCATGAATGTGGAAGTGCACCCACCAAACTCATCGTGCAATGACAAGACGAAGGCCTCAGTGTTCTGCATAACCTACTCCATGCTAGTCAGTGCTGCTTCCAAATGGAACATGAAACCTTCACCATTCACTTTGCAGGAGTCATCCAGCCTTTTTCTACCACATAATGGGTCTTCTGCTTAGCGACACTAGGGCACCAGCAGTGGAGGTGTGGGACCAGAGGGTCCATTTTCAGTCAAAGTGAAGCGGTCACACACCAATCTGGCTTTCCCTGGCCCTGTCCTTCTGACCTATGTGTTAACAGAATACCAATCCTTGCTTATTTCTCCCAATATTGTCTGCTCTGTATTAAGGGAACCTGGAAAATACACTAACAGAAGACATTCAGGGACCATTTATGGCCTTGGCGCCGGGGATTCTCACCCCACAGTTCATGCTCCATAGGCAGTTGCCCATTCATTTGTTGTGGCTGGCACTCAGCCCATTCTTGCAATTCTTTCACCCACACTTGTAGTCACATGCATTCTCTGCCCCAAATTCCTTTTCCGATCGTTGTATTTGAAATGTAAGATAATCTTGGGATGAAATACGGTATCTGTATCCTAACATGGGAGCCCTTCCTTTCCTCTCACAGCATCTTTCACCCTCCATCTGGAGTCCCTGGTGTCAAGAGTTCACACTGAACCATAAGGGAGGTGCCCTGGTGTTTGGGAGTATCTGTGAAGGGACAGGCAACTTCTCTCATGTGCAAAAGGCTCCAGCACAATGATAAGAGAAGTAGCTAGTGTTCTGGGGCCTGGCTGAGTGTCTGAGTGCCCCTCTTCCCCTGTGCATGCCTGCCACTTGCTGGGAATGGACAGCACAACCTTGAGACCAGGACAAGCTTCTACTTAAGAAACACGACCTTCCCTCCAGGTTGCTGCTATTCCCCCAATGTGCTAGGGATCCAGGAAGTCCTAGAGATCATCATCCTAGTTGACAGCAGAGCCCATGGATGTGGAAAGTCCTCCTGAACAACAGCAACTACCTTTTCCCTGACCTGCTCTGACCCAAGCACAGCCCCAGCTTCCTGAACACATCATTACCTTCTGCACAGCATGCATGGGAGGGTGATAGGATTGCTTCACTTTACACATGAAGAAGCCACTGCTCAGAGAGGGCAAGTAAGTGGCCCCAATGTTACCAAGCGAGTCAGTGGCAAACCAGTATCCCCAATCAGGTATGATGCCACAGCTTCTGCTCTCAACCACGGAGTGAGCTGCTACCTGCTCTATCCCTTCTCTTTTGTCCCCTCTGGGTTAAAAGATCTTTGCGGAAACAAAATTTTTATAGCCCAGGGATTTGTCAGTAGAAGCATCAGCTGTGGCGGCTTCCTTTACTGTGGATGACACTGGGGTCTGAAGGCTTAAATGGTCACAAAGCTCACTCATGAGCAGACAGCAGACCTGAACTCCAGTTCTCAGGATGATGCCTTCACACTGATTGAGGATGGGGAATGAGAATCATGGAGTCTATATTAGTTTTTATGGGCTGCAGTAACAAATTACCACAAACTGGGAGGCTTGAAACAAAAGAAATGTATTCTCCAATGGCTGTGGAGGCCAAAAGTCTAAAATCAAAATGTCAGCAAGGCTATGATCCCTCTGAAGGTTCCAAGGGATGACCCTTCTAGCTTCTGGTGGAGCTTGGCATTCATTGGTTTGGGGCTGCCTCCATCTTCACACGGTCCTCTCCCTTGTGTCTCTGTGTGCCATCTCTTCTTATAAAGACATCAGTTATTGAATTTGGGACCCACCTTAATCCAGTATGACTTCATCTTAACTATTTGCATCTGCAAAGGTTCTCTTTCCAAACAAGGCTATATTCTGAGGTTCTGGGTGGACATGAATTTGAGGAAGACTCAATCCAACCCACTGCAGTATCTAAAGCAAAGCCATTTCTCCTGCCCCTCCACTTGGCCTGCCAGATCAGTTTTGCTCTGATGAACGCCCTGGGCTGACAATTTCAGAAGAAGGGCTGATATGATCAAAGGTCTTTCAAAGTTCTATTAAAATTCACAGCTTAAAGAGAAATCTCACCACCAGCCCCAAGTCTAATCTATGCTCCCATTGGCGATAATTCCCAGAGCTCCATTCCATGGGGTAAGGCTATGGATCTGCAGAGGCTGCATGCCAGAGCTCCTGCAGTCACTCTCCCACCTTGGCTCAGGGACCTGCGATCCAGCCAAGAGGAAAAGTGACCACCCCAGGAACAGCAATGTCAATCTGACCAGGGAGTCCTCTGAGATGGGAAGGGGGTTCCCTGAGATAGGAAGTAGGGGGTCTCACCTCCCTTCTATGGGCCTCTTATACCTGTTTGTAAAATGAGGAGCCAGTTCTTTGACTAAGACATTCCTGACCATGAAAAGACAGAGAAGATATCACACTCAGTCAGCCATTCAGCCTGGAAGGTCACCTTGCCATCTGAGGCCAAGATCCCTGAGGGGCGGGAACTTCTGAAGAGTAGACTCCAGTCCCTCCTTCTCCCATCCCTGTGATCAATCCAATAAGAAACAAGTAGCAATCCAGTTTCTCAAACCCCAAAGCATTTCATGACAGAGACAGGAAGCAGAGAAAAGATGGCACTTTATGTGAGGGCAAACTTTTTTGTCCATTTAGTTTTTTTCCTGCTTCCTGAGCCTTGGGACACATTTAGCACATACACACCCCACACAGCACAGAAAGGGCTTGGTGATGTATGTGCAAGCACTTCCATATACTATTTATTTTACTTACTGAAATATCATTTCTGTCTGGGAAAGATATTGGGTATGGTTGGCTTTTATGCTCTCGGCACTTTCCCCCCAACAAAATCCTTCCCTATAAATCTACAGTCCATGGCCTGACTTCAGAAAACACTTTAATAGTCCCCAACTCCAATGTTTTCCATAGCCACATATCCTCATGTCAAGAATACTAAAGTGCAGAGGTTTGAATTCATCAAACAGAACTCATCAATATGCTGAAAGTAGGGTTAGGAGCTTAATCTCCAGGAGAGATCCTGGAGAGCAGATGGACCTGCCAATGCTCCCCATCACTCCATCTCCAGAAACTAGCAGGGTCTGGGCTGTCAGGAGGGAAGGGAACAAGGGATCACCTTCACTATCAGCAGCAGCAACCACAGAGCCCTTGACTCCACATGCGCGGTACTTGCTCAGTTCCCACTATCACGCAGCCCAGTGCCCACATCATTTCATTACATGGCCCCAGTGAGCTGCTTCTGTCTCCATCGCATGTTCATCTTGAAACAGGACTCAAGTCTATCCTCATCCCATAAAGCAAATCCAACCTCATGCAGTAGAGCAGTACACTCAGCAAAACAGATATCACTGAAGATTTTGGAGAGGACTGCGTCATATGTTATGCCAAAATCTTCTTTTAAATCTTCTTTGGACAACTCTTTGGCTGCAGCTGTCATCTCTCTCTCTCCTCTTCTTCCTGCTTTGCTCGTGAAGAACATTTTAACTCCCTCCTCATCATCTGTCAACCCCATCAACAAGAGCATTGGTTGGGAGGCAGGGGGAGATTTGAAATAACCTCCACAATAACAACAACCAAAATCTCATATGGTTGGCCTAATTTTTGTTTGATTTCCTTTCTACAGACGGAAAGCTGAGGGTCAGGCAGGATGAGCAACTTGTGGAAGGTCACAAAGCTGGACAAGCTGCAGAGTCAGGATCTGAGCCCAGAGCCCCCAGAACTCTGCTCTTGCAAAGCTGCACCTGGAACAAAGTGAATCAGCTTTCTGAACTTCCATCATTTCTGTAGGTATTCTTAAGGCCTGCCACTAGATGTACACATCTTTAGTTGGGGTCAGCACACCCAGGAATAAAATTTTTCTGAGCACATTTCTGATGTATCCAAGAGAGTAAACAGAAACAAAATTGCTTGGGTAACAATGCTGGGGTCACTTTTGAAGTTCTTACAAACAAAAAATGGGGAGCTGAAGGGAAAGGATTTGAAAAATGGCAAGGTTCCTGGCCAGGGAGACCCTAGACAAGTTACCAACCCTCCATGGGGCTTAATTTCTCATCTGCAAAATGGAAGGACTTGACTATGGTTTCTTCCAGCTCAAAATTCTTGGTCTAGTTCAAATACCTTTGTATATAACTATTAAGATTTATCACTAAAAAGTCAAATCCCTGGCATTATATACATTCATTTAACAAAAGTAGCCACAACTACCATTTATTGAGCATAAAATATGTGCCATGTACTTTATCTGCAGTAATTTGAGTCTCAAAACAATCCTACAACACAAGAATTACCACTCCATTTTATAAATGACAAGACAGAGGTTGGAAAGGTCTGACTGTCTTGAGGCTATAAGCCAAGATTTGGACCTTCACCTAAGTCCTAAGTTCTCCTAAGTTCTCCATCAGTCAAACCACCGTGAGACTCAACACTAACAGTCCTGTTCTGACAACCAGCTGCCAGTCAGAGCCAGCTGCGTGTGGTGCAGGAGTACCCAGCTCCTGCCTGCAGCCTGAGCTGCAGGGTGTTGTTTGCGACTAGCTGACACCAAGGCCAGGCCGAGACTGCCTAGGGGGCTGCAGAAAACCCATTTAACACCCTTAGTTCTCTCCAGGGAAAAGAAAACCTTGCTTCCTTGAGAAAACAAAAACAAAAACAAAAAAACAGCCATGCAGCTGATGTGGGTCCTGCCTGTGACTCAGTCCAGGGCTCCCTGGGGAAGGCAGCACACTTCCCAGGCCGCCCACATGTGTGAGGAACAGATACAAGAAAAGGCAGAAGGTGGGCACCCATGCCGCAGGACACCCACACTGCGGAACACTGCCACCTCCATACTCAGACTCATAACATCTTTTTAGTCATAACCATGAAGCAGCTGGCATTTAATCAGGGCTAAAGATGCCTCAGGAAGTGTGGTAAGGTCTTTACATACACTCTTGCATTGAGTCCTCACCATTCTACAAAGTTGGTGACATGATCCACCCCCATTTTGCAGAAGAAGTAACTGAGACCCAGATTGGCTACATTATGCAATTAGCAGAGCCGGGGTTCACACCCAAGCAGTTTGGCTTCAGAGGCTGAAACTTTAACCTCCTTGTTGACTGCTTAGAAGCAACTGTAGTCCCCCAAAGAGCCCTCCCTGCTACTGTGAGACAGGGCAGAGGGAGGCAGTGAGGCCTGCAGTGGTTTGGCCCCGTAGCCTGGTGCCAGACGGAGGACACACCCAGGCTCAGTGCTTCCAGCCTGGGCACTTTTCCTGAGAGCCAGACTCCTGCCAAGAAGCAGCAGCGCCTGGGTGAGCGAAGCGGGGAGGTGAAAATGCGAGGCACAATGTCTAGGGAGAGCCTCTTGGTAAACAAGGAGTCTGCTCGGAGCTCCCCTGGGCCTGCAGCCAACACGAAGGGGGCTGGTGCTCAGCTTGAGCACCTCCTGGGGCAGTAGAGGTGCCCCAGTGTGCTGGGGACACAGAGCAGCTCCCCCCTTGGAGGGTCATCAAATGGAGTCTGCTTTCTTGTTTTACAAATAGGGAACCAGGCTCAGAACAGCAAGGGTCAGTCCAGGCCCAAACTCAAGGAAAGTGCGTTCCTGTGTTTCAGAGGTTCCCATCTGCTCTCAATGTGTGTGTCTGTCAGTCCTCCTCACTCTGAACTGTTGAGCGAGTTCTCCTCTGTCTACTCTACCCCCTGACTCCCTGTTTTGGCCATAACTTAGGCAGAAACATAACAAGCCTCACAAGGTTTCCAGGTGCACATCGTGGTGGGAGTTAAGCTGTTTTTGTGAGGTTTGCGCGCTCCTTATCTCAGCCTCCCATGTCTAAGCCTCCAATGACACAGGGCAGGATGCAGCAGCAGCCACCCTCTACATGGCCTCTTACCCTGAAGGTGACTTCCACCTGCAAGACAACCTCTCCTCTCACTGTCCTGGGCCTGGTTACCCTTTCCCTGGGGGTGAGATCAGTGAAACGAACCCACTGGTTTTGGGTGAGTGGCAGTGTCCAGGAGCCAGGCAGGATAACCAGTGAAGCCAGGAAGCTAAGGGGCTCCCAAAACACACAGCTCCCAAAGAAGAGCAGAGGAACGTTGAAGCCCTTTCCTCCCAATTTTGCCTCACTTTCTTCTCCCAATCAGCACCTTTGCTATATTAGAGATGCAGGGTTGGGACCTTGAGGACATTACCCCTGGGAGGGGCTCGCACAGGGACTCAGGGATCTGCTCCTTTCCATATGTCCTGTTCAGAACATCTGATTCTGGGCCTGTCTGGAGAGGCTCATGCCTTAGCTCCCATGGGACCAAACAGGAATTAAGGATAAAACTACCTAAGATTCTACAAGTCACACCAGCACCTGTCTCCTTGTGCAAGGGGGTCTATCACTATTACATAAAACTTGCCCACCACCCCCACCTCCATCCCATTCTCCACACAGCAGCACCATGGGTGAAATTAGGTCACTCTCCTTCCTGGCCCTCCCCATTGCCTCCAGCAGGGCTGGCTGGAGCCTTACCAAACAGCCCTTGCTGGCTCATTGTGCAGCCGTCCCTCCTGCAGCGCCCAGTCTCCTGGCCTGGTTCAGCCTCACAGCATTTGTGCTGTCTGGGCCTCTCACACGCAGCTCTCCCTATTCCTTGGTTCAGTGGACCCCTCTCCTGGGCAGCTTGCCTCCATCTCCAGACCCAGGCTCATTGCTCTTCTGCAAACCCTTACTTGCACATCGCATGTGAACTTGTCCCAGCACCTGCCTGGTGGCAGGAGTGTTCTCTCTCAGTCACTCTCAGTGACTCTCATCTATACGCAGGGATGGCTCAGGCCCTCTGTGGCCTGTATTTCTTCCCTCCTCACCCCAGCCAGCTGCCAGGCTCCAGCTAGAGTCACAGGAAAGGGAGGGACCATGCAGAGAGCAGCTGAGGCCCCCAGCACTTCTGTGCTTCTCTCATCTCCTTCAGAGCCCTCTGGGGCAACCAGGCTGCCCCCAGCCAAGGCCACTCCCCATTCCCACTGCTGCCCAGTGAGTCCTCCACACTGGAGGACCCAGAGTTCGTAGCATAAGCTTCCATTTTTTTTCATCAAAACAGCCTGGCCTTCAGCATCTTTCCAGGTGACTTCCTGTCAGAAAAGCTGTGCCCAGGTCCCAGTTCTGTCTGCCGCCTGACTCGGCAAGTCATATACCCACTCTGGCCTTTGTCCTTCTTACCCCTAAAATGAGTGTGTTGGATGGCATCATCTTATTGTTAACATTCAATGGCTCCACTATTGTGTGAACCAATGTATTAACAATGGAGAATGCCTTATAGGGTAGTCCTGTCATCTGGATTTTAATGGGGGTATTTTTGCCTTAAACCCCAAAGAAATTGATCTCTTATGGGTAGAATATCAAGTGCAGTGGCATGTGGGTGAGTAAAAGTTCTGGACCTGAGAAGAGAGTACTTCCAGATGCTCCCCTCATCATCCCAGAGTGGTCACGTGTACTTCCTTGGTGCTCCTGGAGCATAAATTACAAACCAACCCCAGCATACAGAGACACATTCATAAACACACACAACCCACCCAGACCACAGAATACCAGGTACACACCGGTGGTTCTAACTCTGACAGGGGAAGTTTCTAACAGGACAGGGCTTGCTGGTGTCTGGGAGCTAAACATAGGATGATGCATGCCTGGCTCACTGCAATGCTGCCGGTACGCCACGCCATTGGGTTGACTACGTTGACAGTCCTGCTCTGCTTTCAGTCCATCACTGGCACATAACTGCCATTAGAATCCACTTCTCCCAGGGCTCTGTGCTGGAGTGAAGCCCTTCTTGAAGCTCCAGATCCCTTCAGCCCACAGAAGCATTAATGAGCACAAGGGGCAGTAACTCAGAGTACTTAAGAGTGTGTAATAACATCACGGCACTTAGGAGGATGGGGATGGTCTATGTAGCTAGCAATGATGCTTCCCCCATGGACGGAGACCTGGGGAAACCCTGGCTCGAGGAAGCATTTGGAGCATCAGGTGGGAGGAGCATCAAGTCCCACATCGTAAAAGTTATTATCTCACAAGAGAGTAGTTTTTTTCTTTGTTTTGTTTCTAAATAAAAGGTTAAAATGAGTGCTGGGTGGAGAAGGGAGCACACAAGTTTTTAAGTCATTTATAGTTTACATTTTTACGGCACAGCAGAGATCGGCATCCATTTTCCATCGGCAATTAGAAGACGAAGCAGTCTGCCAAGCCTCTGTGTAAATTGTGCCTATTAAAAGAGTCTATGTCGTGCAATGATTGATCAGCACCAAGGATTTATTCACTGAGCTAACAGCGGTTTTTACTTTTGCCATTACCCAGGGTGATACATAACAATTTAGATAATGTGCCCAGACAGATGCATTTATAACCCTGGTGTCAGAGTCCTGCCTTGGAGGCTGGTCAGCCTAGCGGGAGGAGAAGATGCTATTAGTGGTCAGACCAGAGAGCCCAGAGCCTGTCTGGCCTTGCATTTGCCATCCCAGGACAGGGCACAATGGGAACGCATGAGGACAGAACTGCTGCCTGCCTCCTTAGCAGCACACTGAGCTTGTCTACAGACAGGTCTCCCTCACTCTTCTCATGTGTTACTGGCAATAACATGGCTGTTGCAGGGGTAGAAAGAGAGAGGTAGGAAGCTAAGACGAGATGCATGATGGTAGGTTTAGAGATTCCAGTATTCATAAAGGCATATGTGAGCATGCAGGAGGGTTCCACCTGGGTACACACACATGCACACACACATATACTTGGAAAACACTCTCTCTCCATCCCTCTTGCACAAGCAACACACTTCATCCCCTGAGCATAGGGTCTTCTCACAGAGTCACCAGATAGTGTTGAACACCCATGCTGGGTTCTGGTGACAGGTACTGAATGTTCGCTTCTCAGCATTACCAGCCTGCTCTTTGTGTCTGCAGGCTCCTGGGTAACAGACCTCAGCAGGGGAACATGCCAGGCAAGGCACTCCCGATGGCTATCTCCTGGGAGATAAGCTCTGTGGAAACACAGATGAGCTCCACATACTCCCCAGGGTTTCAACCAGCCCTCACCACCATCACACTAGTTGCTCCCATCTCCTAAATCTGTGCTCCCTGGGCATCTCCCACAGAAGGCCCCAGAGGTTCCACCCAATTTGACATGCCCCACAGAACATTCATCACCTTCCCCGACCTATTGCCTTCATCTGCACCCTCAGGCACCAGCATCCCCTGGGTACCCAAGCCAGAAAGTGAGCCCACTCTGACTCTCATGAACTGGGTCCTGATTCCTTTAAGGTTATTTTGCCTAAGTATCTTTCCACTCTGGCCTCTCCTTTCCATGCCCACTGCAACCACCAAATGTGCCACATCCCACCCAGATAAGTACACTGGTCCCCTCAACCCAGTCTCCCTACTCACAATCTGACCCTCCGAGAACCTTTCTAAAGTGCAAACCCAATCATATCCTTCCTCTGCTTTAAACTCTTCAGTGACTCCTGCCAAAATCAGCTTTGCCTGGAAATATGTCTGACAAACATTTCTTAAAAATACCCAACTATGCCATCTGTATTAGTCTGGGTTTTCCAGAGAAACAGAACCAATAAAATGTGTGCAGAGAAAAAGAGTGAGAGAGAAAGGGAGACAGAGATTTAATTTTAGGAAACAGGTGATTATGGTGACCCAGGGAAGAGCCCAGGTTGCAGTTGAAGTTCACAGGCCACTGGCTGGCAGGAGTCCTTCTTACCCAGGGGAGGTCAGTCTTGATTCTATTCAGGCCTTCAAATGATTGGATGAGGCACACCCACATTATGAAAGGTAATCTGCTTTACTCAAAGTCTACTGATTTAAGTGTTAATAACATCTAAACAACACCTCACAAAAACATTCAAAATGATGTTTGACACAATATGTGAGCAAATTGGCCCAGTTAAGAGGACACATAAAATTAACCGTCACACCATCTTTTTTTATAATAATGGGATTGGGGCTTTGGGGAGCAAGGAGGGTTTATCTCCCTCCTGCATGACCAGTGCAGACTCCTCTGAGTGGTTTGAAGCAGAGGAAGCCAGACCTTCAGAGCCGAGGAGACTCCCAGGATCATCTGATTAGACCCTCTCTTGAAGCAATGGGAAGAGATGCCCAGAGTCAAGGTCCCATACACATGTAATAATCCATTAACTGGGAAGGCAAGATGTGCTGCGGATCAAATCAGTAAGTATTTAAAATATGAGTAACATTAGAGAACACATAAGTTGAACATCCCCTACAATGCAGTATCTACCAATGAGTACTTAATGTTTACTTAGCTTATCTCCTTATCTTGAGTGACTTGGGGCAGATGAATGAGGATGATTCCCTAAGATCCCTCCCTCGTTTGGAAATGCAGCTGTTTACACACAAACTGTCTTACTCTGCAGAGGAAGAACACCAGAGGCACATGGAAATGACCCACTGGAGGTCACACTGCAGTAAGCAGGAGCTCAGCCTTGAAACTGAGCTAACCCACAGACTACCTACTTTCTTCCACCCTTTTCCTGCCATGTTCCTCCTCAGAGAGCCACCAAAGCACAAAGAGTCCACTACCCACAGAGACCCTCAAGGGAGACAGGACTGTACACCCTGCCCTATGCAGCAGGCTGCAGTCCTAGAAGAGGGCATGCCTTGGGCTTATTCAGATCCAATGCCTTCCTAGCTTCTGCACAAGTTTCTTATGACAGCCAACCCCCGTGCTCAAGCAGGACTTCTACCAGCAGAGACTGCTATAATATTGCTGCTGCTGGAGTTATGGCAAAATGTCTCCCCTCCAGGCCTGAGCACTCATATAAAGAAGCATCACATTACAACTGCAAGTGGGTTTTCATCTGACCATTAAGTAAATATGAATAGAAGCGTAATGTCACATTGAAAGCATCTTCCAGACACAGAAACACAGCGACCACAGCCAATTGCTCAGCCACTACAATGAGACGTAAGGATAGAAAGATATTTTTCTTTTAAAATGTGGAGAAAAGGGGTGCCCTGAAGTTGTACCTTATAATTTTTGTTCCATTTCTCAGACTCAAAAGAACAAAGCCCTCCATTCCTTCCTTCCTTCCTTCTTTAGAAACAAAAATAGACTGTACTGGTCTGTCTGCAGAGGCACCAAGATGATATCTTCCTCCACTGTCAGAGTTATTTAGGAAAAATAATCTCTGGCATAGGCCGAGTGCTCATAAATACTTCAGGATGAGACAATAAAGCCGCTCCCAGGTCCTGGCATGGCCCAACCTCAGGACACTGGCCTACACATTTGCAGGTAGAAGCAAAGGCCTGCGTCAGGCCTGTGGCCAGCTTTTGCTTGTGCGGGAGGCTCTAAAATGAAGACAATCTTACTCCAGGTCTCCTTCCACTTTGTTGCCTCTAGAATGTCATCTCCCTCCCCTCCTCTTGGAAAGGAGTCACTCCACCCCAACCATCCAAAGGCTGATGGGCCCCGCTGCCCAACTCAATCCCACACAGTGCCTTGAGCCTAGTTGTGTTCCACTGTATGCACAGCCCTACACATGTGCCTGGAGGTGGAGGGGCACTCGGCTCAGCTCAGGCCCCCAAGGAACTTTGCATGGGGCTGGTGGGACCAATGTTGAAACCACATAGTCAATGCTCATGGAAGGTCAGTGGCAGGTGTTATCTCAGCATCCCTATATCCAGGTCCAGCCTTTTCCAGGCTTCCCTCTCTGTAGCTATGCCTATCCAACCCATTCTCCTTGCTTTCAAAACCCTTCAGTGACCACCCTTCTGACAAGCACTTCCCAACCTTCCTGTATCACAGCATGCATAGGAAACAACGACCTCTGCATGGAACAGTAGCTGAAACAGGAGGCTGTGCCTGGAGAGTACCTGCCCAGGCTCAAGCCATCTCCAGACCTGAGAGGTCAAGCCAGCACATATGTCATCAGCTGAGAGCACACTAATAGGACTTCCAGACATTTAACAAGATCCACAGCGAGCCACACAACTACATGGGACCAGGACACACCACAGGCATGTAACTGAAAGACAGCTTTCATGAAAGAGCACTCTAACTGCCTGTGGTACTCCCTGATATTCAATTCTAGCCTACAGTTGATTCTAGAACAACTCAAGAGTTAGGGACACCGACATCGCTTGTGCAGTTAAAAATCAGTGTGTAACTTTTGACTCCCCTAAAACTTAACTACTAATAGCCTACTTTGACTGGAAGCTTACAGATAACATAAACAGTTGATTAATGTATATACTTTATGCATCCATCATGGTTCACCTGTGAGGTTTTTTTGTTTGTTTCTTTTTTTTTTTTTTTTTTTTTCAGAGTCTCACTCTGTCACCAGGCTGGAGTGCAGTAGTATGATCTCGGCTCACTGCAAACTGCGCCTCTGAGGTTCAAGCGATTCTCCTGCCTCAGCCTCTTGAGTAGCTGGGGCTACAGGCACATGCCACCACACCCAGCTAATTTTTGTATTTTTAGCAGAGACGGGGTTTCACCATGTTGGCCAGAATGGTCTCCATCTCCTGACCTCATGATCCGCCCGCCTCGGCCTCCCAAAGTCCTGGGATTACAGGTGTGAGCCACCATGCCCAGCCTGTGAGTTTTTTCAAATTGTCACAAATCTTCAAAAAATATTCTAATATATTCATTGAAAAAAAATTTCATATGAATGGATGCTCACTGTTCAAATCCATGTTATTCAAGGGTCAATTCGTATTCTATTCTATTCCTATCCTAGCACGTCAGATGTTTTCTAAAATTTTGCTTCTATCCTATTAAATTGAATGTATAACCACTCCATAGGTCTTAAGTCACAGTTTGAAAATCACTGGTTTGCCAGATTTCTTGGCCTGGCAGACTGAGGGATTCCAAGCCAGTCTCAGCTCTCCTCATTTCTTGCCAACCTCCTTTGCCACAGTAAGCTTCAGCTCCTAGAGCTCTTAAAAGGTCCAAGCTTTCATCTCCCACCCACCCCACAGCCATGCCTCTGCACATGCCACTACCCTGTCTAGGGAGGCCTGTCCATTTCTGCACCTGTGTAACAGTCTAAGTCCTCCTATAAAGTGACTACAGACTGCTTATCTGGCTGCCCTTCTGGGCTGAGGCTGCACTCTTCAGGGCAGTGACATGGCTTTCTCAGCTTTGTGTCCCAGAACGGCCTAGCCTAGGGCAGATACTGGCCAATGTTCCTGAGCAGGTACCAACTGGGAAACTTAAAGAGAAAGTCAATTACAATGGCATAGGAGGGAAAGTGGTCAGAAAGGTGGAGCAGAGGCTGACAGCCTGCTTTTTCCGGGAGTCCTTCCCGCCCTGACCAGAACAGTCTGCCATAATCACAAGAGCAACTGCTCTAGGCAGACAGGCCTGATCATCGGGCCCTAGGCCCAGCTTCCACAGTCTTGCTTCTGAGCCATTCAAATAAACAGGTAAATCAAACTCATCATGTCCAGAACTATTGATCTTTCCACCCAAATCTGTTCCTCCCATGATGTTCCTCCAACTAGGTTGACAGAAATCCCATTCTTCTGTTTCTCAGGCCCCAAACCTTGCAGTCCTTCTTGCTTTTTTCTTCTCTCACACTCCTTATCCAATCTGTCAGGAAATCCTGTTGACCAACCTCCAGTGTACACCCAGATTCTGGCTTTTGTTTTGCAATACTCCTACTCCTGTGACCCTCATCCAAGCACTGTCATCTCTCTCTCTCAGGTGACAGCAACAACCTCCTACTTCCCTCCTTCTCCTACTGTATCATCATCATAGTGTTGGGGGACAGTTCTCCATGGCATTTGTCCTGGACTGTCTTGTCAAGGATGTTTACACACAAATGCCTAGGGGTATACTCTGTGTACTCTTCCTGGACAGAGATCTGATTGTTTCCTGAGCAGGATAATAAAGATATTGACTTACTCCAGGGCAAAGTTAGGGCAGATTTGCTAGTAGTCCCTTGTAAGAGTAGGGGTTTCCTAAGATCAGAGTTCCTCAGCTATGACACAGACCCACAGGGCTGCTCCAAACCACCCCTATGGGACTCACGGAGCAAGGGGGATGGATGTGAATAAGAGGCTCACGCTGTCTGCTGTGTTGTGGTCACAAAGTCCTTTGTCTCTGACCAGGAGCCCCGTGTCTCTGCTAGCATCTGTGAAACTGCAGCAGGCTGTTAGCTTGTAAGCAGAACTTTCACAGTTCTTGACACAGAGGAGCCAAAGATCTCATTTCATATCTAAGTCAGATCAAGTCCCTCCTTTACTCAAAATCCTACAATCACTCCCATTTCAGAGAAAAATCCAAAGTTCTTACGATGGCCACAAAACTCTGACTGATCACTCCCATCCTCCTGCACACTCTGCCATCTCATCCTGTCTCTGACCCCATCCCTGCTCCTCTCCCTATTCCTCACTCTTCTCCAGCCATATGGGCCTCCCTGCAGTTCCTCAGACACGCTGGGCACAGGCCCTACTGTGGACCTTTATACTTGCTCTTCTGTTTGTGGGACTCTCCTTCCCTCACACCCTTGGCCCACTTGCTCATCTTCTTCTGTCTTTGTTCAACATGCCCTTCTTACTGAGCTCGAACCCCCTATTTAAAATTGCATCCTGGCTGGGTACAGTGTCCCATGCCTGTAATCTCAACAATTTTGGAGGCCAAGGTGGGTGGATTATTTAAGACTAGGAGTTTGAGACCAGCCTGGCCAACATAGTGAAACTCCGTCTCTACTAAAAACACAAAAATTTGCCAGGCATGGTAGCATGCACCTGTACTCTCCAGCTTCTGGAGAGTCTGAGGCATACTTGAACCCGGGAGGTAGAGGTTGCTGTGAGGCAAAATAGTACCACTGCACTGCAGCCTGGGTGACAGAGTGAGGCTCTGTCTGAAAAATAAATAGATAAATAAAATAAAATAAAACAAAATTGCATCCTCCCTGCCATCACAGGCTCTCGACATTACTTCTCTAACTCAAGGTTCCCCAAAGGGCAACACTGACCTAGTCTCAGTGCCACCCCTGACAATGGCAGACCAATAGGTCAGCAACAGACCTGAGGTCCTCTTGGCTATGGAATTGGAAAATGGCATCAAGGAATACAATAGTAGTCAGAAGGAAGTAGCTTTCTGTTCAGAAAGAAGCCAGAACAAAGGGAACAAGGGATGACTTACATAGTTGGTGTAATGTCCAGATTCCCTGGGGAGTTGCAGAAATACCTGGGGAGGAAGATGTGACACAGGGCTGAGCTCTGACCTTCAGTTAAAAGAAGGCTTAAACTACAGTGATGTGGGCATTCAAGAGGTGGAGGCTGCCCCCACCTCTAACGCTGGCTAGTGACATCTGGAGGAGTCAGCTTATATATTCAACTAGTACATTTCTACAGCATCTTATTTTTTTTTTAGTTATGGTTTTTAGTTTGGTGATTATGACAGGCCTTCTTTGCTATTTATGTTTCTGATTATTTTTAGGGTTTTGCAATTTGATTTTCTTAAATTAAAACTTGAGATCTAAGCACTGGATTTTCTGTGATGTAGCATTGTGTGTTCATATATGCAGTTTATATATTTGGATTGAAAAAGCCTCAGAAAAGAGATATTTCAATATTTGGCACCCAAACGGCCTTATTTCCATATCACCCACATGTGTCCCTGTCTCCACGCACTGCTTTCTATTCCCACACTTCCAGCGACAAACTCCGGATCCTTGTGAGCCAAAACAAAGAGCCGGAACAAGTAGCTAGGCCTTCTCTCCATGCCAAGCTCTGCTGTCACCACATGTGGCTGGGACAGGGCAGCACAGCCTGCAGACTTCACCCCCAGCCCTAGGCTCCAGAGCTTCAGGCCCATATGGGCTTTCTCTCACTCACAATTAGATTCATGGATTCCCAACAAGGCTCTCTGGCATGTTTCTGGGATTAATTCCTGGTGTACAGAAAGTACATGATAACTGTTTGCCTGAAGAGACCTGGTTTTCCTACTGGTTCTGTGACCCCACCACATCCTCCTTGGTGGATGATGCTCTCCTGGCTGTCTCTCCCTATAGCTGCTCCTTGGCTCATCCATCCATTGAGCAGGCCCTCCTCCCTTGGCCTCCATGATGCTGACACTTCCTCTGGCTCCCTCCTGCTGCCTGGGCCAAGACAGCCCTCTTCCCCCTAAAGCTGCTATCATCCATAGTTGTAACAGCCACTCATGTCTCTGTGTCCAGCCATACCTCCAAGCTGCATTTCCAGCACCACTGCTGTTTCTATTCAGATACACCTTGAAATTTCAGGCTCATCAGTTTCCCTCTAAAGTCCCTCCTGCTTTCTGACCTTCCTCACTGTGTTAATTCAACCTTCCATGCCTCAGGCACCCAGGCTTACCCAGCAGGATCTATGGAACTTGCTCTAGCTCACCTTCTACACATTTCCAACCCTTCCTATTTGCCTGCCTCACTGTGGAGGCTGCAAAACCTAATGACTCTCCTTCCTTGCAGCTGGGAGAGTCGATGAGATGCAGTTCTGCCCATGAGTTAGAAAGAGAAGTCCACTGGGGAGTCTGGGAAAGATTTTGCTGGTCATCCCTCTTCCTTGGGTCCCCTTTGCCCCTTCTTCCCTGCAACATCGATGCATTATCTGGAGCTGCTACAACAGTCCTGACTCCCTGGGGCACAGCAAATACACAGGCTAAGAGTCGAAGGCAGGAAGAGAATGCTGGGGACCTTGACGGCATCGCCACCAAGCTCTGGACAGCCTGTCCTGGAAGATAAATACATGTTTTTATTGAATTTTCTGTTGCTTGCAGTGAAAGCATCCTTACTGATACACATAGTAATATTCTTTATTTCTTCTCTCCCTGCTCCCTCCCCTTTCTTTCATACACACAGCTTCTTACTCAATTGCTATCACCTGTTTCCCTCTCCCTTCCTTCCTCCCTTCTCTTGGCATTCTCCTTGCAAGTGCTTTTTGAGCACTCACTCTGGACCCGCTCTGTACTGCCTCACAGAGAGAAAGCAGGAGCCAACCACGCACTGGACCATAGAGAGCACCCTCCCGTCCATCTTCCTTGTGCACCTTACTCAGGCAGTGCCCAGCCTTGTCAGCCTCCAGCCACAGTCAGCTTTGCCTTCTTCAGGGTTTCCTGCACACCTCCAGCACAATTAGAATCTCAGGTTTTCTCCAGTGAAGTATTGCAATGGCCTTCAGGTCTCCCAGAGGGTTCCCTGGTCTCAATTTCCTGACTAGGACCATTCGGCACCCCAGATCTGGGGTCCTTTCCCTCACAGCCCCACTCTCACCCCACACCCACTGCCTGTCACTGGGACCCTGGTGTCAGCAATTCAATCCCCCCCGACCCCTGCCAGACACTTACCCATCCTGCCAGAACTCAACAAAACTCTCATGCAAGGTCACAGCAGCCAGGAAAAAGGGCCCAGCAGTCAAAGCATGTAGGAAGAACCAGGCTTATGTTAGGACACAAGAACCAAAGAGCCCTGAGGTGAGTTGTGAGAAGGATGAGGCCAGGGAGAGATAACCCCTTATTAAGTATATGCTATGTACTACTAAGCACTAGGCCAGGTAGCATCTGTGTATTCTCTCATTTTAAAATGCACATTTGGGATAGTTTTACAGAGAATGGATTCTGAGGTTCAGAGAGATTCAGCAGTTGGTCTGGTCACATAGCACATAGTGGGCAGGATGGTCATCTGCGGTAGAGAAAAATGAAGTTGGAAGAGCTGGTGGTCTGCAGTTCAAGGTTTCATGTCCTGGAAGAGAATAGCCACCTCCCCCTACCCTTTGCTGCTGGCTCCTCGGCTCTGCTGAGACCACTTCCTAAAGCAAGACATCCACCAAAACTCCAGCAGAGGAGGTGTGACAGGCCTAACTCTGATACCACAATACTTGTCATTATGTAGACAAAATGCCAGTCAAGGATTATAGACTCCTGAAAACATTGCTCCCTAACCAGGCTTCTAGGTTAACAGCACCATGGCTCAAGCTCAGAGCCCTCTGGGGTGGGTCCCTGGGTCTTTCCAGGAGGGCCTGTGGAAGCAACCTGCCTGCTGAGGCCAGCAACCTGTTTATCCTCTGACCATGGTGACATGCCCCTTTGCAGGTGGTTGGGAGGACCGCCGTCTGCCCCAGCTCAGATTCCACCCCTCTACTGATGCTCACTGTAACCCCCAGAACACACAGGCCATTCAGGTGCATCTGAAGCACAAAGACAAAGGGACTACCAGATCTAGAATATAAAAGGGCCCTTCTTGTTTAAAGTTGTTTTATAATTGACAAAGTAATTTCATATCCATTATTCCACTGGGTCCTCACAACAATGAAGCCAGTGTTGCTTTTCAAATTTTCTACATGAACATCATCATCAACAACAAAGCAAAGCTCCAGGAAGTCTAGCATGCTGAAGACCTCACAACAGTTGGGGAGTGCAGTGGATGGTGGGAGTAATCAATTTAGTCTTCCTCTCTTTCCTTCTGGTCTCCTGTGGGATGCAGTGTCCAGAGGACATCATAACCCTGGACACAGCAGGAGGTTCATGGAGGAGCCTGTGACCCTAGTCAGGCCATTCAGAGTCCTTCCTAGGATGTTTGATGGAATTATCAGGAAAGAGCAAGATGTAAACCTGGAAATTATCAGGAAAGAGCAAGATGTAAATATGGGCCATTCCTCTGATCAGAGAGGAGCGCCTGCCAGACAACAAGGCAGGCCAGCCCTAGAAATGGAAAGACGAATTTCTGGGAACATGGAACACACAAATGCAGCCATGTCTAAAGCCAGCTCTACCTCTGGAATTTTCAGTTACATGAGTCAATATTTTCTCATCTTATTTATGACAGAAAGAGTCTTCACACCAACACAAAGAATAAAACCAACACCTCCTAGTTCATGGCAGGGTACAGAAATCTCCCAAAAGATAGAAATGAAAATAAAAGACAAGCATAAGTTTCCTACCGCAAACAGTTACTTTTATTCATTCAACAAATATTTACGGGCCAAATACCATGCAAATAGGCTGGAAAGACGGTAATAAGCCAAAGATACAGGATCCTTGTGTTCAGTAATCTTAATAGAACAGAAGTGTAGGTGTTATGGATGACTGTGGGTGGCAACAGTAATAATACACACCTAGTCTGAGGGAAGGCCAGGAAAGACATTCTCAGAATGTCACATTTAAATTGAAACTGAAGGACAATCAAATGTGAGCCTCATGAAGCAACGTCTGGACAAGGGCAACAGCGTGGGTGAAGACCCATTGCCGAGACAGCAATTTCATTATTAGTGACTCATGAGTGCTGATGCACTTTTGTGGGAGCAATACAAGTGGATGCTACAGCTTCTTTTGTAGTTTGGAAATAAATACATATGAAAATCTTTCCAAACTGATCAGATAAGCATGCAAAGAAATATTTACAAGAACTTTTTTGTTGCAGCAATTTTTATAACAACAAAAATTTATAACAACAGAAACTTAAAAATAAGACATGCCAATATAAACTTACAACTGAAAAACACTTTAAAAGACAATGTAAACATAAATTTATTGACTTGGAAAAATACACACATCTAGAAGAAATGAGCAGGTCTCAGAGAATATGGATAGGATGATTCCATGTATTGAGTACAAAATAGGAATTCAATAAATATTTATTGAATAAATAGCAAATAAATATATCTGAACAGATTAATACCAAATAAAACACTCACATTCATTATTTCTGGGTGAAGAGATTATTGGTGATTTTAAATTCTTTTCTGAATTTGTTTATCTGAACTATCTAATTTTTTTTGTAAAATGCCCATGAATTACTTGCACAATAAACAGGAATAAAGAAGGAAATCTATTCAAAGCAGGCAATGACTTACCAAGGTCAGTTTTAAAGATCGACACTTGGAATCAGAAAATGGGGCTTCAGGAAAGAACAGAAAATAGCATGGCTGGATAAGTACAATAGATAGGAAATATTCCTCCTATGAACATTAAGGAGAAAGAAATCTTTCTTCAATGTCACAGCCAAAATTTGTCCAAGACAAGTCCATTCCATGTTTATTATTTATTTAGCTATCTGTAACACTGCACATTAGTTAAATATTAGTAAAAGGAAAACATTTACATTGATGCAAAAATAAAGTCAACAAGGCTTCTGTGTGCATGAGGCCAAAAAATTACATTTAAAAAGTCTTTGTATTCCAAACATCTAAATATTTGAGAAAGTCTGCAAAACAAATGCTATTTGGATCAACTTCTAGGGGGACTGATGGTATCATCCATGTTTCTCTGATGTGTTAGCATAATAGAGAATGCAGCTTCCAACAATCAAGCCAGTAACTGGGCACAAACACAGCCAGCTCCGTCTTTGCCATCACTGGAAACATGTGCTGGGCAAGTAACATAACTGACTCTTTGATGGCCTTCTGGAGTCAAATTGTAATACTCTGATTGTTCGTATTAGGAAAATTCTGTTAACTTTGAAACTCTGGAAGCCCTGATGGAGGCAAAGCATTGGCTCTGATCCAGGCAGAGTAGAATAAAGCAGACAGCAGGTGCTGTGGAGAGCTGGCCAAATGGCGGGAACTGGGCCCCGGAGGACCCCCACACATTGCAAGAACAGCTGCCTGTCTCCCACATAGCGTCCCAGGCCCTGCACAAGCAGCATGGCTCCTGCTTTCTTGGGCTTGTCTCACCTACCAGGCTACAGCCTCCTTACTCAGCCCAGTATGGAAGGTGTTCACAGCAGGCTGAAGAAGTAAGGCAGGCTGCAGGAGCAGAGGCGACCTGAGCCTTGGAATACTGGGCAAAGAGAAAAGGATGCCAGGGGCAATGATACCAGGGGCAATGATGCCAGAAGCATGGTCACACAGGCCATGCAATGGCCTAGGGCAATCAGGCAGCTCACAGCTATTCCCTTGAGGAAGCACAGGACACTCATGGGACACATTCAAAGACTTAGGAAAGAAGAGATGTCATCACCTCCCAGAACCATGCTCCCAACACTACTCACTCTGAAATCAGGCATTCATGTGTGGTTATTCCCCCTGGAATATGAACTCCTGCAGCTGGTGCTACATCTTACTAGACTTGGCATCACTGCAGCTGGCACAGTATTGAACCAAGACTCTTCACTCAATAACTGTTGGCAGTTAGATGAGTAGATGGATGCATAAAACAGCAAATCTAAAGGCTAGTTCTAGATCAGCACGTGCTGTGAAAATCATGGATAGTTCAAGTTACCTCCAGGAAATCCCTTAGATTGCCCAGAAGGTACATACAGAATCAGCCAACATCTCTCCTCCACCACCGGACAAGGTCAGTGGTTCTCTGCTGAATGCCAGAGGAAGGGGCTCACATAAAGTTAACATGATGTACAGTCTCAGTATGCACACACAAGTAACAAACACAAGGAGCGTACTTAGCTTTGCAAGGTTCTCACACTGTAGTAGGTATGTGGGAACTGAGACCCACGGAGAGGAGAGCCAGACCGAGCCTCCCACCGCCGCCTTGCAAGCTCACTCTGAGTGGGATGGTGGATGGAATCCCCAGCATTATTTAAACCATCTTCCTTTTCTCCTTTTCAAAACTGCTGGAAGCACAGATGAATGAATTAAATTCATATTTCATGGGACTCAAATCCATTCCTGTAATTGGATTACCATAAACCCAAAACGAAAAGGGGACAGGATGGGGGAAGGGGAAAGGCTGCCCCGTCGAAATGCAGCCCTGGCCAGCAGCTCCCATTGGCACCCCTCATGCCTGTGCTAACCACACCAGCTGCCAGCACACCTGCCTCTCCTGACCCCCAGGCCCTGTTTCCACACCATCTAATCAGGCCTTGGCCTGGGCTCACACCAGTTAGTTATTCAGTCTCAACTCAGATCTGTCTGCTTCTGGACACATGCAGGGCTTTCTGAGTGCTATTTCCTCAGCAAGCCCAACAGCTTAGTGAAACCATCTCTGCAAGATGGACAGTCTCCCACCCCATTCCATCTCATTTTCATATCCCTAGTAAGTGACAGAGGGAAAAGGAACTTCTCGGTGGGTCAGAAATAGGCATGAATGTGTAGTTATTCATCACCCTCAGTGACATGCTACTGTCTATTACAGCCTGAGGCAAAAGGAAAAATCAGTAACGCTAATCTTGTATTTATTTGAAATCTTGACATTTGTTTATCATGGATTTTTGCATTAATCTTTATTTTCTAAAATATTGCATTAAATATTTATTCTGATATTAGAGTGGTTTCTTTTGGTGCCTCCTTAAATTTTGCAGCTAAGCGCCTCCCTCATTTCATCCTAATCATTAGAGCTACTATTGATAGAGCTACTATTTACTGAGTACCAATAATAAACCAGACACTGCACTTATAAAAACACTTATATATAACCCTTGCAATACTCTCAATCGTAGTGAGGAATGTTTTAATTTGACAAATGGGAAAACTGAGGCACCAAAAGTAAATGTCATAGCAAATATCACACAGCTGGTAACAGGTGTGGAACAGAAACTCAGGAGACAGGAAAGACAGCCATGCTTGACTAGGAAATACCAGCGTGCTGTGGATCTTATTTAGGGAGCAGTGACATGGGGAAAGCATGATAAAGCACTATGCAGCCAGCCAGAGAGATTAAGCGTGGATTCCAAGGTGCCTGGAGAGGTTCCAAGGGATTTGAAGGAGGCTGTGGAGACCAACTGCCTCCATGAACATTTGCATATGGACTAAGGAAAGGCTTCCCTGCTAGAGGAGTCACATCCTAAAGAAAGCCTGGTAGGTGTTTTAGAACCCAGGCTTTGAATTTTTCATAAGATTATTTTAGATTTGTGGGAGGAAGATTATTATAAAATCTGTGGCCACAAGTACTTTTCTTGCAATTTCTTTTTCAGAATTAAACAAAGTATCTTGCACATGCAAAAATGTCTAATTTGATTTAAAGCCATAGGTCAGTTTATTCATCTGCTCATAAATATCATATTCTTATTAACACCGTGGGACCCATGGAAACTCCACTGAGAAACCACAAAACCTCAATGTGGATTAAACTGGAAGCTCTTTTTCCAAGAACATGTATATTATATTGAATATCAATGTCAACTCTGGTTTCTGAATCATAATTGTGCTAATATTAGCAGTAGTACGAATGAACTTAGATATTAACTCTTAGATGAGATCAAGTATACAATATTGTTCAGACTAAGCTGCCTACATTAGAGAGTGTTGGCTATCACCATTCTGGCATGTGTGGGTTGGCACCTTTCTACAATTTTGTTATCATTTTGCCTTTTGCCATTGCTGTTTGCCACATACCTTACCAGCTGATGATGGCATTGGCCCAAGTCCAAAAGTGGACCAGAAAACATATCCCAAGTCAAGATCTGCTGCTTTTCCCACTTCAAATTGCATTAATTTTTTTCACATCAGACTTCTCTAGCCCCACACCCTTTAGCACTGTATTTAATTAAAATACAGTCCTATCTTGTTAAAAATTGAGAAACTTTTGTCTCCTCAGGTCTAACTAGCTGTTCAACGGTGGGAATTTTGTTTTACTTACTCCCATGCATTCAGTTTAGGGATGAGCACATATCAAGCTTCAGGTAAAAGGCTTACTGAGGCCGAAAGGAGACACAAAGAAAAGCAGGAGAGGCTCTGTGTGTGAGTCCTGGTGGGCAGGGGGTGAACGAAGATCTAGGGCCCTGATGGGACTACATTGGTACTCTAAGGAAATTTAACAAGAGGCTGGATCAACACCAAATGCAGGGAATAAAGCCAAGGTCATCAACAAACAAGTACAAATGGAGAGAGAATGAGAACAAGGGAACCAATAATTACAACACAAGCGTGGAAGATCTGGAGTGAGGAGAGGGGCAAAAATCCACCCACGGATGTGGCTCAGGACTGAGGCCATGCCTGACATCAGAGTGTTAGAGAATACTAGTGGCCAAGGGTTCATGGACACTGTCCTCCTCAGAGCTGCCCTGCCATGACCTTCCTCCATTCCTGGGCCAAGGTCTCTAGTGCTTGTCTCCTTTACCCTTGGGTTCTTGGAGCTCAGCTTCAGCTCCACATTCTCTAGTGGGTGTAAGATCCAGGGCTAGCCACAGACCACCACTCTTTCTTCCCTATCCTTCTACAATGGCCATAGGAGACAGAGACCACCTAATGCAACAGCACTTGTTTTTGAATCATAAACTGTGGTCCCAGTGGACCAATAGAAGGGGCATATTATATGGACAATATGTGGAGAACAGCACAACAGTATCAGCTACAGGATAGAGAGAAACTCATCTGCAATTTTTATACCTTGCTTAACAAGGTATAAAATACCATGGAGCCCCCACAAACAATTCCATTGGGTTTTATTGTGAACTGGCCAAAGATAACAATCAAATTAGCACAAGCAGCCTCTCCCACTGGATTTTACTTGTATTGATTAAAGGAGCCAGAAATCAAACCTTCTTGACTGGAAATACGTCTCTTTTTTCCAATTCAGATATCTTTTCCAAGTCTTGGCTCCCTGATGAAAATCTCCACTATGTTAGTAAATTACTGAAAGTCCATGAACAGCAGGGAGCTAGCTTTCTAAGAGGGCCCCAGCATCAGAGAGGCTCTCTAAAGAAGGACTGCTTAAATATTTTTAGAGGTTCATCCTCCCTGCTGCTCCTGTGAATGGCTCTTGGTGCTGATTGCTGTATGGGGTTTCCCTGTGGGGATCCAGATGGCCAGAGGTGGATTTGCACTAACTTCTCCCACATCTCACCTAATCAATGCCTGCACCTCACCTAGAGGGCTCTCCAGATGGCACCTGTCATAAATGGAAACCAAGGTCAGATTAGTCCTCTGTTTACATAAGAAAGTCACTTTCCAATTTATTAGCTATCTCTCTTTGTTTTAATTCTATAAGTAAACAAGAGAACTGCATACTAATGAAGGTACTTATTTAATTAATTAGTATAAGAGAAATTGCAGTGAAGGCTACCTGGCTATGGAAACTTCAAAGAGACAGTGGGCATTGCTTGATGTATAAAATATGAGTGCATATTTTTTATTGAATTGAGGTAATTATTTCCTCATTCTATCTGCCTAATAGAGGAAATGGAGAGCCTTCTCTTGTGGAAAATAATATTAGCACCTCCATAACATTTTATATGCAATGACGAGCATACAAAAAAATTATCAGACATATGAAGAGGCGAGAAAATTTGATCAATAATCAAAGAAATAAAGATCGTAGAAATGGACTCATGGATAATCCATACATTGGAGTGGCAACAAGGACTTTAAAGTAATTGTCATTAACATGTTAAAGAATCAAATCAATTAATGTGTTACATCACATCAACAGAATGAATAACAAAAACCACATGATTATTTCAATTGATGCTAAAAAAGTATTTGATAAAATTCAACATCCCTTCATCAAAAAATTCTCAAAAAACTTGGTATAGAGGAAACATACCTCAACATAATAAAAGGCATATATGACAGACCCACAGCTAGTATCATACTGAATGGAAAAAAAAACAGCCTTTCCTCTAAGATCTGGAACATGACAAGGATGCCCACTTTTACCACTGTTATTCAACATAGTACTGGAAGTCCTAGCTGGAGCAATCAGAAAAGAGAAAGGTATAAAGGGCATCCAAATTGGAAAGGAAGAAGTGAAATTATCTTTGTTTGCTAATGATAAACCTTAAGATTCCACAAAAAGCTATTAAAACTGATAAACAAATTCAGTAAAGTTTCAGGATACAAAATCAACATACAAAAATCAGTAGTGTTTCTATAGGTCAATAGTGAACAATACGAAAAATAAATTTAAAAAGTAATCCCATTTATAATAGCCACACATAAATTTAAATACCTAGGAATTAACTTAAGAAGTAAAAGGTTTATATAAGAAAAACTGTAAAACACAGAAATTGAAGAAGACAAAAAATTGAAAGACTTTCCATGTTCGTAGATTGGAAGAATCAATATTGTTAAAATGGCTATACTACCCAAAGCAATGTACAAATTCAATGCAATTCCTATCAAAATACCAATTACATTCTTCACAGAAATAGAAAAAGAAATGCTAAAATTTATATGGAACCACAAAAGACCCAGAGTAGCCAAAGCTATCCTAAGCAAAATGAATAAAACTGGAGGAATCACATTATTTGACTTCAAATTATACTACACAGCTATAGTAACCAAAACAGCATGGTACTGGCATAAAAACAGACACACAGACCAATGGAACAGAATAGAGAACCCAGAAACAAATCCACACACCTACAATGAACTCATTTTCAATAAAAGTGACAAGAACATACATTGGGGGGAAAATACAGTCTCTTCAAAATGGTGCTAGGAAAGCGGGATATCCATATGCAGAAGAATGAAACTTGACTCCTATCTCTTGCTATATACAAAAATCAAATCAAAATGGATTAAAGACTTAAAAATCTATGACCTCAAATTATGAAACTACTACAAGAAAACGTTGGGGAAACTCTCCAGGACTTTGGTCTGAGCAAAAATTCACTGAGTAATACCCCGCAAGCACAGGCAACCAAAGCAAAAATGAAGCAATGAGATCACATCAAATTAAAAAGCTTCTGCACAGCAAAGGAAACAATAAACAAAATGAAGAGACAACCCACATAATGGCAGAAAATATTTGCAAATTACTCATCTGACAAGGGATTAATAACCATAATATATAAGGAACTCAAACAACTCTATAGGTAAAAGTCTAATAATCCAATTAAAATGGGCAAAAGATTTGAACAGATATTTCTCAAAAGAAGACATACAAATGATAAACAGGCATATGAAAAGGTGCTTAACATCACTGATCATCAGAGAAATGCAAATCAAAACTATGAGATATCATCTCACTCCAGTTAAAATAACTTATATCCAAAAGACACGCAATAACAAATGCTGGTGAGGACGTGGAGAAAATGCTTGTACACTGTTGGTGGGAATGTAAATGAGTACATCCCACTACAGAGAACGGTTTGATGGTTCCTCAGAAAACTAAAAGCTACCATATGATCCAGCAATCCCACTGCACTCCCAAGTTTATTGCAGCACTGTTTGCAATAGCCAAAATTTGGAAGCAACCTAAGTGTCCATTAGCAGATAAATGGATCAAGAAAATGTGGTACTTATGCACAATGGAGCACTATTCTGCCATAAAAAAGAATGAGATCCTGTCATTTGCAACAAAATGGATGGAACTGGAGGTCATTATGTAAGTGAAATAAGCCAGGCACAGAAAGGGCAAACATCACACGTTCCCACTTATTTATGGGATCTAGAAATTAAAACAATTGAACTCATGAAGATAGAGAGTAGAAGGATGTTTACCAGAGGTTGGGATGGGTAGTAAGAGGGTGGGGAAGGAGGTACGGATGGTTAATGGGTACAGAAAAAAAAAAAACAGAAATCATGAATGAGACTTAGTATTTGATAGCAGGGTGACTACAGTCAATAATTTAATTGTACATTTAAAAATAGCTTAAAAAAAGTATTTTGGATCGTTTGTAACACAAAGGATAAATGGCTGAGGGGATAGATACCCCACTTTATGAGATGCTATTATTATATATTGCATGCCTGTATCAAAACATCTCATGAACCCCATAAATACATACACCTACTATGTACTCACAAAAGTTTTTTAAAAAGTTGAAGAAAATAAAAGATAAAAAAAAAATGGAGAACTGGCACAGAAACTAGAACTTACAAAAAAAGTTTTAAAAGGCATTTGGAACTCAAATATGTGCTGTATTAAATTAAGAACTCATCAGGTGTATTTGATAGCAAACTAGATAAAGCAGAAGATGAGATTAGTAGATAGCAATGCTAAAGTGGAGAGAGAAAAAAGGATGGGAGGAGAAGAGAAGAGCACAAGAGCTCTGTGGGAAACAGCCAAATAATCTAACTTACACGTAGTAAGAGTTGTACTGTGTTTTGACTTCAGAAAGACCTGAGTCAAACTTCAGCCTCCTTACTTATAGGATGAGTAAGTAGTATTCTTGGTAAGTGATCTAACTCTTCCAAGCTTCAATTTCCGCATGTACAATATGGGAACAAATAAGTCAACACTGTAGGCTTTTTAAAAGTGAGGTAAGTTATTTTGAAGTAGTATCTGAGTGCTTCTCACAGCCATCCTTGCAGTCCAACAAGCGCCTTCATTTTACGAGCCTCAGAATCAAGACACATGCCAATAACCACAGAACCCTAAAATAAAGGCCCCTAATACTGGACTGTCAGGCTTACAGGCCTTTGGTATAGGGATGAAGTCTCATGGAATGGCTTTTCCTGTCTCCTGGACAACAGTAGAGATGACATAGGATAGAAAACTAGAGAAAGGAAAGATAATATAGGCCAGAGAAGAGCAAGATGAGAAATCTAGCAGCTCTACCAGCGCAAGCAACATCCCCTGGCAGCACCCAGGGATCACCTTTAAACAGCTCAGCTCTTAGGGAGGCTTCCCACGGCCATTATCCAATAGTGACCACAGAAATGGGACAATCTACAGAATGCAGTAGGAGTTAATACTCATCTGGGTCCTGACACTTTGTTAAGTCCTCATCTAACCTTCTCCATTTGGGTAACCCCTGTTTTATGGATCAAGACATGAATAAAATGAACTGATAATTCCAATGTTCATTATATTATCACAATTGTATTAATTACTATTATGATTTATTACATCTTATTTCAACTGTAGCTAATCTTTAATGGGCACAAACTATGTGCCAGGCACTGGTCTTCACATTTCACATGTATATTAACTATTTATCATAACAACCTTCCAAAATATTAATAAGTGCTAACTAAATATCTTCCTCAGGGCCGCCCAGCTAACAAGGTTCTCTGTCAATTCTAAAGTACTACCCCAGGAATGGGTAATACCTGCTGAGTGCCCGCTATATGTCAGGAACCTTTTACACTTGTCTGATTGAATTCAAACTGTAGCCTCTGAGATTCAGTTCCCTCATCTACAAATGTAGTTATGTTGTTAACCATTGCTAGCCCCACACTGCTGCTGTAAATCTTAAAGGGGATGACTATATGAAATGCCCATCACAGTGATCCTCACATGAGAAGGAAGGAAGGAAAAGACGGAGGGAGGGAGGGAGGGAGGGAGGATCTTTAACTTAAAACTGTTCTATACATGTAATTTTTTTTTTTTTTTGAGACAAGGTTTCACGCCATTGCCCAGGTTAGAATGCAGTGGCGTGATCATAGCTCTCTGCAGCCTCAAACTCCCAGGCCCAAGTGATCCTCCCACCTCAGCATCCTGAGTAGCTGGGACTAGAGGTACATGCCACCATGCCTAGACCATACATATAATTCACACAGCAAATGAAACCTAGGAACACCTACTTTTATTGTACTTTTTAATGTACTTGATGAAAGTTAAATAAATAACAGATATGTCAGACCAAATTGTCTGTCTCCAATTTGGTTTAGAGTTGCAAGTTCAAATATCAGAGCTTACTGGAGTGTAGCAGAAACATTATTTTAATTGGTCCCATGTCTATCAGGAAAACCTGAGATCCCTCTGAGGCCCTCAGAAGAGCTGCCCCTCTCTGACCAAGCAGATAACCCACAGGGTCCCCATTCAGGACTCAGATTCACCTTTAAAGAGCTGCACAGGTAAAGGAAGAGCGTTGAGGTATGAGGCAGGCAGGTATGGGATGCTGGATCAGTTCCCCATTCCCAGGTTCCCCAGAAGTCAGGATTAGAAAACTTCACCCTGGACAAATTTACACTCAAACTAAAAACCAAATACTGCATGTTCTTGCTTATAAGTGGGAGCCAAACACTGAGCACACATGGACATAAACATGGAAACAACAGACACTGCAGACTACTGGAAAGGGAGGGAGGGAGGGAGCAACATCACACAATATTCCCATGTAACAAACTTGCTCATGTACCCCCTGTATCTAAAATAAAAGTTGAAATTTTAAAAATGAAAGGAAACTTCAGGGTCCTTGGGGCCATCACCACAGACCGCCTCAAGTGGCTGATGCCTGAAGGCAGCCCCTCTCCAAAGGGCTGGCACCAGCAATGTGTCTGCTCCCAGGCCGGGTAGGTCACGGGGACAGGCAAACATAATGGGGTCATTAAAGGATTCAGAAAAAAAAAACACAAGGTCCGGGCAGAAGAGGAAAGCTGAGTCTGAAGCTCCTGCTCTTCCCATCAGAGGTAATCTCATTTTAAATTTGGCCTCAAGGTTTCCAGAAACCTACTTAGATCTTATGTAGCCTGTGTGTGTGACTAGAATATAAGCCAGAAAATCCGCTGAGAAAATGAGGATGTCAGCTTCTAAGTTCTGCTCTGGGCCAGAGCAGGTGGTGAGACTCTGCAGTTCTGAAGCTGGAAGGAAGATCTTCAATGTCCTGCCCTGGTCTTGATTTATGAAAGGTAACCACTCTTTATTGAGCTTGTGCCAAGCATCAAACACTGACTGCAGACTTTAGGGAACTCTCCTAAAAGTGGCCAGGCACGGTGGCTCACGCCTGTAATCCCAGCACTTTGGGAGGCCGAGGCGGGCGGATCACGAGGTCAGGAGATAGAGACCATCCTGGCAAACACGGTGAAACCCCGTCTCTACTAAAAATACAAAAAAAATTAGCCAGGCGTGGTGGCGGGCGCCTGTGGTCCCAGCTACTCGGGAGGCTGAGGCAGGAGAATAGGAGAATGGCGTGAACCCGGGAGGCGGAGCTTGCAGTGAGCCTCGCGCCACTGCACTCCAGCCTGGGCGACAAAGAGAGACTCCGTCACAAAAAAAAAAAAAAAAAAAAGGCATGTGGGGGAACTATTATCCCATTATCCCAATTTAAAACTGAGGTTGGGAGATGTGAAGTCTCTGCTCCAGTTCTCCTATTGGCAGGTGCAAGAATGTAGAGTCAGGTCTGTCTGATTCCTGAGCTCAGGAAGGCTTGTTTCTCCACACAAAGTTCTGTTCTGATTATTGACCCATTGTCCTGGACCAACACTGCACTAGAAGACCCTGTACAAACATGACTTTCTCTTAATTCTCACAACCCACTTGCAAGTAGAAAAGAAAACTTTTTGACCATACTAAATGTCCATCAAGGTTTTTTTCTAATACTGGATATACCTCTGACTGGGAAGAAGAGAGAAGTTGGCACTAGTCTAAACATGTGCCCTATAACTCCAGGGTCCCCAGAAAACTACAAATTCCAAGTCTCTCTTTCATGGAGAGACATAACACATTTATAGAAAGGAAGTTTTAATACTTAGAAATACGCTGATGTTTTCTAAAAGTGGCCTATAAATCTGATGCAACTCCATTCAAAAAAAATTTTTTTTCAAGAGGCTCTACAAATTGACTCTAAATGTACATTTGAAATGTATATTTGAAAATGTATATTTGAAATGTATATTTGAAAATGTACATTTGAAATGTGTATTTGAAAGAAAATAGACCACATCACTTCTGAAGAAGAATGAAGTGGAGGAATTTGCCCTACCAGATACAAAGACTAAGTACAGATGTGTAATGATTAAGGCAGAATGGCGTTAACTAGAATGCCATTCTGTCTTACTAACAGGACTAGAAAAAATTAACAATGAACCAAAATAGCACATAAAGAGATCTTCATATACATGGAACTTTAATGTATAAAAGAAACAGCACAAGAGAAAGGAGGGACAATTCACTCCATGGAGCTGCAAAATTTGGTTCTCCATGTGTAAAAATTGAATTGCAATTGCATCTTTATCTCATATTTTTCACAAAATCAACCTTCTGTGTGTGTTTGCGTCTTTCTGACAAATGAAGCAGAATGAGCAGAAAATTACTGCAATAAAATAAAAGATTGATACATTTGACTTCACTAAAATTAAAAACTTTTATTCATCAAAAGACGTCTCAAAGAAAAAGGACAAGGTAAAACCCAGATAAGAGATCTGAGAAATAAATGACTAACAAAACATTAATATATTAATATCGAGAATCTATAAACAGCACCTATGAAAACTATTTTTTAAAATGCAAACAATGCAATAGAAAAATCAGCAGCAGTCACGATCAGGTATTTCCTTTTCTTTTTTTTTTTTTTTTTTTGAGACAGAGTCTTGCTCTTGTTGCCCAGGCTGGAGTGCAATGGCGCGATCTTGGCTGACTGCAACTTCCGCCTCCTGGGTTCAAGCAATTCTCCTGCCTCAGCCTCCCAAGTAGCTGGGATTACAGGTGCCCGCCACCACGCCCGGCTAATTTTGTATTTTTAGTAGAGACAGGGTTTCTTCATGTTGGTCAGGCTGATCTTGAACTCCTGACCTCAGGTGATCCACCCACCTCGGCCTCCCAAAGAGCTGGGATCACAGTCATGAGCCGCCACACCCGGCCACAGTCAGGTATTTTCACAGATAATTAAACACTTATAGCTAGTAACATATGAAGAAATGCTAAGCCTTGATAGCAAACAGGAAAATGAAAAATAAAGACCATGAGAATTCATTCAGTTGGAAAAATAAGAAGTCTGACAATACTCAGTGTTCAAGAGAATATGGTTTAATGTAGATATTTTATACATTACCAGGAGGAGTGTAAAATGATACAAATGCTTTGATGGTGGCAGGCACCTGTAGTCCCGGCTACTTGGGAGGCTGAGGCAGAATGGCATGAACCCGGGAGGCAGAGCTTGCAGTGAGCCGAGATCGCGCCACTGTACTCCAGCCTGGGCGACAGAGCGAGACTCCGTCTCAAAAAAAACAAAAAACAACAAATGCTTTGAAAGATAATTTGGCATTATCTTGTAAATGTGGACAGCCACCTACCCAAAGACCCAACAGCAGAATGAACAAATAAAATGAGGATATTTCACACACTGGAATATTATACAGATACACAAAGTAACATATTAAAGCATACTGTGAAAAAAAAGTCCCAGAAGACAATATCCAGTAAGACAGTTTTTATAATGTTCAGCACAAGTAAAACCAAACAATTTTGGGTAAAGGTATTATGTATGATTAAAACTTTTGAAAAATGAACAAGATAATAATAATCACAACCTTTAGAATCATGGTCACCTCTGTGGTGTACAAGAGGAAGATAGATGGGAGATGGAAGGAGCACATGGGTAGATGTAAGTTACTAGTAATATATGATGCTTAGTTTGAGCTATAGGTTCACAAGTGTTTATTACATTTTTTAATAAAAGAGGGCCAATCCTAATAGTACATAATGAAAATAATTATGATTAATCCAATTCAATATACCCGAGGTCAAATTTTAAAATTCTAGGATATAGATGCAATTGAAGATCGGCAATTTCCAAAACTTCCATCTATTAAAGTTCCTGTCTGCCATCCATGTAGCTGCAGATTAGAGACTTGTGGCCATGTGGCTCTGCACTCCCCCTTTACCCCTGAGCACAGATGGCAGATAGATCTGCGGCCCCTTAATCCTGCAACCACTCTTCCTTGTCATGGGCATGGCAGACCTCAACAATGGACCTGCCAAGACTTCAAATTCCTTTTCCACACAGCTCTCCAGATAGTCACCTGGGACAAAACGTATGGAACAGTGGGTAAGTTCTGTACACAGAAGCCACATCAAGATGTCCAGAACTGCAGACAATTCAGAGATGAAGAATTCAAGGGATCAAAGGTAAGGGGAGAGGAGAAAAGACTGCTAATGAAGAAGGATGAGAAGTCCATGAAACTGCCATGTGGCTCCCAGCTTGAGAAAGTCCTGAGCTCAAGCTACTTCCTGCCTTGGTCCCAGAGAGAAAGAGAAAAATCAGGATAGACAATAGCGTATTTAACTTGACATGTGGAAAATATGCTATGCTGTGAGGTGTGGAGGCTGGAAATAGAAAGCAATTTCCTGAAGAAAGATCTCTGTTCATGGGTGATGGGGTCATTTGGGGTCCCTGAGGGAAGACTGGATATTGAGAGCTCAGGAAGGAAATGTGATTCCTCCAATGCCTCCCTGGATGCTCACAGCAATCAGGACCTTAGCCAAGACAGATGATTCCAAAGAAGACCCGTGGGCATGGCTGATATCAGCAGCCTTTTTGATCCAATTGTCCCCAGAGCTACTCCGAGCCAGAGCCACAACTCAGAACAGGTGCCCCAGCAAATGTCAGAGAGATAAAGTCTGAGGCACCCGTGATGCATGGTTCTTTCTTTTGGTTTAAAGCCAAAGTCTTTTGGGCCTGGGACTTGAGTCATTTAGGAAGGACATCTAAGAGAGGAAAGCAGGAAAAGAAATAAGAAGGAAGGGACCATCTTTCTCTTGTAAACTCCTTAGTGGCAAAGGAAACAGCTGTGAATTTTTTACGGCACCTTTACTGCCTAGCAGTATATGAGGCATAGTATATTCTCAATAAGTGCTGTCTATTTCCTACTCAGTTCCTCCAATCCATGAGGCTCATTTAAGCAACAGGAAATATTCAGGGGAAGGACGTGTCATGCAAGCATTAAACAGGATCAGAGGCTGGCAGTGGAGGGGTATCAAGGGAGAAACAAAGGGGAGCAGTCCTATCAAGGGAACTGTGTATCCTGGAAGGTTTGCTTGCAGCCCAGGATCTCAGTGAGGGCAGAGTAGTAGGGGGATTAACACCTCACAGAAAGTTGTCTCCATATAAGAATAATAAAGACAGAATACTTTACGTGGTGGCCCAGGGCAGTGGAGTGAGCACAAAATCAGAAATTCAGAAGTCTAAAGTAAGGCATCATTTCTCAGTTTCCTCATCAGTTAAGTGGGTATGATGACTACCAAGGTTGTGTAAGGATTAAGTGATATGGACATGGATGTGGAATTATGACAAAAAGCTTGAAACACTGTAGAAACACAAGGAAAGGTCACTGACAAGTGCTACTCAAAAATGTGGCTAGGTATAGGCAAGTTGCAAATTCTTGCCTGCAGAAAGTGCAGGAAGATACAGTGCCCAAACCCAAGACCTGAACTGGTTTAGGCATAGCAGAAAAGCACTGGGTCTGCCTGAAGACCCCTGTGAATAAGATTTACTCAGCAGCCCCTGCTGTGGCAGGTGCATGTGAAGAGCAGAACTATCATCCCTGGGGAGAGAGAGAGGTTAACTCAGCGCTCCACTGGGAGACCTTCCCTAAGTCTCTGTGAAGATCCCATCACACTCATCCTAGGGGTTAGGCAACAGCAAGCCACGGAACCACCCCCAGGCAGCTCCCAGAAAATAGCTCCCAAGGACTGGCCCTACTTCCACAGATTCATTGTATCAGTCACAACTCTCATTTGTGCAGTTTCCTGCCGTTTGTGATTCACTTGTCATATACTTTCTTTAAGTTCTCCCAATCCCATCACATCTGTCAGTATTTTTATACCCGTTTGTCAGATGAGGAAACTAAGACTCAAACTGGCCCAAAGTCATGTAAGTGGTTTATGGCAAAGTCAGGATTTAAACTGATACATTCTTGGCCACAAAGCCACTGTTTGGGACCTCAGCATTAATAAAGTCATCAGAACAACATCCAGAAAGTACAGGCACGGTTTGTGAGTTTCTTTTTTGGCAGGGTGGGGCATGGAGTGCAGGGGGTGAGATATACTGTTTGAGCCAAAGGCCCTTCAAGAGAGTGCACACTGGGGATCAAGGTGAGGCTCTGATATCCATTTGATCATCTTTTAGCCACAGACTCAAGAGTAGCTGGACACTAGCCATTGTTCACCCCTCCTCTTCCTTGCAGACTCCAGGGAGGAAGCAGTACGTATTAGGAAACGAAGGGCCACCCAGTATCCCCAGGACAGGGGTCGACAGTACAAGCTGAGTTAGGATATGAGGTACAGGCCACATGGATCTAGAACCACATGAATCTAAATCTTGGAACCAGTGCTAGAACCTCTGCAGGTAGAAGGAGAAAGAGAGAGACCATCAGCCCAAAGAAGGGTTTAGCCTAAATTACCCACCAAGAGGTACTCTTGGAATAGGAGGGAAGGAGGAAAGGCCAGGCTGGATCTCCCTATGAGGGAATGAGAAGAAAGAGGGCCTGTGTCCAGCATTCCAGAGTGACTGACCGCCCCCTCCCATACACACACACAACAGAAATTGAGGCACAATTAAGATCTCACGCATTGACCAATCAGCCCTCTTTCCTCATAGGGGAATTGAAAATGAACTTTAGAAGAAAGAGAGAACTGCAAAAAGGGAAAATAAAATTAACTTCCTGTTCGTCCCAATAGGATGCAGAAGAAAGGAACTCAAAGTGTGCATGAGTACACTCTTAAGTGTAGTCTGGTCTCCAGGGAAGTGGAGGAAGAGAGGAAAGGATCAACAGGAGATAAGGAGGTTTAGAGCAAAGCAGCCTTCAACTGTCTAGCCCTTCTACTCCTCAATTTTCTGTACCTTCCAGCCTCCTCTCCAGAGCTCCTGGCTTCATATTCTTCTATTTCTCCTTGAGGGAAAATTCTGCTTCTCTTGTTTCACACTCCCATGTCCGCTCCTAGAATCCCTGGTAACCAGGATGCACTTTGTAAATGGTATTGCAGCAGATAAGGGGCACAGGAGCTTTGATTTGATTAATGAGTCTGGCACAGTGCCTGACACATAATAGGTGCTCAATACATACTTGTTGAACAAATGGCTGAGGCTCTGTTTTGCCTACAGGAAAAATAGCACTAGAGGCTGGCACTGCTGCAGGAGAGCTTTGACTCTGGTGAGCCCTCTCTTCTGAGCTTTGCACAGGCAGATTCTGAGCTTCCTGTCATGTCTCCTGGCCCACCACTCCCTCCTCCTACCATGTCTCAGGACGTAAGAGTAGAGTACAGGGTTATCAAAGAGAAGGAGGCATTCTTTCAATTCTGAGAAGATTCTGGCATGACTATATTTTACTCTTCTCCCTCTAAGAGTCATTGCACGAGCGATCCTCAATTTTTCATTTACCAAATGCCCCATCCTCATTCATACTTCCATGCCTTTGTGCATTCTGACACCCTCATAAATTGCCCTCTCCACACTCATCCATCTGTTAAAAGTCTTGTACAAGGATACCTTCTTCCCAGTTGCTAGTGAGCCCCTTGAAGACAGAATACTTGTCGATTTCCATTCCTCTAGTAGCAGGTATCCTATTTTTCTTTGGAAACCACCTTCAGTCCACACAAGTGATTGCATCCCCACCCCACATAACAGAACAAGCAGACCTGGACAATGGGTCTCAATTATAAGACTGATGTCAAAGCTGCTGTGGAGTAAATCCCTCTCCTTATTAGACCCAAAATCAACAGGATGACCTCAAGTTGTCAGGGGCTGTATGGGAGGGTAAGGAAGAAAGCAAACCTGAGAGACAGAGGCTATATAACAACCATGTTGCCCAAGCACCTGGATTCAGCCATGCCAGAAGTTCACACTTAGACTTTTCATTGTGTAAACCTACAAATTCTTTCTCTGTTTGTGTGTTCGAGCCAGTTTGAGTCAAGTTTTCTATCCCTTGCATCTGAAACAACCTTGGCTAATATAAATATCACCATATCCCGAGGGATCTAACAGAGCATGGTGCATACTGCACATTAAATAAATATTTAATTAAATTCAGCAACTCGGTAGCAGCCTATTGAAACTCTGGCCTTTAAAAGTGCAATTTAACATCACTCTATGTCTTCTTGGGACAAAGAAAATCTCCCTGTTCTATTTTGACTGCTGATCTCATTGCAATATCACTTTGGTTTCTCGGGAACTGCTATAAGGAGAAGCTTATTGTCTTCTAACTTTTGGAAGAGCACTTCTAATTAAAGCAATATTAAACAGTAATAACTGTCTTATAGTTTTATGGCAATGCCCATGGTCACATAAATAAGCATTTTATATCCAATTAGCATTTTATATTTATTCAATCCTAAAACAATCTAGCATTTTTATTAATCAAATCAAATAGCATTTAATAGATACGGTTGTTTTAGCTTCTGAAATTAGCCACGTATAAAATAGCACTGCATTCAAGTATGCAATATATTGCCCCAAAAGAACAATATGTGCTCATCACAATTTCCATCAACACAGCACCTGTATTTACCCAAATAAGATAAAACCAACATTTTCCATAATTCCATCATCATTTGCATGATACTTTCATGATTTCTGCTATAGCTATGTGCCACCTGTACTATTATTTACTTTAAATATTTCTTTAAATAGACTCACTTTGTTCATTTAAATAATTTTATTTTAAAAATAAAATTTTATATAATGAGCTGGCTATGCTAGCTATTCTTTAAGACAATATTAAAATGAAGACATAACAATTAATATAAAAATGGTTTATCTCTGCACCAATCTGAAGTCATTCTGTATACCAACAATGGCATTATGGTACATTTGGGGAAAACAAGTGAATTAAACCATTACAGTGAGAACTACAAGGGCATCTTGTCTAGCACCTTCCTGAGCCTATGAACTCCAAGGGCATCTTGTCTAGCACCTTCCTAGCCTATCTGTGTCACATGACATCTACCTGTTCAGCTCTCACCCCCCAGGTGGGGTCTCTACCTTGGACCTCCCCGTAGTGAGCCTTCTCTTTATTAAGCATTTACTTATTTATTGATAAACTAGGGACTTTCAGTAAAAAGTTAAAATTATCTTTTACATAGTGAATGACCTCTTTGATCTGGCAGGGTTATTACATTTTAAGCAAAGGATGCATTTCTGAAGGTGTCAGACAATTTAAAATAAGTAAATTTCAAGACCTAGGGATAAATATGAAGTAAGGGGGCGGGTCCTAGAAACACCTAAATCTGCAAGCACACTCTTGCATATTTGATTTTAAGGCTGCTTTTCATTTTCTCAACACTGGGCCTAATATTCCACAGAGTGCTCCCACCTACGCCACCATCCAGCATATCATGGCAGCCATCTGGCCTTCTTCATGGTATTTTAGCAGTTATGCCTTCTGGACCAAACTTATTGACATTCAGGTGCAATTTTCAGGACTAGTAATGTTCCTTAATGAACACTTGGATGACACTGTTATAGGGTATAAAAAAGGATTTCCAATTATAATAACAGTGTATGTTAAAATAACAGCACAATCATTACCAAAATGACTCACAGCCTTCCAATGCCTACAAGCAACAAAAGATTCACAGGATGTGGACAAAGGATGGGCTATTTCGGTTTACCAGTTCAAGGGTGAGCAGAGTTTATAGTTCAGCCATCTGGCTTTGAAATCTTGTAATTTGTAAGAAAAAATAATGGGAGGATCAAATTGTTTCCAAATTTGTGCATAAAGTGACAATTAAAACTTTCACATTACACTTTTCAAATCTGCTAATTCAATTTCACATAGATTGCATTGTTGCTGTGAAGAGTCTTTCAGAAGGGAAGAACTAGGAAGTGCCATGGACTGGCCGGGTGGTGGGAAAAGCCTCTTGGTGGAATTTAAAGGTAGGGGATTTGCCAAGGGTGGTGGCAGGTAGAGGTGCTTGCCATTTGACACCACTACAGACACAGTAAGGCTCAGTGCAGAATTGTTGAGTACATTATCTCAATTGATTCTTACATCCTATTTTAGAGCTCAGAAATCCAGAGGCATGGGGAGGTTCCAGGATTTTCTGACCTCTGCTGGGTCCAGGAGAAGGCAGACTACTGGGGAGTGAGGGCAGACAGAGCAAAGGGCCCTGCAACACCCAGAAGGATGGAGAGTGGCGGAGACTGGTAACAGGCCACGTGGAAGTAAGAGGCACAAGCCGTGTGGAGGGCAGCACTCTCTGCAACAGAAAAGATAAACAATCTGGAGTAGGGAGTGAAAGGCCTCAGAAATGCAGGGTGGGGAAACAACCACAGCTGGAAAGCATGGGAGGAAGGTGAGTGGAAGAGGAAGTATAGAGCTGTGATGGCTACAGAAAAGGGGTACCCTGCCCCTGCAGTAATAAGGTGGGGTCCTAGGTGGCTGCAAAGTGTCCTCAAGGCTTTGCACCAGGCCTGAGGCTAAATGGGAAGATAAGGAGGCTCTGATAGGGTTTGCAACATCAGAGGAGAAACCCCAGCAGAATCCTAGACCCAGCTTGACCATTTTTTGCCTGTGAGACTTGGGCTGGCTGTCACTGCTGTAAGGACTGACTGAATAACACAAGTCCAAGTGCTCCCCAAATTGTAAAGCAGATTGAAGGAGCTGTCTCAGGTTAGCGGGCTTTCCCTGCCCTTGCTGAGGAGGGAGTATGGCTGAACTCCTGTTCATATTACACACATGAGATGACACATTTCTATCACACTCTGTCCTTCGGCTTACTGGGAGTGACTAAGTAATCATGCAAATCCATCTGCATTATAAGCCACAAACTCCTAATGGAATTTGTTCAAATAAAAATTTCTAAAACCAGGCAGGATCCCATCAGCCAGCAGTGGACTTTTACTTGCATGGAGGCAATACTTACCTCCCCAATACTCAAGTCCTACCAAGCTCTCTGGTGCATCCTTGCAACTTTCTCTGCTTAGACATCCTCCCACCCCTTGCTCCCCACCACGGTACCACCTTGCCTATCCAGAAAGCCTTCCAAACCACACAGACCATGGCAAGTGCTTCTCCTCAGTGCACCCATATTCTCCAGATGTCTGTTTACTTCTTATCCTCTCCATCACAAGAAAGTTTCTGGGGCAGGGACTATATCTTATTCCTCCTTTTATGTCATTACCTAGCAGAGCAGCCAGTACATACTGAACACAACTCAATAAACGGACTTTGTAACTGATGCTCCACAAACACCATGGGATATGGACCAAGTGGTCACCGTATGTGGAAGTTCTCCTCATTATGTTGGTGTTGTGCTGTCAATACTCTATTTTAAAATTTTAACCTGTGAAGTTTGCCTATCTTTGTGAATGTAGCAAAATTTGCCTGTTTTTCCCCCTTGTTTCTTGTTTTTAATGTATGAAATTTAAAGGGAAAGTCTAATTGGGCCCAACAAAGTAAAGAAAAATGTTTGAAACTCTGGCTGGTAGCACCAAGTCAGAGCTTCCCTGAAAGGGGAAACACAAGGCTATAAGGACAAGCGCTGCACCAGCTCCAGCCGCACTCAGCAAATGCCCCCAGGTCCCAAAAGCAGCATTCCCATTAAGATGCTTTTAGAAACATGCAGGTTTTACAATGCTAAAAGCTGGAAGATATCTAGTGCTGGTCTTCCAATGCTAAATAAGGGATCTGGCCCATTCTCTGTTTCTGAGAATTCACATTCACTATCCTTATTCCCTGTGAGAAAACCACTTTACTTGTCTTGTCTCGTCACTGTGGTTTGGCGTAACTGTGGCAGCTGTTATACAAGAAGTACAGGTCTTCTTCTGGAAAATTAAAATCATTCCAGTTCCTGTATCTCAGGGACTGAATTCCCCAGGGGTTCAGCAACTAATCTATCACCCTCTGGGTGTACAATTTGATTTGTTGTTTGCCTGGTACCTCAGCAGATCTCTCTAGGAAGATCAAGGACATGGGAGGCAGAAGACCTGGCAACCTCCTACTACCTGAGGTGATTAAATTCCACTGACAACAATGATGTCCCTGTACTGTTTGTTGATTGACAGAAAAATAGTTCTAAGGAAGTGCTCTTACTTTTTTATTTAATATCTCTCTTACCTATGCAATATAAGCTCTAAGCCGATGGCATAATGGCAGGCAGCTTTTGGAAAGAGACCCTGTTGGTGAGAAAGGTGGGACTACTTGAGGGTCAGGCTGAAAGACGGAGGACTGATTAGCTCAGCCAATTACTTTATCGTCTATTTTCAGTGGCTCTGTTTGCCATCTAGTTTTTCCTGCCATAGATAATGCTGCAATTAACATTTTTAAATGTATAAGCTCTTGTCCATTTCTAATATTCCTTCCTTAGGGAAATTTCTATGACTTTAATTACTGAATGCAGGGGTATAAACATTTTAAGACCATTTGACACATACTGCAAAAGCATCATGCAACCAGAAGTTTGTAAGGGCCTGGCATTGGACATGGCCATTCCTTACTATCTTTTTAAGTTATATGAGCAGAAAGGAAAAAGCAGCTATACTTTCAGTTTGCATTAATTGGATTATTAAAAAATACTTGACTCTCCAAAAGACAGAGGAACTAAATCATTGTGGGTGACTTGTATTCTTAGGATTGATAGGCCCAGGGGAATTTTTTTTTAACAGCATCAAGCTACATAATAGGGATGTATGATATAATTTTAAGTCAAGGAGAGTGCGTAAGAACAGTAACTGAGGATGATTAAGAAGTATCTTTCCATATAGATACCCAGCCTTCATACCAACGCTGTTTCTCAGGCATCTCCACCACCTTTCAAATACAGCCCATAGCCAGCCCCCAAGTGTACAATGGATGGTGAAGACAAATCCAGCTCTCTGGTACTTTGTGTGCTGGTGCCATAGAGTTAGTCCATGAGAGACATCCCTGTCCTTACAGGCAGGGAAGAGTGTACATTGTACTACCAGCTAATGGCATTGCTGAGCACGATCAAACAATATAGGAATGTGCAATGCCACAATGAAAAGTCCATAAAGGGCTGGAGGAGACCTCACCAAAAGCAACAGAGAAATTTAATCTAGGCGCTGAATAATCTGGGTGGAAGGAGAACGGAAACCAGAGACCCTACTACTAGACATGATAGAAAGCTTAATGTTCTCCACAAGAAGAGGGCAGAAGGGTTGCACTGAACAAACACCCTCCCTATAGTATTCCAGGCCCTGCAGGGTCACAGACACCCAAATGTTAGAACTTAGCCCTGCCACTTACATTGGGCAAGATACTGAGCCTCTCTGGCTCAGAGACCATATTCCCTCAAAGGGCTGGGGAGGAGATTGATGAGATAACAAAGCCTAATATCTAGTGCCTCAGAAGCCATGGAATAAAGGGTAACTGTTATTATTAATAATTATGGTAATGACTCACAGCAAAAGTCTTTATGTGCATGTAATGATTTACTTTAAAATATCCAATACACTCTGAAACTTGCTTTATAAAAATTCAGTTGTATTCTCAAAAACCCAGACCAATCATGCAGCTATGACTGTTTCCTCGCTAATATCATAGATGAAAACATGCCCAATCTGCCTCCCAAGGTTACCATGACTTGAGAAAGAGATGCTAAAGAGCTTGTAAAGAACTGAAATGCTAGATAATCAGGAATAGTTAATTGATATCCAGCTAAACACCTGGACAACAAGGCTTGAGTCTGCCATGTCGAGTGTAGCAGCCACTAGCCACATGTGGCTATTTCAATTTAAATTCATCAAAATTAAATGAAGTTTAAAAATTCTGTTTCTTAGTCAGACGAGCTACATTTCCAATGCACATATTGCTAGTAACTACCATACTGAATGGCACAGATACAGAACATTCCCATAATCCAAGGAAGCCCTACTGTTCACTCTGGATAACATAAACTGAACCTCCTGGCAACCAGACCTTGAATACACACTCCAAAGGCATGGCAGAGCAACCAAGATTCAATTGCTTTCGTTTCCCCAGCTTTGTGCCTAAGTCTCTGTTTCAAATAAGCCTTTTTTAGTGACAGCTACAGTTCTCTTTGAGAACTGATGAGAGCAATGGATTCTATCTTTAGGAAAAACAATGCACGTGGGAACATAAATACACAATCATACACGCACACAGAATTCTGCAAACAATGTCAGAGTTTCAGGACATACACACCCATAGACACCCCAGCTAGGAAACGCAATCTAGAGACCCCAAAGGACCATTTATGAAACAGTTGACTTTTATCAAGCTGAGAGGGTCATCTAAGAGGTTTTGCGAGGGAACAAAGCTCAAAAAGCTCTCCAAATTCTGTTTCACACCGCTTTATTTGGGTTGTCTTTCCTTACTTATACAGAAATGGCCAACTCTCCAGTTTTTCACTTCGTACTAGACTCGGTCCACCCCCACTCGGAGACTTGCACATCATGGCTGAGTTTAGATTTCAGATAGAGGACAATGTGCAGCCATTGGAAGGTTTTAAGCAGGAATGTGAGCTAATCTTATTTGCCTTAAAAAATGTGTTGAGTGGAGAATTGCCTACGGAGAGTGAATTGTGGAGACCAGAGCAGGAGACCATGTAACAGGTGACAGGAGATCCTGACAGGCAGCAATGGTGTGCGCTTGCTTGTGGCAGTGGAGATGGAGAGAAATGGGCAGATCTGAAACACATTTTGGAGATGAAGCTGATGGCATTGTTACTGGATTGCAAGTAATAAGTAAAGAAAACATTTTTGGCTGGAGCAGCTGTGGTATAGATACAAAAAGGAACAGATTTGCTGAGGATTGGCAGTGGGGAGTAGGGGAAGAAGCATTCTGTTTTGACCTTTGAGATATTCAGTTAGGATCCAAGTGGAAATATCAAGCAAGGAATCTGAGATACAAGGCAGGAGTTAGAGGTATAACTTTTGGAAACTTTCATCTTATAGATGATATTTAAAACATCTCATCACAGCACTGGATAGGATTACCTAGGGAGTCATGTAAGCAGAGCTCAGAAGAGCACCTTGGAGATAGCCCAAGAAAAGGCCAATACAAGGGTCAGAGGAGTTGGAAAGAAGAGAGACAATCAGGACAGAGTGGTGTGGGAGGTAAGAGGAACAGAGACTCTGGTGTCACAGCATCTAAGAGAAGGCAGTGTTTTTGGGAGAAGAGGTGGTCAACAATGTTAAAGGCTGCTGAGAGATCCAGTCATATAAGAATGAAGAAGAATCCTTGGAGCAGGCAGTGAGAACAGGACCCTGTCAATGTCTCATGGCCACCAAAACCAAATAGGAACAGGGTGAAGGGAGAATAAGAGCAGAGAGAGTGACTAGATGTACCTCTTTCTGGTAGTGCTCTCATCTCCTGAAGCAGCATCTTTGATAACATTCTTTGTTTATGAGGGATACTGACCACCTGCAGCCTCCATGACTATGGATCATCCTGGAGAATAGTTTCTGGAGTAACAACCTAGGCTTTTGGCTAAAATTGGAATGTACCTGTTCCCTCAGTTACCACGCAGTGGGTGTCTCCACTGCTGTCTCAAACACAAGGTCCCTCTTACTCTCCTTCTCAAGTCCCATGATGAGTATTTTTGAACATGCCATTATTGCAAATAACCCATTGCTTAGCTGATTAAAGAGGCAGATCAATTTGTGGACTGATGCCAATAAGTTTTACCTTCAGTTCCAAGAGAGAATGAAGAATGAAAGAAAGAAATGTAAGGAATGAAGAACATTTGGGGAGGTTGAATCAAATTACAAATGATTAAGAAATAATATAGCCTTATATATTTATTTTTAGAAGCATTAGACTACTGGGTTTTAATTTCATATTATTACAAATATGCAAAGTTAATAATATACTATTGATTGGGTAAGCTTCATTTAACATGTATAGCACTTTATACAAAACAAAACAAGATATACAATATCTCCTAAATAATTTGGAGGTTGATTTTTTTAAATGCTAAAACTACATAGTAAATTATTACATAGTTTAATTAACTATAATATTGAAAGAAAGAGGCATTTTGATTCCCCAAGAAATTTAAATTAAATGGTATTTAAATATTTAATTAAAAATGGACTTTACATACAATTTTATACTTTTAGAAATCCAGTAGACAGCAGTGTTATTACTATGAAATAATCCCTCCTATCTCCAAAGTTCATAACATAACAGCATTTGGATTCTCATGGCTTTAAGGTTAAAACAGAAGATGATTTCAAGGCCTTGGAGTGAATATGTAAACCTTATGATAGTGAATTAAGGAAAAAGCTCTTTTCTCTCTTTGGAGTGCTTTCAGGCATATTTCTCCAGATGAGACCCACAACTTCAAACTTCTTTTCTAATTAAGATTTTAATGTGGTTAGATTATACTAAATCAGATGAAAACCATCCTTCCCATCTTTTTTTCTTTCAGTCCACTCTTTTTATAAACAGATTTCCACAAGAGTGGAAATTATTAAAGGTGAGCAACACATGTATAATCAAATTTCGCCAATCGAAATATATGAATATAACATGCCAAAACTAGCCCCAAATCCTTCCAGTAATAGTAGACAAAAAATACCAGATTAGAGGAAGACCTTGCATAGGAAAGAGCTGATCTCTGACGTTTTTATTTGTTGCTTTTGTTTCTAAAATATCAGTGACTGCTTTGAAGTACTGATCATTACAAAACTCTCATGCACAGCCAGATTATATATATACACTATATATATAAAGTATATATAGTGTATATATAATATAGTTCATATATATAGTCATATGTGTATAGTCTATGTAATACCCTTTGTAATCTATAATATACATATGGTCTCTCTCTATATATAGTCTGAACTAATGTCTAGAATTGGTCCACTATCAACATTTCCAACTTATCTCAATATTATCTAGACATGTCTAGTTTTATTGAGTCTATAATGATTTTTCTCTATTCTATTCAGGTTACATGCACATTACTTCCTCATAGGCTGCAACAAGGGCTGATTTGAGACTTTAGCCATGATGCATTACTCCACAGGAGGATTTTTAGCAGCAACACAGTGAAACTACAGATGAACCTTTACTCACAGACAGATTGGTTCTGAACACTACCACCCAGTGGTGGGTCAGAGTTGCCATACATCGCTTTCTCAGATCTATGAAAGTTTATAAATTGCAGATGCCAAATAAAGAAGCCTCTCTGAGCCTTGTTTGAAAACTTTCTAGCATTTGCAGCTATTAAATATTCTCATACAGCAGAAATTAAGCCCCCACAGAAGCATCTGAATACCAAGGGTATTATATCCACTAAGAAACCTCTGAGCATTTTGTAACTAAAAAAAAATTTAAGATGTTTTAATATTAATATAATATACTATCATTCACAAGTATAAATATATTTAAATTTTGTACCAAAAAGCCCCCCTAAAGTATAATTGGAGCAGATGGTAAGTTCATTTGGCGGACTGTAATATAAAATTATATTAATAATAATACCTGAAAATATAAAAATTCAACCAAAAACAAACCACACAGAGACAAGAAATTAGTTGTGTATTTTAATTTGCTGATGAACACTTAATTCAGTTAGGAAAACCTGCCCACAGTAAATTTGGCTTCTCCTGAGTAGCAAATAAATTATTATTGGCTGAATTAGCAAGCTCCTCATCTCTCAGGTCTACTCTTCCTTGCTCTGCCAATAGAGGAAAGGGAATGCTCAAATCATGGCAACTCTCCAACCCAGCTGCGCTGGAATACTGAAGACAGATATTGATCAGCAAGAGAGGGAGGGGTCAGGGTGGGGCAGCCTTGGAAACAGACAGAATTTCCTTCTCTACCTGTGATTCCCAGTGTGGAAATCCACTTTTTCATTTGCTTACATTGTAGCACGAACCCAAAGGAGATAGAGGCTCTCAGGGCATTGGGGTGGCCCAAAGTCAAAGTGGATAACTGAGAAGAGCAAAGATTCTCTCCAAAAAGGCAACCAACCACCTTGCCTCACAAAGCAGCTACATAGCTTTAGGCAGCTAATTGAAATTGATTTAGCAAATGCAGGGACACAGTTTGGACGCCTGAACTCTTTTTGTTCCTTTGATTTAGTCTGCCTAACCTCTCTCACCATTTAATTCTAATCAGATAGAGCCAGAAAATTGAACTGGCAGGAATAGTCATTGACATTTAATTAATGTCTGGCATTCCATTTGTTGAAGAAGAAAGTTGAAGTAATGGAAACTTGGCATAGCCATCTTGAAGAATAGGCAATGATAAAAATTACATGAGGTCTGTGCTTTCAAAGGCCATTAATAACACAAGAATACTTATACTATTTTATGTGGTTCATTCTTGTCCCTGTGAAGAAGCTTAAACTTTAGGGCTGATGTTCTACCTGTGTCCCTACTGCCTAGAACAGAGCTAAGAATACAGCAGATGCTCAAAAGGATTTTAAAATATCACTGCGTTTTCACAAAGAGGGCAATTCGGGGGTGGGTGGCTGCACTATTCCCCATGCACACAGCTAAATCTTCTCAAAAAGTCAGTTGAGAGAATGACATTTTCCAAAAAGTTGTGAGAAAAGAGATGAGGCCACTGAGACATAATAGTAAAACCCAAATATGTGCAGATGACCCACAGGCAAGATAGCTTTGATTGCCCAATCAAACCCACACATAAAATTCCAACTGCAGGGAATTCTCTGCCCCTCCCCACATCATAGCACACACCATTAATTTCAGTTATCTAGGCACAAGTTACAAGAAAGAAAGAAGAAGGCAGTAAATGACCTCCCCAATGGCTGCTGGAAGTCAGTGTGGACCACTTTTGTGGTCACATAGCTCTCCATATGTATGACAAACTTGGTGTAGGCATAGGTCTGAAGTCTCTTATATCCTGTAGTGCCTGGAAGTGCTCTGCCCACAGTGGGTGCACAATCCTTTCATTGAGACATTCAGCACATATCTACCAAGTGCCTACTTGTGGTGGCACTGTTCTGGGGCTGTGGATAAATCAGGGGATCAAAATGTGAGATACTCTCATACAGATTATGGTCTGGAGGAGAAGATAAATAAACTAATAGATAATATAGTGTAGAATCGGTAAGTACTATGAAGAAATGTAAAGCAAGAGAAGGAAAGAGAGAGTGATGAACAAGAAAGAGACAAACACATAAAGGACAAGAAATTAGTTCTTGGAACCATTTTCTTGATGAACAAGAAAGAGACAAACACACAAAGAGACAAGAAATTAGTTCTATGGAACCATTTTCCATAATATAGTCATAGATGGACTTTCTGATGAGCCTGTGTTTCAGCAGAGACTTAAATGAAGTGAAAGAGCAAGGGACATGGACATCTGGAGTAAAAGTCCATCAGGGAACGGCAAGTGCAAAGGCCCTGAGGCAGGAGTAAGCTTGAAGTGGTGAAGAAAGTGCAAGAAGAACAGTGTGGATGAAGCTGAGAAAGGTGGGGACAGAATGATAGAAAATGAAGCTGGGGAGGTGGCCAGTTCATGTGAAACATAGATGCCTGGGAAGGCAATAGAGTTTTAAGGTTTGCATTTTCAGACTGGGGGCCTAGGGTGGGAACAAAGAGACTATCAGGAGACTACTGCAGTCATTCAGGTGAGAGATGATGGTGGCCTGGACCAACCAGGTCTTTGTTGTGTTCACTAAACAGGTGTAGAAGTTAATAGATTATAAATGCATTTTGAAAGTTGAATTCACAGGATTTCCTAGTGGATGTGATGTGAAGTGAGAGAAACAGACAAGAGTCAAAGGTGACTGCAAGATGACCTGAACAAGCAGATGAATGGAAATGCCATTTGCTGAAATAGGGAACACTAGGCGAGGGGGAAGAAGGGTCGTGGGTTTGAGAGGGAGGAGCCAAGAGTTCAGTTTTGGCACATAAATCCTGGCTAATGATGATGATAATGACACCAATGGTGATACAGCAGAAAGCAGAGTAAAGAGTTCATCTTGATTTTCAAAAATTAAATAGTATTCCTCAGGGATACTATTCCCCATGCACACAGCTAAATCTTCTCAAAAAGTCAGTTGAGAGAATGACATTTTCCAAAAAGTTGTGAGAAAAGAGATGAGGCCACTGAGACATAATAGTAAAAGCTCCCCTCTTGCAGCTCTCTATAGGAACCTGGACTTAATTTTTTAAATTATTTTTTTAGAAATGTGCCTCTGTGCCTGAGACATGTAGGCGAGCAATCTCGCAGGGATGTGCGGGCTGTGGTGTGTGAGAGCCCTAACTTCCACAGATCCAGGCATGTCCACAGAACCTGGACTTTAGCTACTTGCCTGGTGAGAAATGGACCAAAGTTATTTTGAGCTCCATGAGCAAGGAAATATTTAAATAATGAATGACCACAGAACTGCCTCACATTCACCCTGGATTCCCTCTGTGAACAGGTGAGAAACCTTAAGGGCTCTGCTATCTGGGGCAATGGTCATTGCTAATGAAGCCCTCACAAAAGATGCAGGGGTGCCAGTGTGGAAAGGCACGGAGGCCCACAGTCACCAAGACTGGCCTGGAATCCTGGTCACGTATTGCAGATCAGAGGCACCAGTGTGTAAGTCTCAGAAACCAGGGTCAAGCTCTCACAGTTCTCTAGGCCTTCCACCTCCAAAGCGGGGCGCACATTCTGGGGCATGTACAAGGGGATCCCCTGGGTATTATAGAACTATTTTTGAATATTTCACTTAAAAAAATGAATAATTATTTGTCATCAAAGTTCTATAGGCACATAGTTTTAAAAGAGTCAAATCACTCTACAGGGCTTGTTGCCAAAACATAGCATTTATCCTGAATCTTCCCTCTGCCCCATGTTCCACTTGTCTGAGGCAACTGCTTTGAACTATTTTAGCCAACTCTTTCATTATTTGCCTCCACATCACTAAACAACATGCTTATATTGCTACCTAATTTTTCACCTCTTGGCATTAGGTATTGACTTTCTACTTTGGAAGATGAGGATTTAGTTCTGGTTCCCTCTCCCTTCCACACAACACACACACACACACACACACACACACACACACACACACACACACACACACACAATCCCCCATCCCCCATCCTCCCAGCAGAGTTAGTTATATTGTACTTTGGTTAGCTCAATATTCAGTGTTTACACAATGATGACTATAGATGCTATTCCCAGCTAAGTCACAGAGATGCCATAGTTAACTTTTCCTTTTTTTGCACAAGATTTTGTGTTTTCCAAACTTAATAATCATCTTGATTCTATCATTCTTATGCTCTGGGTACTTTCTATGCAACAATAATAAGACTAAGCAAAACCTAAACGTCCAAACTTGAAGTTTACACGCTCATTCTCTCAGTCTCTGTCCCACGCTCTCACATATCAGAGAGTTTTTAATGAGGAAGAAGACATTATCCCCAGAGCAACAGTTCAAAAACAAGTGTATAGATATCCCATGAGAAAACAGTTCTAACACCAACAGGGTTGGGAAAGGTCTAACAGGGTGCCTGGCAATAACAGATACTTGGTTTTGTTAGACTCAAATTTTTTGAACTATTGCAGAGAGGAGCTCAGGATCCCTTGCTTTTTTCTGCTCCTGGTTCCATTAAGGTAAAATGTCTCTTTTGTTTCTCTCTCAGCTCTGCACAAGCCCTTTCTCTGGTGCTTGTGTTTGGCACAGGGTTCCCCAGATGTGAATGTTCCTGCTTGGGGGCCTTCCTCAGAGCCAGCCCCTCCCAGTGTCGAAATGGGAAATGTCAGTTCTGTCTCATGTCATCATGCATCACAGAAACAGGCCAGCAAAGGAAGCATTAAGAACACGCTGAGCAGAGACCATGGAAAAATAATCTCAATTCCAAAGCTATATTTTTCTCAGCAGGTGAAGAATAAAAAACAATGTGTTTGACCTCTGCCCTGGCCAGTATACAGAAGCACCTGCAGGTCTGTTCTATGCTAAGCAGTGGCTCTTCTGCAATGCCCAGGCTGCCTGTTCAGGGCTTTGCCCACTGCCCCCCACCCCCTCCCCAGCCCCACCAGCCTCCAGGCCACACAGACCTGGTTAACAAAAAAGTCAGTATGAACAAAGGAGCGTCCCAGAAATGGTCCAAAGCATGTGAATTGGAATGGTGCTGGCACAGACTCAGCCACCCTGATGCCAAAATACTTAATCTAGCAGGTTCCTGAGACATTCATGAGTAAGGGGGTAAAAACAGCACAGTTGATACTGTTTATGGCTAATGCCCTTATTTTACTCAAGATCAATCTAGGTTTCTGGAAGAACAAGAGAAGAACAGAGGTCAGTGTAGTAAGACTCAGGAGACCATGGAGGCCTGAGCCCAGGGATGCCAGCCAAAGAGGGTTCCTGCTCATGGTGTTCTCCCACCATGAGGTGCTTTTCTCTGGGGCCTCTCCTTCCCTCCTTCTGTCCATTCTTCCTTTATCCCTTGTTCCATCCCTGTACGAACCTGCAGCCTGCTTGCCTGTGTGTCTCCAAAGCATTTCCCAGCCAGCTCCTTGGTAGAAGAGATGTGGTGGGGATGAGAGATCATCTAAGGACCCAGGAACACTTGAGGAAACAGCGGGAATAACACTGACTCATATTCTCACCTGCAAATCAAATGCTAGCACTGGCAGGCAGGATAGAGAGTTTGAGGTTTTGTCTTTTCTCCCCCACTGATTCCTGTTTGCAAATGGAGTGTCTGCTTGTCCTCCCCAGGCCCCAGGTCCAGGTGGCAACTGGCTGGAGCAGGAAGAGGAGGCAGATGGAGCGGGCGGGTGCTTCATTATTGGAGGTCTCTAAAGGAGTAAACTGAATATTTGCCTTCTAGGCAGTATAATTGCTTGGGACGGTTGTAGGTCTCTTGCCAACACACATGTGTGCACATGCATGCACACACACATCAATGCACACACAGAAGTGCACAAATAACCCTAGGGAATCAACCCCTCAGCGTGTTTCACACCCTCATATTACAGGTGTGGGAGAGGAGGCTTGGAGAGGTGAGATGACCAGTCCGAGGCCACAGTAGCAACTGTATGCTGAGCCAGGACAGTGGGCACTGTTCTTTCCTCTGCCCCAGCTATCCCTGCTGAGTGAATTCATCCCAGGACTTGGCACTCTGGGCACAGTGGGAAAGGGAGGGACTTTGACCTCAGGCAGATTCCATTTGAATCCTGGCTCTACCACTTACTAGCTGAGTGGCTTGGGGCAAGTTGTTTAAAGTCCCTGAGCCTCAGTTTCCCTCATCCGTGCACTGAGGAGAACAGTACCTACTTCCCACTTTGTTTGATGAATTCTCTGAAATCCCATATGCAGAGCACCTGGCTCAGTGCCTTGCACACAGATGCTGCTTCCTTAAGTGGCAGATGTTAGTAATTCTCTTCTTTATATTCAGATTTGTGGCAAATTTAGATGGCTCTGCCCATCCTGGAAGGCCTTTAATTCCTGGATGGACCCAGAGAAAGGGATCAGGGTACATCAGCAAAGGAGATAAGGGCACTATCCCACCAGGAGGCTCCCGATCCCCAGGGTAGTAGAGCAGGCTCTTCCTATAATCTACAGGCTAGTCTGCCAGCTATGACTACTCTGCAAAAACATTTGGTGACAGAGTGTTGGACAGATTCTGAAATGTCAATGTTCTGCATACAACCACGATCTGCCCATGGGGGTTATGGTAGCTTGATTAGTTGTATTTTTCAGTCTTTTGATTTGAAATCACTTCATGGAAAAGTCAACTTAATGCTACCCACAAACCTGAGTCTCTCTGTACTAGTACCTGCCTCATAACTGTGTCATAAGAATTACATGTAGTACGGTGTCAAAAGCCCTTAGCACACTGCCTCACAGGCTGCAAGAACCCAATGCAGCCTGTTGTTGTGGCAGCTCCTGTGTTGTGGCAGCTGTTGCCATGGCTGTGGCATGACAGAGAGCATCCATTCACTGCAGAGAGGTGGTGGGGAAATTGTCCATTCACTCATTCACTGGACAAGCACCCCCTGCGTCCCACTATGTGTCAGCCTGGCCTGGATGCTGGGACATACATACGACCAGAACACAGTCCCTGTCTTCATGAAGTTGTGTTTCAAGAAGCCCAAGTTGTTTCATTCCTATCTTCACATGTGTCTGAGGGCAAGACATCACAGCTTCTTTCTTATAACCAAGAGCTCCTGAATGCTATTTTGTGATGCCTCCATCAGCCTCTCGGTCCTGATTAAGTTGAATGACTTCTCATAATCCTATGTCACATTTGCAATTAATATCAGACATAATGGTATTCATTCATTAACACTCAACAAGCACTCACTCCATGCCAGGCACTACGGAGACAGTGGGTCTGTGAGAGGTGTGGCCTCTGACTGCAGGGAGTACACAATCAAGCCCAGGTCCTGCAGCCTCCTCTTCCCATGCCAGGGCCTGAAGAACTCATTCAGTTCTTCCTAGTGCCCCCCACTTTGCCCAAGGTGCTATCTTGGCAGACTTCCTCAGCCCTACCTCCCACCCCAGTTCTTGAGGCTGTGCCTGCTACTCCCCCTCCTTAGGGCTCTAGGAAGCTACAGCTCTTATATCAAGGCCCAGGGTGGAGGTTACCACTCCCAGCTTTGTCTCTAACCAGCCAGGAGGCATTTTAGAATGCACTTTCTCACTCAGAGTCTCAGCCTCCTGTCTGCACACACAGCTCCTCCTCCATAGAGATATCCTGGGACTATGTGAGCTGAAGCATGAGAGTGAGGCACTCAGAGTGAGATAGCACCCTCACCCCACCTGCCCCTTAGAGCCCTGTAATCTTGGCCACACCACTACCATCCCACCTGACTCTCCTCCTCCGCTCTCCTCTCTAAGATGAATATCCTAGACCTCTGTACAGGGCCAGGGGGCTGCCAGTCTGCCAACAACCCTCAGGCCTGATTACCCAGAATAAATTACCATGCAAGGCATTAGGCTCTTTAGTAGGGAACCAGCAATGGATTTTATATACAATTTAGAAAGAGAAGAATATTATTGTACTTTGTTTTCCTATGGCTATTATCCCCATAAAAGCTCATTTCTACCTCTTAACAGGGATTTACTTGGACTGATGAATTAGTTAAAAACCTTCCTGCCCAATTTCAATTTACTCAGTGCAACATATGCTGTAAAACATTTAGCAAGAGTGTAAATTCAGTCAATGCAGCTCCCTGGAAACGTTGCTTTTCTTCCAGACACCCCATCTCCCCTTTGCTGGGCCCTGGGGAGATCACATGATGCCCTCTGGGGAAGCAGGGAAAGGTGGTCCAAATTAGCCCTGGTATATCACTCCCCTGGAGCAGGACAACTGACAGCATATCTTGGACCACTTCTAGATGTGGGCAGGAGTACAGAGAGAGATTCTTATGGAGGAAGGTGTGAACATGTCTTGGTTGAGTCCAGGAAACCAGAGATTTTAGTCCTTGCCCTATGGCTCCAGTTTCCAAACTGGTTCTCAAAGGACAGGCAGTGTCATTTTGAGGCCCCAAAGCCTGCGTCTTCACCCTGTCATTGCAGTTTCCCACAAATGTTTACATCAAAATCACTTTCTCTCAGGCTTACAAGCACTTTGGGCTTGGGTCGAACTGCAAAATTCACAACTTGGAAAAAGAACAATAAAGATTGAGTTGTTCTAAATAATTCAGCAGTTTCCACCCTAAGTTCCAGGGCCAGGCTTCACAATGCTAAACTAAATTCTTCTTCCTGATAAAACCACAGACCCTGCCCATCCTTCCCTAGAACTGTGCCAGGGTGGGCAATATCAGCTTCTTGAAAGTACCATTTCTGGCCAGGAGTGGTGGCTCATGCCTGTAATCCCAATACTTTGGGAGGCCGAGGCGGGAAAATTGAATCCCAAGAGTTTGGGACCAGCCTAGGCAACAAAGAGAGACCCCATCTCTACAAATATATTAAAAATTTAGCTGGGCATGGTGGCACACATCTGTAGTTGCAGCTACTCGGGAGGCTGGGGCAGGAGGATTGCTTGAACTCAGGTAGTCAAGGCTGCAATGAGCCGTGATTGTACCACTGTACTCTGGCCTGGGTGACAGAAAGAGACCCTGTCTCAATTTAAAAAAGAAAGAAAGAAAAGAAAGAGGACAAAGAGAGAGAGAAAGAGTACCATTTTTTCCCAGCCAGGCAGGGTCAGAGCCCCAAGTTCCTATTCTCCCTCTACCCCACACACCCCTGTCTCCAGTGTTGCAGACCAGCTGATGGCCCTTGTTCTTGAGGACAAGTCCTTCCCCCCAACCCCCAAGTTCCTAACATCTTATCTTTAGATCAGACAAATTCACTTATGAAAGCTCTACTGAGATGAGCCCTCCAATTTTTAGCTGGGTTTCTATGTTCTGGCTACTGACCTGAGCCAGTCACTAACAAGCCTGTGGCTGGAACTTGATGCTTGGGAAGACCAGACACCCTGCCTTGCTTCTCAGCCACATTATGCTTCCCTTGAATCCAAGGCAGCCATGGAGATGTGGCTTCTCAGTCATGAAGGAAACCTCACAGAAATGTGGGGATGGTTCATGGCAGATCACGCTCCTGCCAGAGCCCACCTAGGGCTATAGGATCAAGGGTCCCTGGCTACAAGGCCTCACCTCAGACATCTGCCACGAAAGCCCTCAGAGCCCTGCTCACAGTGAGCACCAAATAAGGAGCAGTTTCCTTTCCCACCAGTCTGATCAAGAACCTGATTATCCAACATTTCATCCATAAATGAAACTGTAGAAGTCCTTTTTAATTTTTTAAGGTAGACTAAAGGAGCAATTAATGTGTAATAGAGGCACATATGCAGAAAAAATTCTGAGCCAAAAATGCTGGAGGGCCATTTCTGTCTATTCATTCATTCATTCGTTCATCCATCCAGTCATGTAATACTACTACTGAGAGCCACCTGTGGGCCAGGCAGGAGGAAACAGTGGTTCTACAGTCCTCACACTCTTCTTCCTGGCGGAAGGCAGCAGGAGGTACCTCCAGCATTGCTCCCTGCATTCTTCATCATGAATCCCCTTCACTGTGGGAGCCGTCACAGCATTAATGCATGTCCTTGACTACAATTTACTGAGTGCTAGCAATGGACTAGGCCTTCTGCTATGGGCTTCCACGGATGAGCTCATGGAATCCTTATAAGCCATTGAATAACTGGGGTTGCAGTCATTTTACTGACAAGGAGAGCAAAACTCTGAGAATAGGGGTGATGTTGTCAGCAAGTGATGGAGCAGAGTGTTTAGTCCACTGTCTGGCTCCGTGGCCTACTCTTTCCTCTCCACTCAGCTTAGTATTCACATCCCCAGAGAGATGCTAACAATAACATCATTATTTCCTTCACTCAGCCTCTGCCTGCAGTCTGGAGGTAGGACAGAGGACTGAAATACTTTTAGGATGCCTGAAAGAGTAAAGGAGGACCCACTAAATTGTAAAACCCACACCCCCCAGGGTCCTATCAAACTTTTTTTTTTTTGAGGCAGAGTCCCACTCTGTCGCCCAGGCTGGAGTGCAGTGGTGCGATCTTGGCTCACTGCAACCTCCGCCTCCCAGGTTCAAGCGATTCTCCTGCCTCAGCCTCCCAAGTAGCTGGGACTACAGGCGCCTGCCACCACACCCAGCTAATTTTTGTATTTTTAGTAGAGGTGGGGTCTCACCGTGTTAGCCATGCTGGTCTTGAACTCCTGACCTCAGGTGGTTCACCCACCTCAGCCTCCCAAAGTACTGGGATTACAGGCATGAGCCACCACGCCTGGCTCAAACTTGTTCTTTTAAGGAGCCTCTGCAGACAGTCTCCCTGACCCTCCTCAACACCTATGGTCAGGGATTCAGAGACTACCAGAGGTTTCATTTTGCAGATGGTGACACTGGAGCCCAGGGGACCAGGAAGGCTGATGTCATACATGGGCATGAGGCACAGCTGGACTAGAATCCATGTCTCCCATCCTTCAGTCTCCATTTCCCTACCTGCTGATTAAGGAAGATCTGTCTTGTCCCATTCTCTGTGACTGGAATGTGGGTCTGGTTTGTACTCTGCAACCATGTGTGGGTTCAGAATTCAAGGTACCTTCCTGCTCATGAATGAAATGCTAAATTTCTGGGTAAGCCTTGGCTCACTTGGATATAGACTCATTCCATGCTTAACAACTGTTCCTGCTTGGGGAACCGCTCCCCTTTCTTCAAGCCTGTCTCAGGCCATACCTCCTCCAGGAAGTCTGCAATGCTCTGCATTCTACAGCTTTTCCCTTGCAGACAGGGATCTTCCCAAGGACAGCAACTGTAGCCCACTCCTTTGTGTATCTCCAGCCTCAAGCCCAGGGCCTGGCACCGAGGAACACTCAATAAATGATTGTTGAATAAATTTTGTTGAATACACCAGAAATGAAACAACAGCCTCAGGCTCAAATAGATATTTCATTATCTGGTGAGAAATTAAAAGATGCCAACTCATCTTTAATATAATTGACTGCTCTTTTATGATGCCTCTCATCTAATTTCTCTCCAGCCCTGCAAAGCACTGAAGCTCCTCAATATCCCTCATAATCAGAGGTACTATTTATTCTGTAGGCATTTCATTTAACAGTACTAAGACCCCAGATCTTCAGTGGTCACTTCTTTTCTCTGGCATCAAAAAGGACTACTAATAGCTATTCAGACTGTAAAGAGCAAATGAGTGCAAAGAAGAAAGTTTGATAATTCTAAACCATAATCTTCCCTTTGATTGATTTCCTCAAGGCAAAAAGTCACCATTAAAAGCAATGTTGCCTACCCCAGTTTTTACAAAGACCATCAGCCCTCCATAATACTCTGTAATGCACTGACATGGGGCAAAGGGCAGGTTCACAGTGGATCTTGTCACCATTCCCTTAGCTTTAGCTGAATCCCATCATTACATATAAGAACTATTTCTACAGTTTTCACCCTCTCCCGACCACTGTCCTGTCATGACTTATGACTTGAGGAGGCTACAGTTACCCTTGGAAACAACAATTTCAGCACCTGGTCAGCTCCATCTCAATGGATGGCAGGAGGCAATCTCAGGTGGAAATCCTGCATGCATCTGCAGGGGCAGAGGGCCCACTATGGTCCACTGCCGCTGTGTTCAGGATGAGGCACGCAAAGCCATTTACAGGTCATTTGTGACAAGCATCATCACCGAAATGGTCCAGATGCCTGGCACAGAGGAGCACGCAATAAATGATCTTCCACTAAGGGCTTTCACACATGCCTCACAAGCCCTCATGAGGTCATAGACAGATCACATATCTGTCACATACTTTCTTATGTTTTGTATTTTAGAACTAGGCTTTGAGCACCTCCTCTGTCCAAGATATGATGCCAAGTACTGTGGAGATTACAAAATGTAATCATAATTATAATGACCACCATCTATTGGCAGCGTATGGAGAGCATCCCCCCCCAGATGCTTCACACATGCCAGCTCACATGGTGCCAGGAACCCTGTGTGGCAGGGATGTGGTCTCAGAGTAAGTTTTAACCTACTTACTCAGGCAGGTTAGCCAAGTGGCTCTCAAACTTTGCTCCTCCTCAGAGTCATCTGAGCAGCTTTTAAAAATTCTGATGTCCAAGCCACACCCCAGCCCAAATTACATCCAAATCTCTTGGAGTGGAACACAGACACTACTTTGTATTACCCTCCATCACACATTCCAGTCATTCCAGAAATAGCCTAATGACAAATTGAAGTTCCCATGGCTGGTAAGTAGGGGAACAGGGTGAATTGAGCCCAGTTTTATGACTCCAAAGCAGGTGCCCTCTCCTTTTATGTCACTCTGTAGGTACCTAACTTCAAGTTACCCACAGACTCTAATAAAAAGAACCAGGACAGTCTAGGGTGTCACAGGGGAGAATCAATGCCATGATGTGGGTCCAAAGGGGTACAGGGTTTAAGAGAGGAGAGATCCCCGAATTTGGAGCCAGTGGGTGATGGTTGCTTTTGGAGAGTCTCATTTGAAAGGAGGCTGGAGGCACAGGTCCTCCTCCAAGAGTGGTGGTGGGAGGTGTTATAGGTGGAGCACACAACATGCACAAAGCAGCAGGCAGGAGAGCAGACAGGGTCTAAGTGAAGACACTCACGCAGTTGGGTTGGTGTTTTGCAGACTAACAGGGAGAATGTGGAGGCAGGGCTAGAAAGACAGGTGGGTGCAGTGATGGCAGGGCCTGAGAGTCAGAGGGAGGAGGTAGTGATGTATGTAGTTGGTAACAAGAAGACCCTGAAGACTCTCCAACTGGCAGTGACAAGATTGTGCATAAACTCTAGGAAGAGTCTTCTAGCTGTGGCACAGGGGAGGCACTCAAGGTCTACTGTAGAAAGAAACTGATTGAGAGGTCAGATTAACTGGTATAGGAGATAACTAGGGGAAGGATGCAACCTCCCCAGGAATTAAGTACCCACCCAGGGTAGGCAGTGACACTGAAAAGACAAAGAGCAATTGGGATGGCAGATTGGACAAAATGTAGCAGTGACTGGCAACGTGGGAGGCTTTACTTTTGGTAGCAGCCCTGACATTTACTAGTTAGGTGACCTTGGGCAAGTCACTTAAACCTCCATGCCTTAGTATACAGCTCTGGTGAATGGGAATAAGACCCTTCCTATCCATCTCGCAGGCTGGCTCTGAGTCTCAAATGAGATAATGCATGTGAACAAGTCAGAGGAATAAAAAAGCATATACATACCAAGTCCTAGACAACTCCATAATGTTATTAATACTCTGCATGTTCTCTTTACTTTTCCAAGCTCTTAAACTTGAAGGCTGCACTACTATATGAGAAAAAAGTGTTAATAATGATGTCTTTTATAGCTTAAAGTTATGAACAAATAAAAAGAGTTTATGTCTTCTACTGTTGCTGGCGAACCGACTTAGCAATATGAATTTGAATTAAAATGTCAATAACTTTTCATTTGAGTTTCTTAAAATATATTTAATTTCTTTTTTATAGTTTTTCCATATTTTATGCAGCAATATATTCTACCTATTGAGTTTCTGGAATACTTCAGAATCCAAACTAACCAAACCACGAAGTCATTGCCTCGTTGCATTTGTGCTTCTGTAACAGAATACCACAAACTGGGTAATGTATAAAGAATAGTTTATTTCTCATATCTGTGGAGACTAGGATGTCCAAGATCAAGGTGCTGACATCTGCTTTCTGGTGAGGGCCTTCTCACTCTGTCTTCATATGGTGAAAGGTGGAAGAGCAAAACGGGGAGCAGCATTGTATTCTCACATGACAAAAGAGTAGAAGAGAGTAAATCTACTCCCACAAGCCCTTTTGATAGTGGCATTAATCAACTCATGAGGGGTTCACCTCTGAAGGTGGTAGCCATGAGGATCATCATGTTTATGACAGGGGTCTTCAATCAATTATATTTATTGAAACTGAGGACACAGGAGAGGGACTTGCAGAAGAGAACAGGTTTGAAGACCAATCCTCAATTATCCCCAGAATTCTATTAACAAGTATTGCACTGTTCCAAGGGAACAAAGTCCTTGGAACTCTGGAATTCTGGTTAATTCTGGCTTCCAGTTTATTCTGTGGCCTCTAATGTGAGTGATAAATTCTAGAAGGACACTTTATGTGTTCAACAGGGTATATAGGCCGTCCAAAAGGAGAGTCTTATTTGGGCTTCTCACCTATTCTAAACCAAATAACCAATTATTAGATATTTTGATTGTACCTAATATTTAACTGTTTGCTGCTACACACACACATGCACACACACACACACAGACACACATATATGTGTCTGTATGAGACTATGGGACCTCAGAGGTGTGAATCATCACATGTAGTTCCCTTCATTCCAACAGAACTGGCAGGACCACTAGGCAAATTGGCCCCCTGAAAAATGGGTAGTTTCTGCCTGCACATCATGTTTAAATATTAGTGTAGATGTGTAAAACCATGGAACTGTTTAATCATTTTTAAATAGCTATTTGGTATGACTTCAAAACATCTAGCAAACAACTGGAATATTTTACTCCTGGGAAGCTGGGAGCTCTCATTTTCAAGAAAAGAATAAATTGGCAACCACTTTTAATAACAATACAGCCTTTTCTAAAACAGGAGGGGAAACAGAAAGGTATCATAGTCTTGGAAACAAAATAATACAGAGAAAACACAGTGAGGCTTCCAGAGATGTATGTGACGTTTCCTGATAGCTGCCTTGAGTCCCACATGCCAAACTCCCTTGGCTTGTTGCTGAAGGATGAACATAGGTGACAGCCATGACCATTCCCTGGCTGTCCTTTCTCAAAGGCATGGGTGTTGCTGAGGTGCAGCTGGCAGACAACAGTGCCCACTAGTTGGCAGCTTCTTATAGACCCCAATGCCCAGAAGTATGATAGAAGCGCAGCCAGTTCAATCAATCACACCTTAGTGGGTATAACTTTAGAAAACAAGACTACTTTGCAGACTGCTGTTTGACCAGTCATAGAAGAAAGCAGAGGATGGCAGGAGGCCTCCCACCCATGTACAGACCTCCTTTCAAAGTAGTCCTTATTCTCCTGACCCCCAAATCTATCCCATTTATCCATCATCCCTTCAGCTTCCAAGTCAGTCCATGACTTCTGCCATGGACAGGGGCAGGTGTTTAGGAGCACTGGCCCAGGGGTCAGCCCTGCCTAGGCCCTATAGCAGGGATGGCAGCAATTTATCAGGCATAACCTTAATAAGTTGCAAGTTTCCTCCACCTCCAACACATTTACTCACGTGTATGCCCCTAGCCATTTTCCTCTTCTGATTTGCACTCCAGTGTCCCCGTGAGGACAGACTAGAACCCTGGCAGCACGATAGAGTGATGATCCCCTGCCTCACTCAATACTGTTACTGCAGCCATATTCTTGGGTCATCAGCATAGGACCTCAGTCTCTACCTTGGGTCCTGCCCACTTCGCACAAACAGACCCAAAAGATAATTCAGCCATAGGCCTGACTCAGCACCTTCCCTTCACTCAGTCCATCAACAAACACTTATGAGCCTCTGAGGATTGCAACAGTTTACTTCAACTATTTCATGTTCTAGGGAAGGAGACACAAAAATAAATAAGTCATGAGAATGCAGTATTATTCATGCTCCAAAGGAGACCATGGTGCTATGCAAGCTCAGAGAAGAGGCTCCAAACCCAACCAGCAGCACACAAGGAGGACTTTCTAAAAGGGGTGAGGCCTGAGCTGAGTCTGAAAAGATGAATAAGGATTGGCAGGCAAATTGGGTGGGAGGCAGGGAGGAAACAAACAACTATCCCAGGCAGAGGAAACCGCATCAGCAAGAGCAGGAGAGAACAACCACCATCGTCAAGGCATAATAGGGGAAGTACAGACAACCATGGAGTCAGGAGTTAGGCTGGGGCTAGATCATAAAGGATCATAGATGCATATTAAGGAGCTTTAATTATGTCCTTAATATGACTGGAATTACTGACAGGAAATAATGAGACAGTAGCCCAGTGAAAACTGGGTTTGAGGATGATGTCCCTGGCTGCAGAGCACATTGAAGGTTGTGGAGAGAGAGCAGGAGCTGTGGACTGGGTAGGAAGTTTCTGCAGTTACCCCTACCCACAGCTAAGACCTACTTGGATAACAACACTGGCCCTGTGGAGCCCAGGTCTTTCTCTGTCATTTAGTCACAGTAAGTCAGAACCCAGAGCACCTTTTCCACTAGCTTGTCTGTTCTTTTGACCCTGGCCCAGTTCTTCTAGCACCTGGCTGTGTTCCATTGGCTAGCGTCAAAATGCTAGCACACTCTAGGGCAACCAGAGGATCACTATTTCAATAGGCTAACATCAAACCACCATCTAACGGGTTGACGGGGCAAGTTGATTTTGAAGAAGAGTGGGAGAGAAGGTCACTGGTTTGTTGGGGAAAACAAATGAGTGGGCATGCCTCCGAATAACACTGGGCCATCCTGGGGCTTCAGGAGGATGCTAGAGGCTTCTAGAGAAAGGAGGAGGCTACATGAGGGCTCTGGGCCCCTGCAAGAAGGAGGGACAGGTCCCAGAATGCAAGAAAGCTAGGCTCTGCCATCTTACCTGGTTCTGAAAAGGGCTGAGCCAGCTTTGAGGTTGGAAGCCTGAGAAAGGATTGTGTTTGCCCCCGTCCTCTGAGAAAATGCAAGTGGGTCTTTTGATACAATATGACATAGCTAGACACTCTTTCTCGAATCTGGATAGAGCATTGCCATTTACCCTTCTCTGCCTTTTCCCTCAGTACTCGCCAGAAGGGAGGCCCTGAGACCATGGCCCAGGAGCCCAGGCCCCAGAAGTGGAGAATACCACTCCCACATTACCCCTGGAGAGGCATCGGAGACACATCAGCTTGACTTCTGCCTCCAGAGCTGCTCAGGAACCATGACTTTCTCAGAAGTACAAATGCCCCTGCTCCTTGCTTCCTCTGAGACACTGCAAAAGTTAAGAGAGAGACTGCCTGGTATACCAAAGTAGGGAGGTTGGTTCAGCTCTCTTGTCAATGGATCAATCAATTCCAATCCTTCCCATGCAGAACCACTGCCCAAAATCAGTCTTGAGCTAATGATAGAACCTTTGATTAATTACTTTAAACAGCTTTGAACAGAATTTCAGAACAGCATTTTCTTCACCAAATAACACCATGCAAACTTCGTGGGGCCAAGAGAGGGTGGCATGAAAATCAAAAGCACATTAAATGAAATCACTGAAGAAAACTCCCAAAGTATAAAATATCAACCGTAGTGGCATTGTCTGAAGCCTGCCATCAAGATGAATTGGGGTGCCTGGGAGAAATATCAGATGGTATTTGTCAACTTACTGCTCTGAAGGACAAAACAGGTCATTCCCCAATTGAAGAGAAGTGAGGCAGCCGTAATGGGACAAAGATGTGTGGCCGGGAGGTAAAAATCAAACCTCCTGGAAATAGCACTGCATGCAACCAGCAAAATGCATTTCTTTCTCATTTAAATAAAAATGAAGAGGGAAAAATCATTGCAAAAATGGTTTCAGGTTGCACAATGTCCAGGTTCCTGGGAGAAGACACAGGAGTCAGTCCTTATGTTCATTGTTCATGTACCCACCTCACTCCCTCCAGAAGGCATCTCAGCCCTGGAAATGTAGATCTTCAGTCCAGCTCCACAGCCCTCCCCTGAGATCCTCCAGGGCAGCTTGGCCCCTTGACCCCCCTGCCAAGGCACAATGGCAGGTTCCTCCCTTAACTAAGGCCCTCTTCCCCCTTCCAGATGACACTTTGAAACCAAGTTTGTGTGTCACCTCTACCCTGCAGCTTCCTCTGACTCTCCATATCCTGCACCTACTTTATATCATCATGTACTCTCTTAGAAATGGGCTCTTCACCTGTCACACCTAACACTTGCACCGACCTCCAACATGGCCCAAATTAGATTACATTGTGATCATTCCTACATTCCTCTAGCCCATGAGACTAGGAGGTCCCAAGGGCACTCCCTGCATGGCTGTATCCCTGGAACAGAGGACACTGCCAGAACCCAATAAACCCTGGGGTGAGCTGAGGGAGGAGAGTACGGCTGCTGATATCGTGATCTGAAATGTGGTGCAGTGCTCTATAGCACTATGTTGTTAGAATATAAATACTAATTACATTTTAGGAAGCAATCTATTCAATAAAATGAAATGTTGGATTTTTTTCCTAGAGGAAATATAAAAAAATTACTGAGACACAAACGGTGGTGTGAGCCAAGGCAGCTGGGGAACATCTGCCCTAAGGTGAAGTTAATAGAGAGAGTGGGGGAGACAGCTCCTGGAGCTGCCCTGGCAACAGCATTGAAGCCCACCTGTGATGTGACAGTGCCTGCCCACCAATTTCACTACAGCATAGGCTATGCTCCTACTATGTGCCAAGAACTCAGCTCAGCACTGGGCTCTGCTGTGCAAGACTCTGCCCAGGAAGAGCTCCCTAACAAGCTATACTGACAACTGCACAAACTACAGCCCATTATGCTCACCACAGGTCTCCTGGATGTAACTGCAGTTCCAAAACAAACAAACAAACATGAAACTGACAGTCGGCACAACCCACAAAAAGGCCTTATCAAATAGAACAGAAACATCTGTCTTTAGGATTACTGTGATGAGTGACTCTAAGGCTTACAGTCTAAGCAAAAAGCTCACAGCAGAATTTGGAAAGACTAGTACAGAGACAATACCAATCTCTGCCCCTCTTCCTAGCTCTAAAATAACCCCAGAGATGCTGAAATGCAGGCCCTCCAAGGTGGGTCATGTGTGAGCTATTTTCAATTCTTCCTACCCATATCACCACTACCTCCCACTCTTAATATTAGGAAGTCTATTGGGCATACAGGAGGAAAAGGAGGTAATGTGATTGGAAAAGTAGGACTAGATCATATCATTATAAAGTACTGAAGAGAGAGAGAGAGAAAAAAGCTGAATTCAAGCAGGACATTCAAACCAAACACCAGAGCACCTGAGACTGCTCTTCCAAGAAAAACAGGGAGGGGTCTGGAGGTATGTAGAGCAAAAGTAAGGCTCCAAACCCTGTGTGGGAAGCAGAGGCTGAAGAAGTCCTTGTGTGCACAGAGTGTCCCTTTTGGTCACTCCAAGCTGAGTTCCTAGAAGAGTATGGCAAGAAAGGGGTCTCTGCCCCCCTCCTCCTCCTCATTCTCATCTTTTATGAGGGGACCAGAATAATATTCAATGAGTCAATTAAAATAATTTAATGTGTTGTAATAATAATAATAATAATATTAAATCAATGTGTTATCCTAAGAGATAATCACCAGTCACAAAATATGCTAGTTAGTTAAACATACAGGTACCATACAACTCATCCATTCCATTCCTAGGTATTTACCCATGGGAAATTAAAGCATATGTTCACAGGAGACTTGTACATGAATGCTCATATCAGCTTTATTGGGAATAACCAAAAACTGAAGACACTCTAAATGTCCATCAGCTGAATGGAGAAACAAATTGTGGTACATACAGATGATGGAATACTATTCAGCAATAGAAAAGAATGAACTATTAATGCAACAACAGATGAATCTCAAAATGATTATACTGAGTAAAAGAAGCCAAACGAAAAGAAGAAAATTCTTAATCCAAATTTTTAAATGTTGTCATTATTTTTTCAGTATTTCTACATGAAGAACTTTTTTTAATTACAAAATAAATAAATCATATTTAAGGAAATCTGCTAATCTTTCTTGTTCCTATATAGTTCTGTTTAAATAAAATTCTGGGAAACTTATCTATAGTGACAGAGAGCAGAACAGTAGTTGCTTATGGAGTGAAGAATGAGGTTGGAAGGGAGTAGCAGGGAGGGATTACAAAAGGAAATTAGAAAACTGTTGGAGGTCATATATTTGTTCATTATCTTGGTTGTGATGATGTCTTGATGGGTATATACATACGTCAAAAGTTATCAGATCATATACTTTCAATATGTGCACTTTATTATATGCTAATTAAACCTGTTAAAAATGACAGTAAAGAATGTTTTGCAACAATATAAATAGGAATACAAATTGATGGATCCCTCTTGAAAAGCAGTTTGGTGATATGTATCAGAAACTTTAAAATGTTTTTATTCTTTGATATTTCCTTTAGAACTGTATCCTAAGGACATAAAATAAGTTACAAAATTTTTACTGCAGAATTATTTATAATGAAAAAATTGGAAACCACTAATATATCTGACCAAAAAAATCCTGCTCAAATAAATTGTAGTACACTCACATATTGAAATATTATGTAGCCATTAAAAGTAACATTTATGAGGAGTTTTTAATAACCTGGAAAAATACTTATGTGCTAGTGTTAAGTGAAAAAAACTAAGATATAAATTGTAAATATGGTATAAACTAAATTATGTAAAAATATGCATAGAAAAATCTCTGAAATACCTTTAGGATTATCTCTGAGTAATGGGGGTTATCATTCATTTTTAATCTTTTAATGCAAAATTTAAAATGTTGTTACTATTTTTAAGTATTTCATTAAAGAACATATTTTATTATAAAATAAATAAACAATATTTAAGAAAATCCGCTAATCTTTCTTGTCCCTTAAAAAGGCAAGCCCTTATAAAAAAACAGATTGCATTTCTTCAATCCTTGCCCTGTGAAAATGTAGAAATGTCTTCTCTGCAAAGTGCCACCCTATAATGTGAACCCATGTTCCTTTTTCTACTTTCAGACAACCTGGAGAACCAGCAGATCAACATCACTCATTTTCACCTAACTTTGTTGCATATTTTGTTCAAACTCTGCTTCTATCTACACCTTAAGTGTGAGCTTCCTGAAGACAGAGGTGAGGTCTTTTTCTTCACTTAATGCCTCCTCTGCCACATCCATCCCACCTTGCCACAATACCTAGGAAAAAGCTAAGGATACAAGGGGACACACAAACACGTGCACAATGATGACACATTCATAATAATGCTATATCATGTTCTTAAAACACCTTCCTTTTTGAATCAAAACTCCAACAAAACAATAGCCCTGGGGGTGGGGGGATGTGATACTTCGGACCCGTTTTATAAAGAAGAAAATGAGATCAAAGGACTAACTTTGGCTGAGTCTAATTTCAGGAGCCTTTCCCTGACTTCCCTATGTGAACAATAGACAAAAGTACTGGTACTCTGGAGTCACTCACTTGCCTGTGAGCTTCCATGCTATCCTACTCAGTTTTGTATCTCTAGTGCCCAAGGCGGGTATTTGGTAAATTTTTGTGAGTGATTTCTAGATGAAAGGGTTAGCAAATTGGCAAAGGGATGGCTATTCATTTGATTCCATTTTCTCTAATATAACATACATCCAAGATAATCTTCAGTTTTTCAAGACCTATTTAATAATTTCTCAAAGATGTAACCCTCTAAACAATGTGTTTCACGAGAGTCTTTGCAGCAGTTCTAAATGATTGACACACTGAGGAGATCCTGCCCCCTTATCTCAAGAGTCTCCCAGCCCCCAAGTATGAAGCTGAGTCAGCCCCTGGCTTCTATCATGGTCATCATCACACAGCCCACTGGGCAAATATTCTAACATGGTTGAACCTATCTCCATGGTGCAGCACGCAGTGCATCAAGCTCATGAAATGATTGAATGCTTAAAACAGCTAAAATGATGGAAGGCAGAGAAGGAAAGGAAGGCAAAATGTCAAGACAGATAGTAAGTGGGTACTAGTGGCTCAAACCCAGTGCTAGGCCTTGGAGGAGAGATAAGCATGGCTCATGTCCTCCAGAATAAAAATGCCTGGAAGATTCCATCTTTGATACTCTTCTAGGTAATAGGAAGCCACCAAAGCTTTTTTTATTAAGGACTGATAAGTTCACATCTAGTGTGGGATGCCTCAAAGGAGGTCAAGACAGAGAATATAGTGAGGAGACATCTCAAAACTCTGAAAGGGAAATGTGGGGGGCTTGAACCAGGGTGAGAAAGAGAAGATGTGAATGAGAGGATGCATACGGCACCATAGTATGCTGAGCTGGCTCACCTCACAGGAACAAATTGTGCATCACTTTCCAAACCCATGCTCAGTGATATCGCATTGGTAACTTGAAATCAGTCATGATGGGAGCATTTACACTAAAGAAATTGGCAAATGCTACAAATCAGAGGGCTTTCCCTTCCCTCTCCCACTAAAAGCTGGTGTTTAAGCATTTACACACACCACGAATAAAGCATTTGAAAACCAGGTGGATTTGGGAGGTAAAGTAGAGAGAAGAGTCCAGGATAACCCCATGATGTTTCTAGTCTGGATTTTAGAATGGATACAATTCCATCGTTTGAGATAGAAAACACAGGAGAATAAGCTGGTAGGGGGTGGGAGAGGAGAAGGTTAGCTCAGTCAAAGACATTTTGGTTTGTGGGATAAGATAATCCAAAGAATGTGGTTTGTGGATAGTGACATTCTGTGTCTGAAGCTTGGGAAAGAGCTCTGTGCTGCAGAGAGAAGTTGTATTTAAAGCCATGGGTGTGAGCAGGTAGAGTAAAAAAAGGGGGGCGGGGTTGGCTGAGGGCACAGAATGAGCTTAGAACGCTACAGAACCCAATAGTTTAGAGACTTGCAGAAGAGATGACTGGCAAGGAGAGTGGGGAAAATTTAAGGAGCAAAAGGAAAGAAGGGGTGATCACCCAGGAGACAATGAAAGAGGAAACTTCAACAAATGGGGATAGCGTCACTGTCAAATACTAGAGACCCCAAAGAATCCTCTGAGTTTGGCATCAAATGTATCACTGGTCACCCTAACTAGAATAGATTCTGCAGAATGTGTGGATGTGGAAAAGAGAAACAATGCCCCCTCGATATCTGTTTAATCTGGTGATTATGTATCATTGTAACAGTCAAGATTTAACTAAGAAGAAACTAACGACACTATGTACCTCAAAGAGAGGAAATGTAACATGAAAAATCAGTTACCCAAGTGATGGAGAATGGGAAGCTAAGCAGCAAATGGCAAGGCAGGAGGCCACTACCACCCCACAGCTGGAGGGATAAAAGAAGGAGACACGGTCTCCACAGCCCAGGAAGTGGGACCACATAGTAGACCTGGAACTTTGGCAGCCATCCTCTGCAAGGGGGGCTCAGCAGAGACAGAAGACGTGTGCCAGAAGCTAGAGCTACAGAAGAGGAGAAGTGGTCACTGACAGTGAGATTGCCCAAGGTAGAGAAAGACACAGGGGAATACTTTGGTTTCTCTCTTCCTCTCACTCTTGTCTTCCACCAGTGCCTCCCCTTCCTCACCATAAGCAAGTTGGCAAGACATCTGGAGGACGTAGTTTCCCACCTTACAGAGCTAAGTAACAGAAGGGTAGAAATAGATCTGACACCAAACAGGCAAATGAATGACACTATCATTTAACACATTTCATCACATCTAGGATGCCATCAATTATAAGACTCATCCTGATTTAAGAGATGTTATTATTTTTCAAAAGCCATCTTAGAATTGATGAAATATGGTATACCTGCAGAGACAGGATCAGATGGTACAATGCTTCACGGCCTATCTATTGTTCCAGACATGTGGGGTTTTCTTTGCATAAGACTGTCGTCAAATCCCGAGTCTACAGAATCACACACCGACCACTTAGAAGGAGCACAGAGCTGCCAGGTGTGCTTCTCTGCAGGTTCCCAGTTGATCTCCCTTCCCCCAGCCCACCTGGTACATCATGGCCAGCCACATTTTCATGTTCATTATACCACCCTGGACATAAATCAAATTTATTTTATTCCTTGATGTCCTACCAAATTCTATAATGGATTTCAGTCTTTTGTACAGAAATGCATGGTGTGCCTCAAAAGAAAAGTAATCACTGAGGCAGAGGAAGGAGAAATACAGACAACAGAAAGGTAAAGCTAAAAATGAATGAGCACACAAAACTCACCTCACACCTCCTGACAAGGGCTAGTGGTGGGCACATACACCTTGTGGCTGATAAGCCCTCCCAAGAGTGGCCAGCAATATTCTTGGTGTTTGATGACTGTGGAGACATAGGAGACATCACAATGGGGCAAATGTTCTGGTGGCTGTACCCCTGCCAAGGGGCAACAATGTATCCAGGCCACAAATCAAGCAGGAGCAGGGATTTGCTCTGACTGGCCTCCTGTATGAGAGTTGGCCCCTAGTTTCTCCTTTTGAAGGAGAGCAAGCAGCCAGGCACCCTGGCTAAGCCCTGTGTTGTTGAGCTCTGACTTCATCTGCAGGATGGATCAATATCAAACCGGGGGCCTCACAGCTGCTTTCACACAGGCAGTAACTCAGCAGGAAAAGAGAATCAGAAAAACAAGGACAAGTGCTTGCCTTTGATGAGTTTGACACAGGGGATCGCCCGGCGATTCTGAGACTGTGAGTGCCCAAGAAAGTTTCCTGCACTAGCCCAGCCCCTCCAGCTCAAGATCATGGGATTCCTATTCTGCCCAGGCCTTCCAAGAGCAGCTTGTGGCAAACAGGCTGGTCTTAGCTTGTGCCCAAACTAGCACATGTCCTCTGCTGACTTAGGGCCATCAGCTGACATCATTTCCCCTCTCTGAAACCCTTTCAAACCTCAAACCCTCATTACCCCTGTAAAGTCCCCCATGCTCTAAGACCATCTCATTAAATCACTTCATTCATTCCTTTGTCTATTCAGCCAGTCAATAATTAGTTACCAGATGCTGGGATGCCAGTATGAATTAAGACATGAGCCCTGCACCTTCACATAGCTCATTATCTAATAAACCAATCAGGCTTCTCAGATAAAAAAAAAAAAAGTAAAGATTACATAAACTCTATTTGAGGCATATACAGGTTAGAGTTGAGGCAAAATTATAGAAGGAGAAAGATGAAACTTCATTTTAAGATGACATAGAGAAGGTTAGTGTTGAGAGGATACTTGATCTCTCTGCACCAGTTGGGATCTGGATGTAGGCTGTGGGTAGGGAGAAGATGAGGGCATCCCAGATCCTGCTGGGAGAGTAAGTGGTGCTGCCTGGAGGGGTGAATCACCTGATTTCTTCCTGAGCTCGAAGTGTCAGGTGTGGCAGAGATGAGGCTGGAGAGCTCATCTCTGGGCAGCCCCAGAGGGATGAATGGCCCCTCCTCAGAGCAGGCATCACCTGCTGTCATCACCTCTGCCAATCCTGACTCCAGCCTCATTCAATGTCTGTGTTGCCCTCCTGTACAGCATCATCATTTAATATTTTAATCTGTCAGCTTGCTAGTTTCTGCATCAAAACTTAAATTGTCTGAGGGCAAAAAACCTGTCTTTCAAATTGGCAACGCTCATTGCAGCTTTCTATGCTCTAAGCAGCCTGCTAAGCCCAGAAAGAGGGGAGGATGCATTACGGATGAAGCAGACACAGCCTTGGTAAAGTTAAGTTTGGGGAAAGTGATATCCCAGTCTAATTAGTTTGTGAGGGTGAGGCAAAAGGATGCATACCAGAAAAAAATAAATTATGTATTTTTTTAATTAAGATATTTTTGCTTTTCAGGGAATCCTATTACTGGTGAATGACAATCAGCATTGCACTCAAAGTTTTTGTCATGTAAATTCTGCACTTATCCAATAGCTTTAACCTGTCAGAGCCATTGACAATATTCTTTAGAGGGCTTTCTTTCTGTTTTCTTCATGGTTATTGCTTTTCACCTGAAAACAGGAAAAAAGAGAGTCTGTTCCAAACAGAACATCCCTTTAGTAGACCTCTGTGTTTCAATTTCAAAACCAATACTTTCACAATAAACTAGAACAAAATTTCCTTTGGAGAACAGGATGTGAGCAACAACGCCTTCTCTGTTCTCCATCGACCCAAGCCCAGCGGGGGTGACTAACAAGACAACCACCATGCTGGGCCACTGAGAGGGATGGTGGCCTCTCTGTCAAGCCCTAGTCTTCTCTTCTGAGGTACTCACATCTGCAGAGGAGGAGAATATAAGAGAAGGCACAGTCTCGCCTTCAATGAGTACAAAGTAGAGTTAGAGAAAATGAGTAATACACAATAAATACAGAACAAAATATGAGAACATGTTACCAAGTGGGAGGCTGAATACTGAAGCAACATGACCAGCATAGGCTCTGAACTCTGGGTTCACGTCCTAATACCACTACTTATGGACTTTCTGAAGCTCTCTGAGACTCAGTTTCCATAACTGGAAAATAGGGAAGTCAGGAGACCCAACTCACAGAGTCGTGACAAGGGAAATCTCAGGTAGTCTGATGCATGAGGAATCTCCAGAAGAGGCTGGCTCCTGGTGAGTGCTCATCAAGTGTTAGCTGTAGGGCAGGCTGAATGCAACTTAACGAAGATATGTAACTATCCTCAGGGTCCTACCACCCCCTGTCACTGCACATCTCTCCAGCCTTTGGGTCTAACCCTCTCCAGGGACTCCATCTTTGCTCCAGAGCTCCCTCCATGCATGCTGCCCACCTCCGGGGCTGTGATTCCCCAAGAAACGAATGTCCCCTATCCATCCTTTCTCTCTCAGAGCATAGAGACCACTGTAGCTAATGTCAAGGTCAGGAACAAAAGGAATCCAGGAGAAAATGCAAGCCATCAGCTAGTGAGAGGCACATCTGAGATGAGAAGGGCCTAGCTCTAGATGACTTCGAAGAGGGACTCAGCTGAATCCACAGAAGTCCCTGTGCACTGGAGTGCCAATAGCAGCCCATGAGCCCGGCCCGAAGACACCTCCAGATGATCCCAACCACCAGTTATTCAAGGCAACAGAAATCGTAGAGCAGGGATAAACTATAACCCCATGTCTAAATGCCCGAGCCACAGGACCTGTGAGCATAATCAAATGGTCACTGTTTCGCTAAGTTGTGCAGGGGTTTGTTAGGCAGCAATGGATAACCTAAACACCAGCCTCTTGTATGCCAGGTTTTTATATCCTCAGGCTTACTGCATCTTTACAACAGCCTCTTGAGCCAGAGTTTAATATACCCATTTTAGAGATGAGAAATCTGAGTCACAGAGGAGTTATGCAATTTATCCAACATCCTGTAGCTTCTCAGTGGCATTGTGAGGATTCATACACTATTCACACACAATGCACGGGTCAGCCACCCAGAATTAAGAGAACTTTTCAAATAAATCAGATGTTATATTTCAGTGACTGGAATTGCCATATATATATATATATATATATATATAGCAATATTGCCATATATACATGTATGTGTATATATGTGTGTATATATAGCAACATATATGCTATATTTAATATATATGTTATATATGCTAACACTCTCCTCACTGAAATAAAGTTATTTGGCTGTCAAAAAAGTAAAAGATACTAAATCCCATCCATTTAAGCTGGGCCATGTGTCTAAACTAATGGACTAATTCACATCAAACTGCTCAGCTGACAATGGCTCGGTGCACTAAGTCTCTTAGAGAAACGCAGAATTTGTATCAATCAGATTTTTCATTGTCTTACCTGAAATACCTGAAATGCCGTAGTAATTTAGACCTATGCACAAGCTATGGTGGATACAGGGGAAGGATTTTTAGTTCTGCCAGCTGTTCCACACCATCAAAGGAAGTGGTGAAGACAGAGGTAAGTGCTTTGCAAATCCACTTATAGGTGCTCTGGGAAAATACTGAAAATAGACACTCGAGAAATCTGGCTGTGATCAGAGGTGCCAGATGTTCCCCCAGACACTTGGGTTATGTAGGCTGCAGGCACTCAACTTAATTCAAGTCATTTCACCTCCAAAGGGTAGGTGACTGCCATACCCTAGATCTTGGGAAAAGAGCTAGGGCAACCCTGCCCTCAAGGAGCCTTCAGAGTCCTGAGCCCAGAGGAAAAATCACCACCACTGCCAGGCTCAGTGCCTGCCTCAGCTGCAGAACACAGCACAGCTTACTCTAGCAAAGTCTCCTAGCCCCAGATGGATGTGAAGACAAGTTTAAGTGCTGCACACAAGCGCTGAGAGTTCAATGACTACACAGTATTCTCCAAATGCCCCACAAACCTCACAGCTGGCCAGCAAGTCTGACTGGATGCCCAAAGGAATCCCAGAATTGATAGCCTGAAATAGATTTACTGTATAGGTAGATGCAGAAGAGTGTCAAGTACTCTACTACAAAATATTTTCTCTTAGGAAACAACAGGGACCAACTTGAGGATGGAGGGTTGGAGGGGGATGAAGATCAAGAAACTACCTATCAGGTACTCTGCTTATTACCTGGGTGACGAAACAATTTATATACCAAACCCCTGTGACATGCAATTTACCCATATAACAAACCCAACATGTTCCCCCTGAACCCAAAATAAAAGTTAGAAGGGGAAAAAAGCCAACACAAACACACACACACACACACACACAAACACACACACACAGAGCCCTTCTCTTGTTTGTTCCCTCTTAGTTTGAGCTCCATCAAAAGCAGGCCCTGAGGCAAGGATTTGAGCAAAGGTGTGTGTGTAGGAGGTGGTCTCAGGAAATACCAGTAGGGGAGTGGAGAAGTGACTCAGGAAGGGAAGAAAGCCAGTAAAGGCTAGAAGCAAGTTACCAGTGTGGGCAAAACTGGAGCTTAATCCTCTTGGAGATGCCCAGACACTGGGTAAAATACCTCAGTCATCCTCCCACCTGAGGGAGAGGGAAGGGGGAGTTGGAATGCTGCTCCATCAATGCCTGTGAGTCATTGGTAAGGACAGTTCCCAAAGGCATTAATTCCCTCTGACTACTGACCTGCCACACTTGGCAAGCACAGAGGGGTCTAGGGGCCAGGGAGAGACCACAGGTGCTGCTGGAAGTCAGGCCTACCTGCACGAAAAAGGCATGAGCAGAGGGGATACAGGCACAGCACTGACAGCTACAACCACCCTCTATGCCTGCAAATACCCTCTTCCCTAGAGGTTCAGGGGGAACATGTTGGGTTTGTTACATGAGTAAATTGCGTGTCACAGGGGTGTGGTGTACAGATTGTTTTATCACCCAGGTAATAAACAGAGTACCCAATAGGTAGTTTCTCAATCCTGTAGGGGAGAGGATCTGTGTGGGCATAGAGGGTGGTTGTACCAGATATGCCCTGCCCATATGATAGAGACTATCTAGTCTCTATTCAACCTGTACCTTATTGAGCCTGATGAAAGGCATTTCCTAGAAGGTATCAAGGCCAGCTATGAGGTTGAACCCAAAGCTCACATTCCCTCTGGGGAGGAAGCCCCAAATTCTAAGCCACTATTAGCAGGTCCCACCTAACTCAACAACCATTCTACTCCTCCAGTTCAGCACAGTGGGGTAGCGGGTAGGGCTGGCCCTTCCCCATTCTGAGCTGGCTATGGGTAGAATATGGGGCCGTTTCAGACCTGATTTTGTGACCACCCTTGGTGAAGGGAGGTCTGTTTCTGAACCTCCTGGTAAAAACAAACGTAAGCCCAGTACCCACAAAACCATTGCATCCTGGGGCTCCCTGAGAATAACCCCGACCTTAATCACTGCCTAGGAATGACATGTTGGGACCTTAATATAATCCATTTAGGGTATTTTCTACTTGGAAGGTGAGACGACGGTGAAATGGGAAACGAACAGGTAGCAAAGGCCTGAATTTATCCTGAAATGGCAAAGAGATGCAAGAACACCATGCCCTAGGCATCCGTTTTGCTCCCCCAATTTTTTTTTAGAAATACTTTTGTCTGGCTGTCATAGGTATTTCATAAAATCTCAGGTTTTTACTGACAGGACTTTACCTTTCCTAAGCTCAACCATTTCAGCAAATCAGGATAAAAATTCCCCACAAAGTTAGAAAAGATTCCACGTTCTAAAAAATTCCCAAGGAACCAATGTAGGGGCAAAAAACCAAAGCAGTCTCGGAGAAGGAAGCATTTTAGTAAGTCAAGTCAGAAGAGTGGGCATGAGGACACTCCTCTCTCTCCCAAGCTCTTCTTTTTATTGCACAAGCTGGGTCTGTGCAGGAGCTTGCAGAGAAGCTGTTTTTAAAATTCATAGCCCATCATCCATTATAATCGAAAATATGGTGACGCATAAGGAATGGTGTTGATTTTAGAATCAGAATGTCAACCAGGTCTTCTCATTTCAGAAATACATACATCCCTTAGTGCCCTGAAGTTACTGTTGGGCTGAAATTTTTATAAACTCAAGTCCAAGTCAAATATTACAGAACTACCAAATGTCACTGAACTACTTATTAAGGGGCTATACCATTCCCCATTAAATCAAAATATTAAAATGCATTTTCATCTCAAAGTTGCTGAAACTCTCTTAGGCAATCCAGCCTCTCTCTTAGAAACACTTCAAGCTTATGTGAGGAGGGGGAAAAAGAAAGAGCCATGTAGGGATTAAAACAAAAACAAAATAAAAACCCTCACCTCTATAAATTATCCACGAGAAAATTAAGGAATAATTTTTATCCAAGAGAATAGCATTTTATCTCTGAAATATCAGTATTGACCTTAATAAACACTCTAGCCAGTTTGCTGGAGTCTAATCCACTGGACTATAAACATCAAATGATGTTATTTTTGCTCCCTACCATGATTTGTCAAGCTCCTCTTTCCCAAAGGGTGGCAGCTGCCTTAAAGATATTCCAGCCCAATTCATAGCTTTTCATTTCTTTTTTGTTAAGAAGACTTAGTCCAGTTCACTTTTAAACTTCAATCTTATATCTGATCCAAAGGTCATTGTCTCTGGGCCCAGTGTGGTCTCCCCGCACACCCCCTAACAGTGCTTCTGTGTCAGGTAGAGAAGCAGGCAATGGGAAAGACCACAAGATGTCCCCATGCTTAACTGGCAAAGCAGTGATTCTCCTTTTGCTTGGTCTAAATGATGTTCTCGCACATGATCTATGGGCTCCCCAAGTGGTCTTCCAGCATCCCCCACCAGGGAGACCCTATTCTCCAGAAGATCTCCTTGTGAAATCCTGGCCTCTTTCAGTTGACCACCAGCTGGTGACATTTTCCTCTTTTCCCCAAAAATGTCTTTAGAAAGACCTATTTACTGTTCTAGAAATTGTCTACCCTTTAAGGCAATTTCGGCCTGTAAGCACATATGAGATACTTCTTGGGTACCTCTTAGAACCAGGAAATGGTGAGTGCATGTGTGGTGGAGGGGTGATCCAGGCACCACTCTGCTTGAATGGCCCCCAGCATACCATCTAGAGCCCCACAGTTCTCTTCCCTGTACCAGTGGCATTAAAGTGAGTCAGCTGGATATTCTCTGTGTAGCTTTGATAAACCCTGAGCTTTCCAGGAATACAACCATCCTATGAATTGAGGCCAAAGAATGCTTTGTCTTATTCAAAATATTGCCAGAAGTCTTTCAGCATTTAAAAAAGTCACATCGCCACAATATGTCCATGACATCTGAATCACCAATACAACACACACAGATCTGTTTGCATCTGTAAGCTGTTGAATTCACAGTGATTCACGTGGTGTTGCTGCGAACTGACAACAAGCATCTAATTCACTACTTCCTTTTGTATGGTTGGGCCCAAGCATTTGTTGAAATACATATCATTTTATTATACATTATTTAACTTCTAATTTCTTTGTATTCAGTGAAGACATTATATTGATTTGTTAAATTATATAAATGCATAACAGTATCAGTACCTTTCATTTCAGAAATAATAATGGGGGCACTACAAAATATGTGTTGTTAAAAGGGACCATTGGTTCTGATACGGTTGAAAGTTCATGATTCTTTATGTTTATTTCCGTTATCCATCCTGAAACTTTAGTAAAATCCTGTTTGGTCCAAGTTCAAGCCTTGATATCTAAAGGGAATTGTTATTTCCACTAGAGCCAGAGTTACAGAAAAAATGGTCTATTCTATCTTGGCTCAACCTCAGCCCATGTAGGGAGTGGCAGCATTATTTGGAGAAAAACCTCTACCCCTAGAAGAAAGGGAATTTCAAGAAGAGAATCAGGGCTGTTAGCAACCTAGCTCTCATCCATGTGCCTGGGGACTGTCCCTCAGAAGGTGACCCTCTCAACACCAGCCTCAAAAGCTCAGGATTTTGGTTTGGTTGAGGAAGATGGTATTTCCCCATGTAGAGTGCCAAAGCTTTATCACTCAGAACCAAACCAGCCTATCCTTATGGATTCCCATAAGGGAATCCCAGCAAAAAGTAAATTTTCTGTCTTCAGAGAGACTCCCGTTTGTTCATTTTGTGGACTACATACACAACCTGGAAATCTCAGCACAGCCAAAGGTTGGCCCCTCTTCCTGCTGCCCTGCCTCCCTAGCTGTAGGCTCAGAACTCCACAGGCCTCATCACATTCAGCATCCCACTTTAATTGAAGACAAAGCTTTTCCAATTAAAAACTTCCTTCTTGCCTCTACACACACATGCATCTGATATCACAAATTGCAAATTGTTTTTAATGACCTGTTTGGAAAATGGAGCATGCTTTATCCACTTAAAACTTGTACAGTCTAGGGTTTAAGGGAATGCTGATAGGAGCAAGGAGGACCCAAGGAATGACATAGGAAAGTGTCAGATCCACCTGCAGCAGCTGATGGTTACAACCAAATTCTCATCAGTGCGTGACAGAAGATATTCTCCCACGTGTTTGGTATCCAATGCTATGGAGCAAAGTGGGGCCTTATGTCTATGCTAATTCACTGATAGCAAAGGTAATTTACATTAATTATCCAGGAAGGGTGCACACTCTGGAAATTGCTGCAGAGGCTCATGACCCTGGGCTATCTAGCTTCCGCTCCCCAGCCATAACTTATACCCAAAAGGTCCCTAACCCCAGCTGGGCTCTATCTCCCCATCTTGAATGTATCAGCTCATGCCAGCAATAACCAGTAGGGCCCTTCCTGGGATGTTGACCTCTCCTAATCCTCCTGCTCTGCCAGCCCTTATGTGTGTGTACTGAGGAGATGAACACTGGGGATCCCAGGGAATGAAGGAGAAAGATTAGACAAGGAAAACTCCACACACCAGCCTTACATTCCCCCACAAGGCAAAGAGCTGGGTTCCAGGGAGCTCCATCCATCATTCATCCACCTACTTCATCCATAGCGTTAGACCGAGTCTGAGAACCTGGGAAGAAGGAACGCAATCTAGTGAGGCGCAGATAGGTGAGCAATGACAATGCAATTGAGTAGTGTCACTGTGGAGTTCTATATGGGAGCCACATAATGAAGGGAGGGGAGTGCCCCAGGGGATTCCCAGAAATGCTGACAGCGTGGGGGAGGCCTTCCAGGCTGCCAGGCAGGACAAAGCATAGGAGGAGACAGAGCAGTGTGCACAGCAGACAGAACACAGGAAAACTCCTCCAGGCAGAAAACTGGGTCGTCCTGCAGATGGGGCTGAAGTGAGAGGGGCAAGTGTGGAGAGGGTTCCCTCATTTGCTCACTCCAACACTGGGCTAGGTGCTGGGCTGTGCTTACAGAGAGCTTCATTTCTAGCCCAGGAACAGGTAGGCACCAACTAAGGGCCTTTTAAGACAAGCCAAGGAATGTGGACTGTATCATGAAAGTGGTGAAGTCACATGAGGAATTTTGAGCAGGAGTGACTGTGTGTGTGTATCTGGAAGATCCACCAAGGGCTGTGTAGAACTGGATGAAAGAGAGATCAGTCCACAAGCTAGTGGAAAATGTGAGTAAAAGCACTGTACTAAAGACAGAGGACTTGCTATGAGCCACCACTTCAAAGCAAGTCACCTCATTCACACTTCCAATCAAATGGCCTCCTATATAAGAACAGGTGACTTGTTTTGAAATGGTGGCTCATAGCAAGCCCTTGGTCTTTAGCAAGGTTGGCTGGTTCTGATCAATAAAAGTAACAATTTTTTTTTCTTTGCTTTTTTTTTTCTTGAGATGGAGTCGCTCTGTCACCCAAGCCGGAGTGCAATGGCGCTATCTTGGCTCACTGCAACCTCTGCCTCCCAGATTCAAGTGATTCTCCTGCCTCACTCTCCTGAGTAGCTGGGATTACAGGCACCCACCACCATGCCCAAAAAGTAGCAATATTTTCTAAAGATGCTTTTGCTCACATTTTCCATTGAATTGAGAAAACACAAATTGTAAAGCTAGGGTGATGATGATTCTCTCCATTATGGGTAGTATTTTAAGGAGTGGCTTCCAGGGAGCAGCCAAACCCTACCTTCAAAAGCAGTCCTTGATGCTACCAAGGACAAGCAGAGAAAGATCCTGGAGGGGTGAGGGCAAGATAAGGGAAGAGTGAGACAAGAGGAGTGCTAAAGGCTAATGTGATGATTCTGTTTGTTCTCCTCTTCTGTTGCTGTGGCCATTGGGACAAAGTAGTAGTGGAATATTTAAAAAGCAAAACTGAAGGAAAAGCTATGGTTTTAAGAAGATTCTTGGCTGGTCCCTGACTTGAGTTCCTTCTCCCTAGGAAGACTGGAATTTAATTTCTGGAAGATTGGCATGGAAAGGAGGCAGGAGTTGTTAAAAAAGGAAAAAAAAAATGCAAGTGCAATAAAAATGCTTTATTTATGACTTCTAATTAAAATCACAGTAAATTACTAAAAAGTCTTAAATATAATTCTAACATTAATAATTAAGCAAGATACAGCCATCTTGACATTTCTGATGATAGCACAATAAAGTCAAAATAATTGGTTTTCCTTTGGGAGAAAAAACAACAACAAAAATAAATCTAGGAAGGTGAAATCGGGGTCTTAGCTATGACATTCTTTTTACTCTCATTGTGAGTAATTTTAGCTTTCTTTCCTACTCCAAATGATGGTCCATTCTCCCACAAATAAAAGCATCATAGAAAAAAGAAAACTCTTAAAATATCATGAACTGAAAAGTGAATATTTTTTCTCACTCTCCAGCATCTTTGTGAGTTTCCTGAATGATAACATTTTAGTTCTTGGCTTTAAGTCCTGATTATTAATCCCTGTGAGGCACTACTTAGAGGAGAGAAGCTAGGGCAATTTGCAGCAAAGAGATGTGCACCAATAAGTATTGGCAGAGTACAATGTGGTGAGATTCTAGGACTGTGGGCTTAAACTGTCCTTGCATGTTGGCTGGGAGGACAAGAGTAGGTTATTTTCTAACTGCAGAGTCAGGGAGAAGAATCCAAACACTCCAAAATGTTTTTTCTACACTAGATTTCATGCTTTATCATTAGTGATTCACTCCTTTGGGTTAGCCATTGCCCTTGGTAGGTTTGGAACCATCAGCTAAAAGGTAGGCTGTTATCTGAGATGCACTCCATTTCAAAGAAGACTGGTTTGTGGAATATAGTGTGACACTGCCCCTAGGAGAGTGCTTGTGCATTTCAGAACTTTAAGGAGCAGAAAGAGTTGGAAAAATGAACATTCAGAACCTCAAGTCACCAAACACATATTCAATGAAACTAAGGAAATGTTTGTAGTCTCTGCCTTGAGTCTTCTAGTTCTTATAATGCAAGACTGCTTCCATCCTTTTCTTCTCTCTGGGTGCATAGTTATCTCCAGGAAGCCTGAGCAATAATGGTAAGTGCTCCAAAGAGGCATGGCCTCATAAAAGATGGGGCACTCCTAGTGACACACTACAGCAGAAGACCCAGATCCTCACTCAGGAAACTTTCCTTGAGAAACAGGCTTTTAGGCAGGATGGAGAATGAAGTCTTCTTCTGGCTGATCCTTGCCCTCCATCTCAGCAGGTGAGGGAGCAGCAGCCTCTGCCCCTCACCAAGGCAGGTCTGAGGAGGGACCCCAGCTAAGGAAGATTGATGCCCATCCCTACCTCCCTGCAGATCCTTGTTTCTCCTCCCAGTAGCATCCCAAGGTCTTGTTCAAGAGCTGCAGTCTGACCTGAGCCTCCAGATGATCAAGTGAAAAGGGTAGAGGTGGAGTAGCAGCAAGACCAAGGGACAATGGCCCTCTGGTTGTTGAATGGGGCACTAAGGTCTGGCCACCCATACCCACTTGGACATGCCCTGTCTACCACCAAACCCAGAGTTGCTGGGGTACCTTTTATTAAATAAAACAGAAATTTCCTTACAGCATCTGGCCTAAGCTTCAGGCAGAAGCATCTCCAGCTTCAGGCATGAAGTGACATGTTAAGGGTTTCTTGGCAGCATGAGAGAGAAAGCATGGATATGTACCCATGTTCTCAAGCCATATAAATCTGGATAAACTGTATTGCTGCAGAGGAAATCATAAATCATACATCCTAAGGGCAGGATTTCAGTATTTTTGAAGGGTTTCATTTCTCCTCCCTTCCAACTTTGATATATGTACTTACTTAACAAGGGTCTAGGGAGGGTTAATTGAATTAATATATGTAAAGTGCTTTTAGTTTGAAGAGAATGTGCAATATAAATGGAAGTGTCACTAAAAAGGTTAATCTAATTTACATCCAACACTTTCAGTTCATAGTGTTAATGAACTATATGCTTTTAGAGAGTGATTAATTTATAGAAATGTGATTATTTTTCTTAATGCTATATATGGGTCAGCTTTTCCTATTACTATAACTAACTTTATAGGAGAATTCAGCATTTTATATATTAAAATAATAAATCAAACACCTCTGTAATGGTTATATTTCATTAATTACAAGGAGACATGCATTAGATTAACATTTATCTGTTTTAATTAATCTGCTGCAATGCAGTTATCCACGCAAATTGGAAAACAACACATCAACTTGACATAATATTAACAGTTTTGACTGGTTCTTCCTGAAAATTTATGGGCCTGCAACTGCTGCATTTTTTGTGTAACCATGGTGACTACCAGCTGTGTGACACATGCAGGCTACACATCAAAGAACTGGGAAGAGACTCACACTAAATTCAAACTTCTCCTGAAAATATAATTAACTAAATTAATAAGACAGTATAAAGAAAGAAAGACGTAGAGTTTTGTTTTGGGGTTTAAGCCTCGAAGATTTCTTAAATATGATCACCTTGTTTTTGTAAGCGCTTTATCCTTTCAAAAGGCATACAGAGCCACTTCCATTTGAATACTTAGAACTTTCTTGGGTAGAGGAGGTGCCATTGTGTCCTTTCTGCATGTGATAGAGACTCACACCCAGAGGGGCTGAGTGATTTGCCCTGAACCTCACAACTCATCAGTGGATCTAGGTCACATGAGTCCGAGACCATGACCTTTCTTTGATACTCCACAGTGGTTTTCTAGTCAGACTTGATTAAGACTCCAAAGTTTTACCTAACTATATAATACAGCAGACATCATAGAGATGCAAAGTGGCTGAAGTCACAAAAATGATGTCTTTTTTTTTAACTGGCAATTTTCACATGACAATTTGATGCAGTGATTCCATAGAAATAAGTCAAATGTTAGCCAATTAAGCATTCTCAGAAGCAATGAGAAAAACACCGACAGCCTTTCTGAATGAGAATTCCACTGGTATCTGCCGGCCTGACTGTTTAATACATTTCAAGGTGGTTAATGTTCTCTTGACGCATGTGCGGAAGCGAGTATTTTAAACCACTACGGAGCAAATGCTGCAAGTTGGTTTGGGCAGATAGTCAAATAACTAAAAGGGAAAGGCCTGATGGGCAGCTCCTCCCCATGACCAAAGGAAGGAAGCAGTGCTGACGGGAGAAGGTACATGGGCACAGAGCCCTGCAGGATTTGCAGCCAGCGTGGGCAGCAGCGCCCTAGCACCAGTCACCCCCTCAACACTCAGCATTTGCTCTGGGCCTTGGACAGTGCTGGGCAACAGTCATACAGAGGTGAGCAGGGCACTTCCCCCTCCAAGGGCTCACAGCCACCCTGGGAGACAGGTGGCAATGGGAGCTTTGACAGAGAAAATAAAGGACTGGTGGGTGAAAGACAGAGGAGCACAGCCCCCACCTGGAAGTACCACTTAGTTGGCAGAAGCAGTAGAGTTTGCTGGAGTGGTTCTCAGTCTTGGCTGGGCACCAGAAATACTGGAGAGCTTCACATAGATTCCCAGGTGCTGTCCCTGAGCAATTACAACAAAATCTCTGGGATGGGTTCTGGGCATTGGTGTTATTTTAAATCTCTCTCAAGTGGCTCCACTTTGCATCCAGGGCTGGATAAAAGGGGGGACTCTGAAACTAGACTTTCTAGATTTAAATCCCAGTTCTGCTGTTTTACTACTTGGGTAAACTGGATAAGTAGCTTAACCTTCCTTGCCTCAGTTTCCTCATCTGTAAAGGGGATAATAAGAGTGCACATCTCACTTGGTGGTCAGGAAGGCTGAATGAGTTAATATCTATAAAGCAGTCAGAATAGTGCTTGGTGCATAGTAAGTTCTTGAAAGATGAAAGCATTAACTATTTGGAAATTTCTAGAAAGTTCACTGACAGGAGAGAAGGCCAGATGGGCAAAATCGTAGACTTTTACGCCAGGCTGGAGAGTTTGGGATCTATTTTGGGAGGTCTGGGGCTTCCCTGGACAGGTTTATCAGAAGGGGTATGGCTGCCTGTTCTAAGAAGGAGGTTTGGGTTGTAAGGATGAAGGCAGAAGTTCTCTGAAGATACCTCCAGTCCTGGCCTTTGCTCTGTGAATGCCTGAGCCCCTAACTGAGGTTATGGTTGGGATGGGAGAGGTTGGAGGTGGGTGGCTTTTGTGTACCCACCCTAAAACTGAGACGAGCTGATTTCCTTTGGGATGGGAACCGGTAGCCTGTTCCAGCTCCCATCCCCAGATGGTGATAGCACCCCTGGGGAAGTGACTACAGAATGTGGCATGAATATTAGATTCTAGGTGCTGGTGGTATCGTCTGTTGCCTGTGGAAGTAGACACCCCAGGATCTCAAGGCACCATGCTGTTTGGACAATGGGCATCACAAGCAGTAATAACCTGTGAGGGAGGGAAATCTGAGGCAATTCCAGAGTGTTAAGCTATTCTTAAAAACCTTACAGACCTTAGCGTGGAGGGTGAAAGATAGAATTCATGACTGAGATGGAGTTTCTTGCAGGCCTGGTGGGACTGGCATACATGCTGCCACCTTGACAGCAGCATAATGGGAGGGTTGGAGAGGGGGTCAAAATTAGAATTTAGTGCTTTCATTTGCACAAGATGCTAAACAAGGCAGAAGCAATGGGAATTGAGGAGAGGTTCTAGATGGTGATGATAGGATCAACCAGACATGAGGAAGGATGGGTTGTGATATTTGTGGAGAGACAAGCATGCTGGAGGACTCTTGGGGGCTCTGGCTTGGGTGAATGTATGGATGATGTACCTTTCACCCAGAGGCCACAGCAGAAGCAGTAGATTCTTGGAGGAAAAATGAGAGCTTAGTTTGGGACATATGGGGCTGCGGCATCCTAAAGGAAACAGATACTGAGTGAGCCTTGGGTGGGGTAGGAGGCTCAAAGTGAGCTAGGGAAAAAAAGTATTGATCAGGGGCATCTCTGGCCAATCTCTGGGGAGGACTGATATGAGTAGAGGGTCTTGAGCTGGAGACAAGCAAGATCCTGAGAAAGTATTGGAAATAAGTTGCCTGTCCTTAGAGTTAGAAAACTGCTCAGTAGTGAAAGAAATGGGCTTCAAGTGGCCATGGTCCAAGATGTCACCTAGCTCACCACACTGGCTCGCTGGTGCTGGATTGCAATCAACTGCACACAGTCTGACCCCTTGTCCTGATTTTTGATCTGCTGCTATATGCCCTGTAATGTGCATTTACCAATGTGTAAGAGGGGTATCTGAGAACAATACAATGGGCATATATAAAATCCTGCCGTGAGAGTGGAAGAAAAGGCAGCCCGATCAACAGTCTGGTTATCTGCTATTCCTATATGATCTCCTCCCGCCCTTGCCATGCACACCTCTCAACATCCCCTTCTTATCCACTTTGTTATCTAGCCACCTAATATGTTTAAAAGTATGTATCCTGGCCTAAAACGGAGTCAGAAGAGGGCAATATTTAACCCAAATGAATAACCGAATCAGGAGAACTGTCGGTACAAAGGCCAGCCAGCTGGGATAGTCTTTCTGGTGCAGGAGACCCCTCCAAACACATCTGGGACTATACAGTGCAGAAGGCTGCCTCCTCTGCTTGAGGCCAAGCATGACAGGAGGTGAGGAGGGCTTCAAGCTGTCTGGATGAGAAGAAACAGGTATTGCTCACTTGGAGAAGTGAGTCAGAGAGTGAGGCTTTCAGGGAAACCGATTCTTTCAGCAATTTTGAAGTAAAATCCAAGCAAATATTCTTGGACAGCAAGGCAATGCCTTCCAGGGCAGCAGAGCCTCTCTGACCTCACTCAGAGCCTTCCTCAAGCAGACATCACATCATTCTGAATAGGTAAGCCTGTGTGAAGAGGGGAACCCATGCCTACCAGTGTATTCTGAGTTTGTAACCCCAGTTTTACCACCTCTGAGCTCTGAGACTTTGGGCAAGTTACCTCACTTCTCAGTGACTCAGTTTACTCCTCTGTAAAAATAAGATTGTAGATTTACCTCCTTCATAGGGTTGGTACGAGGATCAAACCAACCGACATATGTGAAGTGCTTCAAGATAGTGCTTGGCACATAGTATGAACTCAATAAACATTCACTGTTTTATTAGCTCTGGAATCTGATGCAGAAATAATATTTGACCTGGCTGAGCTCCCTCTTCACTCGTGCCTGTGTGCCAATCACTCTTACCACCTTGTATTTACCTGTCCAGTGCAAACCCCTGCCCCTGACATATGCTTACCCAATGCCTACCCACCCATCAACATCCCTTTTACTTTCTCCATAAGTCTTTCCTGACCTCTATTGTTGCCAACTTCTTCCTTTCCTGCAAGGCTTCGGGGGGTCTGTGATGCACAATCTATGATTTTCCCATAAGTCACCAAGTTCTGCAATAGTTTGTGTGATGTGTGATGTGCAGTGTTTGCCCTAGACAGAGTGTGAACTCTTTGATAATTGGAACTTGCTTTTATCTTTTTGTTCCCCTCACAGAGAATAACAGGAGGCTGAGAAATAGTAATTGGCTGAAAAGGCTAGAGAACAGGACCTAGTGCATGTCTGGAAGGGCTAACTCTCATTCTAACCATTCTCCTCTGACCAATACTCCCTCTGGCCTACTGCTTGTTTCTTTCCCAAATCTCAGAGCATGATCCTCTGTCCTACACAGTGCCAGGATCTTCAGCTCAGTGCTCTTCCCCAGCTCAGGCCTCCCCATGGTCTACCCTCAAAACCTGTCTTTCCCAGGGAACCATTTCCACAGGGTCCAATTAGTCATGGGTTAGATAACAGCTAATAAAACAATCATCGATTTCAAGCTGTTATTTGAATATCATAGCTTCAGTTACCCCATTCCATATAAACATGTATTATCACAAAACTTGTCAATACCTTAAACAAAAAAGTATGCCTTTCTGTTTTCTCAGGTAGCAGGGCTTGGAGGAAAGTATGAACTGGGCAGGAGATCTTTCCTTACAACCCAGATCACACCACATAAGCTCTCCCTCCAGAGACCAGAACCTCCCACACCTCTGGCACTAGCACATGGAGACAGGCTTGTTTATTTACTTAGATAGCAAATATTGCTGACCTTTACTCTGAGCTGGCCCTGCACTAAGTGCCAGGGCCTTTGAGATGAATGAGATGGAGCTCTGGCTTCAAAGACATCCATAGACTAGTGAAAAAAAGCATGTCTTTTTACAAACAAGTCAAGCCAAATGCGTGTGTATGCATGTGCATTTACATTTATATATGATATTTACACACAGGTGCATATCCACACAAGGAGAGAGAGGCAGAGAGAGACTGAGAAACAGAGGAACGGATAACAGTTTGAGCTGAGAAAAGATATGAACAAAGCTATTGGATTTCTAAGAGATCAGAAAAAAAAAAATTCACCAAATCTCAGACACTAAACTAACTGTTCAAGTGATCAATAATTAGTCATTGTATATTTAGTGCATTTTACATGCCCCAAACTGGGCTAAGTGCCCTGACAACTATTTTACAAGGTAGATCTCTGTATCCCCATTTTAGAGATGAGGAAACTGAGTCTCAGATGGGTTAACTAACTTGTCCAAGATCATCTAACTAGGAAGCAGTAGGGCCAGGTTTGGAACTCAAGTTTTTCTGGCCATATGCCCAAATTTTACTTTATAGAGGAGAAGGAAAAACACATAAATTGTCTATGTCAAGAAATGACAGCACTAGGGATTACAAACAGGTGTGTTCACCAAGCAAATCACTGCATACTGCTCATCTCATATCTTGAGGCAAGGCTCTGGAGATACCAGGAGAGTCAGAATGAGCCTCTAGCACTGGTCTTTGAGCCCTGAGGACTAGAGTCAGACAAGGAAACACAGGCATGCAGGAAAGAGAGGCAAGTCACTCAGAAGTAACCAGCCTGGGAAGGTTCCTTATGGAAGGCCAAATCTTGAGTAACAGTGAAAATTGGGCTGAGGAAGGTGACCTACTAGCTTGATGCCCAGAGAATCCAAGAGAGGTAAAGGGCACATTCCGGTCCAAGAACCACAGGCGTTTCAGGATGGCAGCAGGTCAGAGTACACTTTCTGATGCATTGCTGAGGGCTTTTTGGCATTTGTGCTTCAGTTGGAAAAATGACTCTGTTATACCACTAGAAGACACCTGCTACTTACCCAAAGATGACTTAGAACAATCCACCATAAAAATTCCACACTACCTTTGCCCCTGCAGGAAGTTCTGCAGTGTGCAATCTGGAATATTCAAGGATGGTTTTTGAATCTGTGGGAGAGAGAATGAGGTGACTGCTCTAAGCGAGAACATTGGTTTCCATGGTGAGAGCAAGGTCCGTTTCCCTCACCTCACCTGCATGCCCTTTTAAACAGCCTTAGACACTCATACTGTGCTCTTCTGTGGGCAGGACCACAAGGGCTCCTGGGTAACTCAAAGATGCAAACAGCTCAGCTTCCTTGTGGTCCCTAGACCTGCTTTCAAAACCACTGGGAAGACTATCTGACAAATAGGGGGCACTGGGTATAGTGACCTTTATATTCTCATCCCAGTGCCACACCCTCTAGCTGGAGGTCTTGGCAAGTTCATTTACCCTCTCATAGAATTTGTTTCTTCATCTGTGAAATGGGCTAACACTGGCTCTGCATGTGTTGTAAGAGTTAGAGATTGCCCATGTAATGGGATTAGCAACAGTGCCTGTGACATACTAAAGAGGGACTCCATACACTGAAATTACTACAATTACACCATACTGTTGTTATAATTCTGCTCCATCCTCCTCCTTACCTATTACCACATGCTGCTTTTGTAAACTTTGTCTCTGCACTCCCATCTCCTTTGCCTGTGTCTCTATCACAGTCAATACTATACTTTGGACAAATTCTCTCCGCTGCCACTCTCTTAAAATTTTCACATAAAAATCTTGTCTCTCCAACTAAAACAGAAGCTCCTCAACCCTAAAACTTAAAGTATAATAATAATAAAAATTAAAAAAAAAAGAAAGGTAGGGGTGGGAGGGGTGGAGGGTGGTCCTCTGCTACTGGCTCAGAACCAGAGCACTGAGCAAGGCTCTTAGCACACAAGGCGGGCACTACAACAATTGATGGTCTATACTTGAGTATTGTTCCAAATGACCTCTATGCCTAGATGTTGGGAACTTAAGAAGGACTGTGTACCAAGTCCTTGAGGTCTTGGGACCACTGACATTTTGCCAAATTTAGCACAAACTTTGAGGTGTTGTCTAGATTGCATTGTCTTCCTTCCCTTGGATAAGACATGTCTTTCTCTGCCTCCAGAAACTCTTTGGGTCCACAACACCTTACCAGCTTTACTCATAGAACATGAGCATGTGATCTGGTCTCTTCATGGAATCCAAGAAGTATTTATCTTTTTTGAATAGCCAAAATATGTAAGGGTGAAGGGAAGGAGTTATAATTGCCTGGCCACTGTGTGATTTCTGAAATTGGAAATATGTCTACACTGAAAGTACAGTGATTCTGTGAAAACCCCAGGTAGTTGTCCGGGATTAACTGCTCGAGTCCCTAAAGCAAGAAGCAAGAAGCAAGAAGCACAAAGGCAGAACAAGCTGTGCACCACAGACACAACATCTTACACAAGACTGAAGCTGGGAGCACATGCTTCCAGACAGTTGTTTGGAGGGTGCATTCAACTCTGTCAGAAAGCTTGACTCCAGACTCCCAGTGTTTTTCTACACATGAATACAGAATTGTACGAAAGAAGTATCTGGTTTTTTGTTCAATCTTCACACGCCTTCCTGATTTTTTTTTTTTTTTTTTTGTGATGGGAATAACAATGGTATGAACCTTAAAAATGGCAAAGTCAGAGGCAGGGTGCATTATACACAAAACATACAGCTTTATCATTTCAAACATTCTTCAGAGATCATATGATTTGGAAACATAAAATGCAAGTGCATTGTTATAAGGAAAGTCAGTCCTGTAAATACTAACTAAAGTGTCATAATAAATGTCTCTGTTGTAATCAAATATTACACATTTATCTTGAAAAAAAAATCAGCAGCAAACAGAGCTCTTTGCAGCCCCCCAGTGGTTGGAAGGGGAAAGAAGCGAGAACAAGGGGAATTCGGACAGTTAACTCTCAATCTGCAGGGCCAATAAACTTTTTACCCTGGAAAAACAAATGTCTAGTTTGTTTGTTTGTTTGTTTGTTTTTGAGACGGAGTTTCATTCTTGTTGCCCAGGCTGGAGTGTAATAGCGCGATCTCGGCTCATTGAAACCTCTGCCTCCCGGGTTCAAGTGATTCTCCTGCCTCAGCCTCCCGAGTAGCTGGGATTACAGGTGCGTGTCACCACACCCATCTAATTTTTTTTTTTTTTTTTTTTAGTAGAGACGGGGTTTCTCCATGTTGGTCAGGCTGGTCTCGAACCCCTAACCTCAGGTGATCCGCCCGCCTCGGCCTCCCAAAGTGCTGGGATTACAGGCATGAGCCACCATGCCCGACCTGACAAATGCCTAGTTTTAACCAAAAAATGAATATGTTCTAAGTCGGATGTTGGTTAAAATGCACATAATTATCCACATAAAGTGAATCATTGAAAGCCTGGGGTTTTTATTTTCCTTTTTTATCTCTCTCCTTCTCTTTCTCGCTTACCTCTATGAAGCTTCCCATTCTGACCTGAGAACTCAGCCGTGCATTATTACTACTCACACCAGATCCTCTTCCCAAATGATTTCTTCCCTGTTCTGCACTTGCTGTGTGCTTCTCACCCTCCTTCAAACTCCCGTTTGCAGACATCTGCTTATATCAATTACTGTGCTACAAAGTGATGGGAAATCTCCTCCCCCCCACCCCCCAAAAAAGTAATTTGCCTGTTTAACAAAGTGTCTATATTGGGAAAGCAGGGGGGAGATGTTTGGAAGTTCATTGTTTTTTATTCTTGTCTTCACCAAAACAACAGTCTCTCAGCTTGATCCCTTCATATCAGCCACTTCTTTACCGCACTCTGAGATATTTTCATAACGAGTTTTTCTCTCATGAAATTTCTCATTTCTAAAAATAGAAACTGCCTGTCAAAGATACACCAAGAAAAAAAATGCTGAAAAGAAACAGAATGCCTGCTTATAAAATATTTTCAAAACGATGACACCAAAAAATTTAAAAATTACAGATAAACATAATCTCCCATGTTCTTCTCAAATATATCACTCCTAAGTTATTGGAGGGCCAGTTTCTAAAGCCCAGACAAGGCGAACTGCCTGCCTCCAGCTCTCCCCAACCTCCAAGAGTAATGCAGCCTGATAGGCATTTCCTCCCCTAAGCTAGTGGTCAAGTGTAGCTCAAAGCAAGCGTCCGAATCAGGCTGTCTCTAACAGGGAATCTATTTTCTGACAGGCGCAAACCCCTCCGCCCTCTGATGATTGCCAGGCAGGATTTGGGGACCAAGTACCCCTCATTGTCACCTGGCGGATTTGGCCACAGTCCACAAACCAAACGCAAGCCCTACTTATGAACAGCGCAGAGAATCAACAAGTTATCACTAAGCTGTGCGCCCCAGCTAGGATCTGCCACAGCCTCCCCTGAGCCCACCACTGTTCCCCACCAGCTCTGCTCTTCCCTCGCCTCCCCACCCCCTGCAAGCACGTGACCTCCTGTTTCAGACCCGGCCCCCCACCCCAGAGCTCCCGACGCTCCCAGGCAGCTGTCAAAGTCCGGGGTTCGCCGGCTTCCAGGCTCGCCTGACAGAGCCAGGCGTTCGCTTGGATCTAGCTTCCTTCCGGGCGGGAGGCGCGGGGAGGTCAAGCTCTTCAAAGGAACAGGGTGGGCAGGGGAGTGGTGCCAGGTTAGGCTCCTCGGTCCTCGGTAGTCAGAGCGGAGTAGGAAAGGCAGCGGGGAGCCTCACATCCCGCGCTTCTTCCGGACCCCGCCGCCTACCCGGAGGGTACACGTTCCCCGGGGAGTCAGAGACGCCCTGGGGGAGCTTGAGGAGTGTCAGCGGGGCCTTCCCTGGAGCCTACAAGTTTCCACTCCATCCCCGAGCTGGGAGACAAGTCACAGCTCGGCTCCCTCCTTGAAAGCACCGCCGCTGATCCTTCCCCCAGGCAGGAGCAGACACCTGCTTGTCCCCACGGCGCGCCAGCGCCCTGCTCTAGCCGTCCCTGGGCCAGAGCTCGAAACTCACCCACTGCGCTCCCACCCCGGCACAGACAGCCCTCAAAGTTGTCCGTACTCCCCAGACCTCGCCTTCTGCTCAGCCCCCGGACCCCGCCCAGGGGTTGAGTTGACGTCCGCGGGTGGACCTCTCTGGTCCGCTGCGCAGGGAACTGACTTCGGGAATCCAGGGCGCACAGAGGCCAAAGAAGCTGCGGCAAGGGAGGGTGGGCAAATCCAGCTTGAGCCTAGGTCCTTGCCGCTTTCACCCTCAAGCCTGCCCTGCCTCCCTCCTGGGAGAAGAGCAAACTTCCCCAGCACCCACCTTTAGCCGCGAGGAGGCGGCGCTGCCGGCTGTCCCCGCCACCGCCGCTGCCGCTCCCCACGCCCAGCGCCAGCAGGAGCGGCACCCAGCACAGCCGCCCAGGCAGCATCCTCGCAGCAGCCGCCAACGAGCTGCAGCCGCCGCCTACTGTCCGCGCCGGCTCTCGCCTCCCGGTGCCTGCCGCACCGTGGGCCGCCTCGCCGTGCCCGATGGGTGCGCTTCTAGCGCTGCCGCCGCGGCGCTCGGCCTCGGGTTCCCGCCGCTGCGCCGCTAGCTCGCCGGCAGCAGCCGCGCTCACTGGCGCGGACCCGGAGCGGCTCAGGCGCTCACCCCGGGACGGCCCGTGACGTCACGGAGGGAGGGAGGTGGCTCGTGCATATTCATGAACGCGGGCATCGGCGCCGGGTTCCGCGCTCCCCGCCCCAAGGCCCCGACCCCCAACTTTCCTCAGCCGTCTCCACGCTCCGGGGCCCTGTCCAGGTCCCCCTGCCCAGTCGGGACCGGGCCCCCAGAGGACCCTGGTGGGCGGCTCCGGAGAGCCCTCCAGCCCCGCGCCTCCACTCCGACTCTCGGAAAAGCTGCCGCAAGGGATGGAGGGCTCCCCCAGAAAGTGGCCACCCGAGGCCTGAGGGTCATCTGGGGTGGCGCGAGGGACCCTGACCTGCCATGCCCTTTGAACTGATATCTGGGCGGAGAGGACTGACGGGCGTCGCTAAGGGTCTTGCCCTTGGCTGGGTCTCTGGGCGTTCTGCGTCGACTGGTCTGGGGAGGGCGCCAGGCGCACACTAGAGCAGCGCCTAGTGGTGCTAGGGGTTGTCGGGCAGAGTAGATAGCCTTGGACCTGGATGGCAATGGCAGGGCTCCGCGTCATCTCCGAGAAGCAGGGGCAGCCGCGGCTCTTAGAGGCTGATAGAACAGCTAGATCAGAAAACTTGGGGTGCTGGGCCTGCTGAGGCTGCAGTGGCGGGGGCGGGGTGTCAAACTTAAAATTCCCTGCGGTATGGTGCCATGCAAGAAGTTGCCACCTTTATGTTGTCACTCCGCATCTCTAAGAACAGGCTACTTGACGTCATGCATTGTAAAATCTCGTGCCGTTGAGTATTGTCAGTTCCCTGAGTGCAGGAGCCAGTGCATATCTTTGCATCCTCAACCATCTCTAGGCCGTGAAAAAATTACAAAGGTACTCAAAAAAAAAAAAAAAAAAAACAGTAAGGACTCAGAATAAATCCTTGACCATATTTACCTAAATGAAATGCCAACATCACACACAATGCAGGGTTTATGAGGAATAGTTTGGAAATAAAGTAGATATGGAAATACAGAAACAAACAATATTATTTATTTAGTCATTGATTCAAGACGTTTGCTGAGCATCTAGACAGGCTGTATCACCCTGACAGTGAGCACTGGATTAGTCGTTGGAGATCCAAAGACAGAGGAGAGAGTGGGTCCTATCCTCAAAGCTTTTGTTCCCTGCTTGGGGAGCCAGAGAGGGCAGCAAAGGCAATTACAATCCCTTGTAAGTGTTATGGTCCTGCACATTCTTTATGTTGCTAGCTATGAGCCTATACAAATCAATTAACAAAATGTATATATTGCAAGAGTGCCTAAACAGCATCCTCTAATTAATAACTGTAGTTTGAGGTACTCAACAAAGCCATAAAATCCATTAACAGCACTCCTGCAGCTCAGCCTCCCTCTGCTGCCCTGGCAGCTCACTCAGAGCCTCTGCAGTGGTGAAAGCCAACTCTTCAGGATTTCAGGCACCAGGATGTGCTTGGGGACAGCAGTGAATCATGGTGGCTGCATGGGGCTCAGACCCATGTGGGGCTCTTTACCTTCAGGTCTCCTTTAGCCCACAAATCAACATGTGCGCTATTATTCTCATTTCACACATGATGAAATAGAGGCTCAGGGAAGTTAGGTAACTTCCTTGTTCAGGGTCAAAAATCTAGTAAATGTCCCAGGCCGACACCAGGACCTTGCCTTTGTCAGATGTTGGTTTCAGAATCTAGAAAAGATGGCATGGAAAGGTGGTAGCTGACCCAGGGAAAATAAAAAAGCCAGAAAATAGAAGAGAAATGTAAATTTGTCTCATTTTCTTCCATTTATGCTCCACCCAACTACATATCTGCCCTCCTCCCTTCATTTTCTCTAATAAGTAGACCTATCTTACTGACTTACCTGCACTGTTCTTTGATGTCATTATACTGGGCTTTGTTAAGATCACTGATTGGTCCTAATAATTTTATGTGAAGTTTCAAATTCAGACCAAATAATGAGAAACAGGGGGAAATGTAGCTTATTAGGAAGCATCTCCATGGAGAGATAGCCAGGAAAGAACACAGCAAAGAAAAACACTAGGGGGTGGGCCAGTTACCAACAGGCACAAAATTGCTAGCCTCCATCTCCTCCTCTACCAATGAGGGTAATAACAATGCCTATTGTGGTAGATCAAGTGCACTAATGGCCATTTGTCCATGCTTCTCTGAATCTGTTTCCTTTGGATGTGCCCTCCCACCCCAACTCTGAGCTAGGCCATATGATTTGCTTTGGTCAGTGGGACAGTGGCATGCATGTTGCTTCTTCCTGCCTTGAATCCCTGCTGCTGACATGAGAACAAGCCTAAGCTAACCTGCAGAAGGGTAGGAGACTGCATGGAGTAGAACTGAGCTGTTTCAGACAGCCAAGGTCACACTAGGCTGGTCAGAACCAACTGGCCTACAGGCTGGCTAACCACAGACACATGAGCAAGCCCAGGTAAGCTCAACCAAGATCAGCCAAGCCTGGCTCACATCAGAACTATCCAGCTGACTTATGAGATACAATAAGTGGTTTTTGCATTAATTCATTATGTTCTGGAGCAATTGATTGAGCAGCATTATGCCTACTTCATAAGATCATTACAAGAAGTAAATTTTAAAAATATGTTAAACAGTATGTTGCACATAGTCAATGTTCAATAAATGTAAAAATGTCTTCCCCTTATCCTACTTCCTATATCTCTGAAAACAAGTGTGCCAGTCACACATTTGATTTGATTCATTTGGGGAACAGGCAACAATGACCTGCCTTAGAGGAGATAAAAGTAAGTAAGTTCAGCCTTAGAAATACTCAGACATAAGAGCTTTTAAGTCCACATCATTTGTATGGAGCACTACTGTGCTGTCTGCTTCTGCTGGGCCATTGCAGATGCAAAAGATGGGGTAAAGCAACCTAACAGTTAATGAGTCCTCATTCTTTCCATGCCAGGCTTTACAATGGAGGATATACATTCCACACCTACACCTTCTTTAATCTTTGCAACAAGTGTGCTGTGGTTTGAATATGTGTCCCCTCCAAAACTCATGTTGAAGCTTAATCCTCAATGTGGCAGTATTGAGAGGTGAGACATTTGGCAGGGGGCTGGTTCATGATGGCTCTGCTCTCATGAATAGATTAATCTGTGCATAGATTAATATATTAATGTGTCAATAGATCAATGGGTTATCATGGGAATGGGACTGGTAGTTTTATAACAAGAAGTAGAGAGACCTGAGCTATTACATGATGTGATGCCCTTTGCCACCTCTACAGAATCCACATGAACAAGAAGGACCTCACCAGATTTGGACTCTCAACCTCAGGCCTCTCAGCCTCCATAATTTTAAGAAATAAATTTGTTTTCTTTATAAATTACCTAGTTTCAGGTATTCTGTTATAAGCAACAGAAAATTGACTAAGACAATTGTGCTATTTTCCCTATTTAATCATAATCAGATTACTGGCTCAGAAAGTTTGAGCAACTTATCCATATTTGCATAATTGTGCAGAATATCAATTCATGTCTGCTTAATTCCAAATTTCATCTTTCTCCCACACATCATGACTTTGGGAGAGGCATGCGGGATAAGTAAGCAACAAAAAATAGTTTCAAATCAGAAAAGATAGCTTTGGGGATTTGATTTTTAAAAAACCTTTATCTATCACTACCTCTGATTAAGGACCAATTTAAATAGCCAACTGTCACCAAAGTAGAGATACAAATCTCTGAATATCCATTACTTATTCTGGACTTAGTATTGTGGCATATTCCTCTAAAGATTTTATTCAAAAAATGGTGAACAGGGCCGGGCGCGGTGGCTCATGCCTGTAATCCCAGCACTTTGGGAGGCCGAGGCGGGCGGATCACGAGGTCAGGAGTTCAAGACCAGCCTGGCCAACATGGTGAAACCCCATCTCTACTAAAAATACAAAAATTAGTCAGGTGTGGTGGTGCGTGCCTGTAGTCCCAGCTACTCGGGAAGCTGAGGCAGGAGACTCGCTTGAACCTGGGAGGCAGAGATTGCTGTGAGCCGAGATCATGCCACTGCACTGCAGCCTGGGTGACAGAGCAAGACTCCATCTCAAAAAAAAAAAATGGTGAACAGGATGATGTAAAGCTTGGTCACTCTAAGCCTCAAGTCTGGGGCACCACCTGGCAGTGTAATAATGAATCTCAGGTAATTTATCTGGGTCAATAGTTCTTAATAAATAAATAACTCCCCTATTCCAGAAAATAGAATCTAACTGGCATAGGCCCCATATAAACATAGCCATTTCCTCTCATTTCACCAGGATCATTAATGCGTTGCCCAATTAAGCACCAAAACACAGGCCCTAAATAATTTAAGCTGGGTAATCAAAGAAAATAAATAAATTATATATACTTATGGAAACTTATTTTTAAAAAGAAAATTAAACTGAGGCTTTCTCCATGACCCAGATTTAATTCAACTAAAAGTACTTAACTTTAAAAGAAAGGTTGAAAAGCTGATCTTTACAGAACTAGAGTCATTTGTCATTCTTTTTTCCCATCTTGACAGGTAAAACTGGGGCTTCATGACGCTTGAACAACTGGACAGTTTGCAGATTTTTTAACATTGTTCTTGGAAGTTTTTACGCTGTTGCTGCCAAAGGAACTTCTTTTAAAAAAAGTTTAGGCATTTCTCTTCAGGAAAAAGTTAAAAAAAAAAAAAAAAGCTTGTTCACAACCAAATCCAGTTCAGCATTGTTTGGACATGAGTGTTTTATGCTTGGCAAGGTGGAGTGCCCTGGCTGAAAACAAAGATATCATTAATAATAGCAAGGCATTATTCCAGTACACTTATGTATACTTTCCTTGGAATTTTATGCCCTGTGGTGTTTTGCTTGTTTGTTTTTTTAAGCAGCCATAAAATTCTGTGGCTCTTCCTCCATTGAGAGATGGAATCTATATCTCTTCTCCTTGAATCCAAACAGCCTTGAATCTGAGCATTGTTTCTATCAGTAGACTGCACCAGCAGTGATGCTGTGTGACTTCCCAGACTAGATAATAATGGTGATGCAGCATTTGCCTTGCTTGCTAGGATGCTCACATATGGAGGCTGGAGCCTCCATGTAAGAATTCTAACTACGCTAAGGCCGCCATGTTTTAAGGATCACAGGCCATGCAGAAAGGCTGTATATAAGTAGTTTACAGCCCCAGCTGAGTCCAACATTTGAGTTATCCTGAAAGTTCCAAATAATTCTTCCCACTATGCCCTGCCCAAATTCCTGACCCATAGAATCCATGAATGTAATCAAATGGTTGTTTATACCACTAAGTTTTGGTGTCATTTATAATACATCTAGAGGAAATAGAACATATTTATTTTCATTTGTTCCCTACAACAAAGGCTGGGAAAAGATAAATATTATATTTCGAGGCAAGTCATGTGTAATTAGTCCTATTTTGTAGCTCAGATGTTGAGACTTGTAGAAGCCAAGGCAAGGAATAAGTAGAGCTTAGTGGAAAGAAAATGATTTCTAGAATCAGACAGACCTAAGTTGCAAACCTAGCTTTCCTGTTTTCTAATGATGTCTGACTCGAGAAAGCTACTTACTCTGAACCTCAGTTTCCTCATCTATAAACTTAGACTAATGAAGCAGGTTGTTTTCAGAGTAAAATGAACTGTAAACTGCTGAATTCTTTCCATGCCAGATGGTAGGGATACAGTAAATAGGGCCATTGATAGTTACAATGGACACTCACCCAGGGCCACACAGGTTGTGGATAGCCTTTTGCCTGACTTGATCCAGTATTTGGTGTTTTCTATGCAGGTAAAACGTGGACAGATATGGACACACATGACACCACAGAAGCTCCAGCCCCACCAGCACCTTTGCCAATCCTGCCACAGGAAGCACCAGCCCACGTGCCCTGCCAGAGCAATTCAGATGTGTCTCAAGTACCTAAATCTATCTGCTCTGTGTCATTCCAGGGCTTTGTTCCACTAAGGGAGATGAGAAGGAACCTACCACTTATTGAGCACCTACGATGAGCCAGACACTGCACATATTACTTCAACCCTCCAAAAGTCTAGAAAGGTGATTTATCATTTCCATTGGACATCTAGGGAGATTAAGTTTCAAAGAGATTCAGCAACTTGCTCAAAGAAATTAAGGTGCACTGCTAAAAATGAAGAAGCTGGAATTTGAATTGTCTGGGTCCTGTCTGACTCTGAAGCCATGTTTTTCCAGCCAAGTGAGGCAATGTGTCCAGCCTCCACCACAGCTGTAGGTGCAGGGTTTGTACAGAGACCAAATGCACTACCCTGACTCATTCTGGCCATAATCCCAGGTTTTACACAGAAGTCGTTGTCTTTCAGTGATTCTCTGAAGTTTCCCAGGTTGGAATCCTGTTTCCCCACTGTCTCAGTTGGTACTGGAGATCTTCCCTAGAGATGTTCCTTTCTCTTTTATTTCCTTTCTGTCCCTAAGGGCCTGACTCAAGCTCCACACCTCAGGCTGTCTCCTGACTCCATCCTCTCCTGCAAGGCTTTCACATAACCAGTGGTTTGATCATCAATACCTAGCTCTCCTACACTGCTCAGATACTTTCCAAGACTCATCAAGACTTACTGCAGAAGGCCAAAGTTGCTTAACAAAAATTCAAGTCCCTCACCAGCCTGGCCTCAACTTCCATTGATAACCTGATTTCCTGTGACTCCATTTTATGTAAACTCTGCTCCAGCCAGTCTGGGGACTCCACTGTTTTTCAATAGGGACCACACCAATCCTGCTTCTACACCTTTGCTCACGCTAGACCCTCTACTGTAGTGGGGCTGAATTGTGTTTCTCAAAAAGTCTTGTGTTGAAGGTCTAACCACTGGTACCTCAGAATATGATTCAGAATATGACTGTATTTGAAGATATGGCCTTTAAAGTGGTAATTAAGTTAAAGTGAGGTTATTAAGGTGGGCCTTAATTTAATATGACTGGTGCCTTTCCTTCTAAGAAGAGGAGATTTGGAAATATAATGTGAAGACAGAGAAAAGACAGCCATCTACCAGCCCAGGAGAGAGGCCTAAGAAGAAACCAACCCTGCCAACACCTTGATCTTGAACTTCCCACCTCCAAAATTGTCAGAAAATAAGTTATTAAGCCACACAGTCTGTGGTATTTTGTTATGCAGCCCTCCACACTAATACACCTACCTACAGTCTCTTCCTCTTTCTCCCCAAATAACCTTCTCAGTCTTACTTCCAAAATAAATATTTTTTCTACCTCCCCAAGCACTTGCTTATCTTAAAGTCTTCAAGAGGCTTCTCATCACTCTTAAAATAAAAAAAAAAAAATTAAACCATTTTAGTCTAACTCACAAAGCCCAACTTGATTATTCCTGCCTGCTTCTCTGACCTCTCCCACCTTGCCTACTGGCCTTTGGTCCTTTGAACATAACCAGCTCTTTCCTGCCTTTGCTTTAAACTGGGATTGTACTTCCCTCTTACATCACATGGCATTCAGGTTTCATTTTAAATGTCACTTCTCCAGGGAAGTCATTCCATTACTCTATATAGCGTTTCTTTTTTAATTCTCTGTAATCACTCCTTGCTGATATTTTCTTGAAAGTTTACTTGCTCATTTATTTCCAGCCTCCTCCCAATAGAACCTAAATTGCAGGAGAGGCGAGACTCATGTGCCTGACACATGGGTGCTAGATAGTTATTTACTGAGTGAATGAATGAATGCATGAATGAATGGTTTACCTTCTCTGAGCAGAGCACGTTTTGTCCTGCATCCCTCTTTTTTGACTATTGACATAAACATCCTATTGAAAAATCACTTAAATGTATATTCTTCTTATAAAAATCTAGAACTTATATTTTCATGTAGCTTGAGCATGATACTGCAAAATTCATACTCATGGGTGGGAGGGTGGTGTTAAGTAAGAAAGCATTTTAAAGGGTGAGTAGTACAGATACTGTTTTCGTTTTATACATAAGGAAATGGATGCAAAGAGAGGTTACATCACTGGCTTAAGCTCACACAGCCTGGGCTAGATTCTAGTTTTCTTGAGTCCTGGTTCAGAACTCTTTTTCTATATCATGTCTTGGTACATAGTCAGAGTCAATAAGTAGAGTGCACAAACACCAGTGCTTAAAATGCCTGGAGCTGACTGAGCTAGGAGTCAGGAAATGCCTTCCACACAAACACCCCAATGGAGAGATCCCTATGAAAGAGAAGAGAAGGGTTAAACGTTCATTTGCTTTCCCAACTCAAAAAGCAGCCTATGCCTGCTCTTCAGAGCCTTCTAGTCTAAGATCGACAAGCTGACTTGCTAGACTGCTCCAAGGAAATCATTTCACCTAAGTAATTTTAAAGTTTTATGTCTTTCATTTCTCAGTATTTAAGAAATTTTTTTCCAGGTTGGCGTGGTTATGTGTCATGAATCATGTGTCCAAAGGGGACAGGATATATTATATCATCTTCATACAATGTTCTATAACATCTGGGAATGCCAAAAAGTGGTGTAGAGTGGATGGCACATGATAAACGGTATGTATTTGCCCGTGGGGGAATTGAAGGACCTTAAACACCCAATGCCATGCCTAAAGGGCAAAGTGTGGCTTCATTCCTGCTTTAGTCTATAAGTAACTGAATATTGGAGGCTGACTTTATGGTAAAAGATATCCAGCTATTTTTTGACTTTAGGATTCAGGGATGAATACTCTTAAAGCAGACTACTAAAATCCATTCTAAATACATTTCCTTAAAACTGGTCTAGAGATTGATTTAATGCTGAACTAGGAGGAGTAAGAGAGAGAGTGAGTGGAAGAAAGAGGGGGGGAAACGTCAAAGAGGAGCTACATAAACAATGATTAAGGATTTTTGAGTATTTATATGATACAATTCATATACATGAATATGAAACTTTGTACTTTGCAAACAAAGATTAAGGTTTCCTTTACACTCTTCATAGAAATTCACTAGATGCCTGTATCATCAAAGTGCTTAAAACAGGTCTGTAATTAATAAATTATTTAAATATTTAAGCTGTCACTCAAAAGTGAATATGATATCTAGACATTCTTAGATACCCCGTGCTCATTTAAAACCAACAGGCCATCATGAAAGAAAACCTTAAGATGAAAGAAGGCATCGTGAACAACAAAGATATATTGATCTAAACAAGATTTAAACAAAATTAAAATAAGAGTTAAATAATGAGTAATTTGCATGGGATGTAAGCAAAATAGGAACAAAATACTAGACAAAAGTAACATGAAAACTAAAATAGAGGGATCAAGATTAAAATATCCTAGGTTCCATATATTGTTCAAAAGGAGAGTAAAGATATAGAATACTTTCAGACTTTTCTCATGCAAGTGTTCTTGTCAAGATTTTAAGGGTGAACAGTTAAAGATTAGATAGAGAACAAATAGTTTCCAAAAAATCAAGAAGAAGAGGGGAATGAAAGGAAACCCATCCAATAAATGATAGTAAAGGAATAAAACGTGAAGAATAGAAAAGCAGGTTTATTAGAACAAAATAAATTGATATGATAAGTTCCTATGTACCACACTAAAAAGGGAAGGATTAGACTTATGTATTAATAATAGAGATTCTGAAGTTAGATATATTTTAATGCTATCATATGTTTGCAATTGGCACACTGAAAATATAAGTACACAGAAAAGTTGAAATGTACAATGTATATGTGAGTATGCATATATATTTACATATGTATTATATTGTGTATACACATATATGTGTGTGTGTATACATATATATAGATCATAAGTGTTGCTTTTTATTTTCACATAAAATAAAATTTAAGGCAAAAAAGTTCTAAAATTAATGAGGATCACTATATAAAGGTAAAATGTTCAATTTGTCAGAAAGACATAACAGTTCTAATCCTCCATGCACTTAGTAACATAATCTCAAAATATACAGAAAAGCAAAAATTTACAGAATAAAAGACTCACAAATTCACAGTCATAATAAAAGATGTTAATGTACTTCATTTTGCAATGTATGGACCAAAACAATAAACGTTAGTAACAATAGAGACAATTTGAACAACACTATTAACAACTGCTCAAATGGACAAATTTAAACCTAGCAATTAACAATTAAAGGAAACAATTTATCTTCAGGCACAAGTTAGCTATTTATAAAGTACATCTCAACAAATACTAAGGAATCTCTATTATGTAGACAATATTTTTGTTACTATTATACCAAAATACAATTAATAACAATTTTTAATATGCACATATTTGGAAATTGAGGGGAAAATCTTCTACATGGCCAATAGATAAAAGAGAAAGTAAAAATACAAATTAGAAAACATTTAGAACTGAACAACAGTGAAAATACTACATATCAACACTTACAGAATGAAGCTGAATGGAATTTAGAAATAATAGCCTTTAATGCTTATCTTAGAAAATAAGAAAGTCTGGGGAATTTTCTGTTGAGTATCCCAGACAAAAAGTCATAAAATGAACAACAATAGTTCTTAGGATTGTGTGATATTGCTAAAGCAATAGAAAAATAGAGAAATGGAACAGAATAGATAACTTGGAAATAGAAACATACTTGTATAAATACTTAATGTATGCTTAGAAGTCAATGAAGGAAAAGATGGACTACTCTATCAATGGTAATAAAATCATTTCAATGGAACAATGGCTTAATCTGAAAAATACAAAATTATAAGTTTTAGAAAAAATATTAGTAGAATATTTGTATGACTTAAAAGTAAGAAAGAATTTCTTAAACACAAAAGGCACAAATCATGAAGAAAAGTATTGATATATTCAACACATCAAAATTAAGAAATTTTGTTCATCAAAAGACACCAAAAATAAAGGGAAATAGAAAGCCATGAGGTGAAGATTGATATCTGTGACTCTTGTAACTAACAAAGGATTGGTCTCACATATATGAAGAATTTCTACGAATCAGTAACAATAAACAATTAAGAAAAAAGGGGAAATTTATAAACTGGCAATCCATAAAAAATAAGTCTGATAGGAAAATGCACAAGAAAAAAATGTTCAATATTATAGGTCATTGGGGAAATAAAAGTTAAAAATAACAGCAAAATACTATTTCACACTTAACAAATTAGAAAAGTTTTAAAAGTCTAATAATACTATATATTAGCGAGAATAAGGAGCAATGGGACTATTTATACACTGCTAATGGAAATATAATTGGTACAACCACTTTAGACAGCATGAGATAGAATCTACTAAAACTGAATATGCACATACTCTGCAACCTAGTATATTAATTTCCTAGTGCTGCCGTAACAAAGCACCACCACCAACCAGCTGGTTTAAACAATAGAAATTTATTCTGTCACAGTTCGGGAGGCTAGATGTCCAAATTCAAGATGTCAGTTGTGTGGTGCCTTCCGAAGCCTCTAGAGGAAGACCCTTCCTTGCCTTTTCTGGCTTTTAGTAGCTCTGGATGTTTGCGGGCTGGAGGCAGCATAATCTCCACCTCAATCTTCACATTGCATTCTCCTTGTGTCTCTGTATCTTTACACTGCCATCTTCTTAGACAAACACCAGTCATATGAGATTAGGAGCCACCCTACTTCAATGTGACCTCATCTTAACTGAACTAAATACATCTGCAATGACTGCAGTCAGCCCTCAATAGCTGTGGGGGCTGTAGGTTCCACGTCTGTGGATTCAACCAACAGCTAATTGAAATATTTGAAAGAAAAAAAAAAAGCATCTGTAGTAAACACGGATAGATGTTTTTTCTTGTCATTCTTTTCTTTTCTTTTCTTTTTTTGAGATGGAGTTTCACTGTTCGTGCCAGACTGCAGTGCAATGGCGTGTTCTCGGCTCACTGCAACCTCCACCTCCCGGGTTCAAGCAATTCTCCTGTCTCAGCCTCCCAAGTAACTGGGATTACAGGCACGGGCCACCATGCCCAGCTAATTTTTGTATTTTTAGTAGAGATGGGATTTCACCATGTTGGCCAGGCTGGTCTCGAACTCCTGACCTCAGGTGATCTGCCCACCTCGGCCTCCCAAAGTCCTGGGATTACAGGCATAAGCCTCTGCACCCAGCCCTTGTCATCATTTTCTAAACAATACAGTGTAACAATGAACTACATAACATTTTATTTCACTGTACTCTAGAGATGATTTAAGGTACATGGAAGGACATACGTAGGATAGGCACAAACACTATGCCATTTTATATAAGGGACTTGAGCATCCATGGATTTCTGGCATCCATGAGGAGTCCTGGAACCAATCACCCATGGATACTGTGTGACAACTGTATTTCCAAATAAGGTCATATTCTGAGGTACTAGTTTTTGGAGGACAAAATGTTACCCATAACATCTAGCCATAACTACTAGTTATACATATTTAAAATATACCCATGCACATGAAAACATATGTAAATGTTTGTTGCAGCATTTTTCATAATTATGAAAATATAAAATATAAACCTTTAACAGAAGATAAGTTTATAAATTATGATATATATTTAATGGAATATTAAATTAAATCAAATAGAATAAAACTAAATTAAATTTAATGAAATAGAAATTCTCCCATCACATGGGGAAACCAAAATACATAATGACAAACATAAAATAAAAGTTGGAAATTTTCTGTTTCAACAGAGTGATAGATTAGATATTAAAATAATGGACAAAATAGAGAAGTTTTAAACACATTCCTGAGCTGATGCAAAAATAAGGATTCCGCAAAATCTAAAATTAAGTGAAACCGGAAACACCGGGAAGTGTGTGAGCACCAAAGCTGGTTTTGCCGTTTGTGGTTTTTTAATTGGCACATAATGTTTGTACATATTTCTGGGGTACATGTGATATTTTGTTACATGCATAGAACATGTAATAGTCAAATTAGAATATTTAAGATATCCAGCACAGTGAGCATTTATTAGTTCTGTGTTGGGAAGATTTCAAATCCTCTCTTCCACCTATTTTGAAATATACAATACATTGTTGTTAACTATGTTAACTATAGTCACCCTACTATGCAGAAAGTAAAAATGAAGGTCCCAAAATGGTAGCACCTACAGGTGGCAGAAGCAACTGTGTGCACTGAGGAATAAAACTTTACCTAGGCATCAAAGAATCGCCACAGGTAAAGGGTGAGATAAAACAAGTAGCACAAAATACTATGTACACTTACATGAACACAAACAGGCAGAAAGAGGAGACAACAGAAACATACACAAAAGCACCAGGTATTGGAATTTACAGACATAAAAGTCTAAATTATGTTGAAGATATATCTAAAGAAATAAAAGACAAGCTTAGAAAGATCAATAGAATAGAAGGGATCATATATGAACAAGAAGATTTTGGAAAAAAAACAAATTCAACTTTAGAAATAAAAAATATACAATAAATATATTTGACTAAAAAACCAAAATGAGTAACATAATCAACAAACTTGATGTAGCTAAAGAGATACATTTTGAATTGTAAAATAGATCCAAATAAGTATGTAAAATTCAGGCCAGTGGTTTAAAAATTTAAAAGAAAGTTCAAGGAACTAAAAGATAAAGGGAGAATACTATAACTGAAATTCCAGAAGAAATAAAAAGAAGAGATAATATAAAAATAGTTTCTGAGAATGTTTTAGAATTGTTGAGCCTTACCAAGTCTCAAGTACAGAAATTCTAATAAATTTAAAACAAGGTAAATCTTTCATAAAAATCCATGTCAAGATGTTGTCTGTGTTTGTGTGTGAAAGACAGGGAGGAGAGAGATGGAGAAGGTGAAAGAGAAAGATAATTCCAGCAAGCAGGAAAGTACAAACGTGGCAAAATGTTAACAATTGATGAATCTACCTGAAGGGTATGAGTACTCACTAAATGATTCTTGAAACCTTTCAGAAGGATTGAAAAGTTTCAAAATAATTTAAATACAAATTAACAATATAAGTATTATATACAACACAAATATAAGAAAAATACGAGAATACTGACAAGCAATGTATCTATATTGATTCAGTAATTTCTATCTTACCCCACCAGACTTAGTCAGTTTTCATTGGACATTTTACTAAGCTTTCAAGAAACCAATAGTTTCAATCTTACATAAAATTTTCTAAAGATAGAAAAAGTAAGAATGGCTAAATCATGATGGCCAAATCTGACAAGGACTGCACAGAAAGAGAGGAAATTAAAAAGCAAACTCACTAATGAACTTACATGAAAAGAATTTCCTTCCCCTAGGAAAAAAAAAATTATCAAGGTGACCTAACAAGGTATTGAAGATTAGGGTTTATTGCAAAAACACAAGGTTCATTTAATTGCAGAAAACAGAGTAATGTAATTCACCACATTAAGATATTTAAAGAAATAAATGGAATGCTAATTTAAAAGATGCAGAGAGGTGTTTTTAAAATTATATGTATATTCATGATTTTTTAAAAAGTCTCAGAAAACTATGAAAGTTCGTCACCCTTATAAAGTGAATATATCCACTTCTGTATACATATCTATGTATGTATTATATTTAAGTTTATATTATGTATACTACATATTAATATACATAAAAGTCATGTATTAAATATCACATTTAATTGTGAAACTTTGAAAGCTTTCCCTTCTGAGACTGGGAATTAGGTAAGAATGCTGCTCTCATGACTTCTGTTCAGCTTTGCACTAGAGGATTTAGTAAGCATGATTAAAAAAAAGAAAGAATTGGGAGGCCGAGGCAGGCGGATCACGAGGTCAGGAGATCGAGACCATCCCGGCTAAAACGGTGAAACCCCGTCTCTACTAAAAATACAAAAAATTAGCTGGGCGCGGTGGTGGGCGCCTGTAGTCCCAGCTACTTGGGAGGCTGAGGCAGGAGAATGGCGTGAACCCGGGAGGCGGAGCTTGCAGTGAGCCGAGATCGCGCGCCACTGCACTCCAGCCTGGGCAACAGAGCGAGACTCCGTCTCAAAAAAAAAAAAAAAAAGAAAGAAAGAAAAAGCTCTGAGGATTGAGATAAAAAGGAAACAATTATTGTTTTCTTCAGATTCAGGTTATATGACTGAATGTAGAAAGTTAAAAAAAGTCTATATGTAAATCATTAGAATTAATAAGAACTTTAGCAAGATTATCAGATACTAAAACAGGATGCAAAAATCATTTGCATTTCCATGTACCAGGTACAAATAATTAAAAATAAAAAATTTAAAAATATAAGCATCAAAAAATATGAAATAACTAGGAATGTATAAGCAGCCTTTATAGAGATTATTATGAAACATTTTCAAGAGACACTAAAAAGACCTAAAAAAGTGACTAGAGATACCAAGTTATGGGATCAAAAGTATTAATTGTAAAGATGTCATTTATCTCCAAAATAACATATCAATTCAATGAAATCTCAATAAGAATCCAAAAAGTATTGCTTACTGTTTGTTTTGTGGAGCTTTATAAGCTGGTCTAAAATGTATTTTATAAATACAGGAGGACAAGAAAAACCATTACACTCTTTTGGAACAAGGTATGAGACCCTGCTTTACCTTATATCAAAACTTATTATAAAGCTATAGTAATTAAGATAGAATGCTATTTGTTCAGAGACTAACAACTAGGCCAGGGGACTAGAATGAAGTATGAAGAAATGTACCTATATATGGATAAAGAGGTATTGGATACAGATGAGGACATAATGCCTTTTCAATAAATTGTGCTGGGATAATTGGATATCCATAAGGAAACCAAATGAAATTCAATCCTTACCCTATACCAATTCCATGTGGAGGAAAAAAAAAAACCCTACATGAAAGGCAAATCCATAAAGTTTTCAGAAGATAATATAGGAGAACATCTTCAAGGCCTTGGGATAGGGGAGTATTTTTTTAACAATAAACAAGAAATACCATAAAGGAAAACATTATATTAAATTAAAAATAAGTATCTTCCAGTACCATAAAGAGAGTGAAAACAGGAGCCACATTAGAAGGTATTTGTAATACATCTAAGTGACTAAGTTCTAGTATCCTGAATATATGTAGGCTCATTAATTTATAATATTAATTATAACCACTAAATTGTCCAAAATTAAACGTCTGATTGTATCAAATGTTGGTGAGAATTTGGATCAAGGAGACTATCTTATCTTACAGGTTGGAGTGGAAATTGCTACAATTCTTTGACAAACTGTTACATAGTAAAATTTAAGATGTAACGCAGTGACCCAACAATACTATTCCTAGATATTTCCCCAAGAGAAACTTACAGGTGTGGATCAGGAAACATGGGCAAGAGTGTTTATGGAAGCATTGTTTGAAACAGTTTCAAACTGAAAATGCCCCAAATGTCAATTCTCAGTAGAAGGGATAAATAAATAGTGACATCTTCATTCAATGGAATAAAATAAAATAATGAAAATGAACAAACTACAGCTACACACTTAAAAACATGGATGTATCTGTGATGTCATTCCTTTTATATAAGATTTCAGAGGCAAAAGTAGGTTGTATTACTTATGGATACATACATATATAGTAAAACTATAAAGCACAACGCAGACATGATTATGACAAACATCAGGATAGGTTTACCTCTGGAGTGTAAGCCCCTTGAGGGCAGGGGCCGAGTCTTATTATCTTTATCTTCAGCAGCTAGCACAAGCCAGACACACAGTTGGCACTCATAAATTTTTTAATTGGATGTTTTGCTATCTACAATATAAGTTACTAAAGTTTAATTATTGAATGCTTTCTAGTCTAAATTTATTTTCATTCCAGGCTTCAGGTTCCAAACAGGACAATCATAAAATAACCCCTGCTGGTCAGGACTCCCTCATGCAGTGCTGGCTGAGAGTGCCTAAGATTTATTCGTTGTCATGCTTTTTTAGGCAACACTGTATTTTAGGCAATGGACATTAAAAAGAAAAAAAGACCCACAGATCTTTCCCCCAGGCGGTTGCATCATGAAGAGGAGGCAGGCAAGAAAAGAGACAATGACAAAAGAGTGTAGGGCATTAAAGAATTATTGTTAATGATTAAATATGTTATATCAGTTGTGAAAATGAATTCTTTTTAACAGAGATCTTCAATCTTCTAGCTAGGTGCTTACAGAAGAAGGTTTGTGTGATGTAGTTTGGCAAATGATGAGGGAAGGGAGGAGAGATTTACTGGACATTCCATATCTCACCACTTCTACTTACTACTACTCACTACTTCTGGAACAAAATGTCTCCCGCCTTTTCACCTGCTCTTCATTCTATCTCTCAGCCCCCTACTCAGTGCACACAGCAGAGGATGGATTTTGATAGTGAGGGTTGGGGCTACGTATCCTGAGAAGGGAAGGGAGGGGCATCACCCATGGAAGGGGATGGTCATCTGACCAGACATAGTTCCTTGGAAGGAGGACTTGGGACTGAAGAGGGCTGGCATCTTGGGAAGAGCTTGGACCTGAGGGACTTGGGTGTGCTGGTGAGAGTGGTCAGTGGGGATGGCCGCTGATGATGGAGGTGGTCCAGGAGGCCCCAAGTAGGAGTCCCAGATCGATTGAGCTGCCAGTTACTGTGTGTTTATTCCTTAGTGTTATCCAGGAGCTTGTTGTAGAGTCTCGGTTAAATATTCCCACCTGTTGCCAACAGCTGCGCATAGGGAAATAAGTGAAAAGCTACAAGTCATTAGGATTTGGAAGGGGAATGGCACTCCATGAAGCCACTGTGGTGAGGAGAGTGGTGACTTGCCGGGAATCTTCAAGGGGATGTAAACATAAGAAGACTACAATCAGGGCTACCAAGCCCAGCTACATCTCCCCGCACCAAGTGTCTCCTTCCGCTGTCAACCTGACAGGCGGGGCTTGGCTTATTAAGGGGGTCTGCAGGTTCTGGTTCACCTGGGCGGCTGACTTTGCTCACCCAGTGACCAACACAGGGTGGCAGAGGGACTCTGTTTCCCATTGCGAGACTGCATTTCCCTAGGATGCAGGAGGAAGTTGGAGATGTAAAGTAAGTTGCACAGTGGGTAATCACAAAATAAGACAAATGGAGCTTGTAAAAATCTCTTTTCCAAATATATCGCAAAGCGTATTTGAGACAACTGTGTGTGGATCCACAGGACACAGGTGTGGAGACACGAGGTGAGAACCTTCAGAAAGCCAACCTCTCTCTGAGGCTCTCAGTTTGGGGAGCAAGTGTGAGCATGTTCCTGATTTAGTCTCTGCCTTGTCACCTTCAAAGGGAGATATTCCCAAGTCCGGCAGATCTTGCCCTTGTGTTTTCACAGCTGTGTGCTCTGTTGCTGTGACCCAGTTTACGGAAGAGGGACTTCCAGCCTAGACAGGACTTCTTGAAGAACACAGAGCAAGATGAGCCTCCAAATGAGGTTTGAGAGGCAACAAAAAACCACCAACTCAGCTAGGGAAACTGGTTCTTATCTTCGATAGCCTTAACTGGCTCAGAGGAAGAGCTCTTTGCTTCCAGACTTCATGATTCCAGACTCCAGAAGCTGATATCCTGGAATCAGATGCAACATGTAAGTAAAGCTGTGAAGGAGGAGATTATCTTTGCCTTCCAGTTTTAATTAAATTGTGGGAAATAATTATTAACTAGAGCCCAACACACAGCTTCTCAAAATACCAAGGAGAGCAGTTACATGCCCTTTGGGTATGTGTTGCTACATTACAGAAGAAACACAGGTATAGCAAATGTGACTTTTCCTCTACATATCCTAGATCACTGCCTGCCGGTTGAGTTTTCAATCCAAGATAAACAATGTGCCGTTGAGATTCCAGTCTCAGATTATCCCTGCAAACACTGCCTCTTTGCATGCATCTCATGAAGCTACAGTGGGGTTTTAGGGAAATGAAATGGTCTCATAAATCTTGTCATTGCAGTCCTAATTAAACCCTAGGTTTACTTCCACCTGGAATATTTGCAAAGGCAAGACCAGGCTGATTGGGGGGAAGATGGAAGCCTCTCCTCTTAGTGTTGAGGTGATGAGACTGAAGTGGAACAGAGTAAGTGTTGAGAAAAATCATGAGGTGACTTCATTCAATTCATGCCATGGCCTCTGCCTCCAGATCACCTCTTCTTCTAAACAAGCACACATTGCCCTAGATGGTGAGGAAACTCCAAATCTGAGCCTCATCCAAAGATTAAAGAGGAAAATGTGCTTCTAAGGATGAGAAATGGGCTTGAGAGAGGCACAAAATTTTTCACTTCTAATAAAAATAAATTTGAACTGCCATTGAGGAAAATGAAAATGGCCTTTTGAAAAGGGAAACATTTTCAAATTGGAAATCATCATTCTCAGTGAACTATCACAAGGACAAAAAACCAAACACCACATGTTCTCACTCATAGGTGGGAATTGAACAATGAGAACACATGGACACAGGAAGGGGAACATCACACTCTGGGGACTGTTGTGGTGTGGGAAGAGCAAGGAGGCATAGCATTAGGAGATATACCTAATGCTAAATGACGAGTTAATGGGTGCAGCACACCAGCATGGCACATGTATACATATGTAACTAACCTGCACATTGTGCACATGTACCCTAAAACTTAAAGTATAATAATAATAAAATAAATAAATAAAAATAAAAACTCTTAAAAAATTGTAAAAAAAATAAAAATAAATAAATAAATTCACATACCTAAAAAAAAAAAAAAAGAAAAGGGAAACATTTGGTAGCTCTGACTAATGGAACAAGGTCCAAATAGCTCTCGTAGAACATGGTGCATAGCTACATTCTATAAAAACTGATAACTAAAAAAAAAAAAGATATGAGAATTATGGACAAGCTGTGCTCCTGTGGCCTGGACAGAGATCTCCAAATTAAAATGGTCAGATGTTGGCCATGCTTGAAAGAGTATCTTTTTTCGTCGTATCTAACCATGCCCTTGGTGGTAGGCAGTTTGGAATCCACTCTGAGCTTCTGTATTCAGACTATGATGTGTTTTTCAGGCCACTGGACACTTCCATGTGCCCAGTGTCGCCTGTCCTGGCCTGGAAGAGTACTCTGTGCTTTGTTAGCCTGGCTGAGTTCTGTAGAGCACTTTGCCAAGCACTAAGCTCTCCGCCCTCCCAACTGTGGAGCCCTGGCCTGGCCTCATGTTCGGTGCTCTACCCATGCCATTTGGCAGCTTGGAAACAAATTGAAGTTCACAAATCAGCAGTGTGGGCAGCTGGTCTCTTTCTCTACCAAACAAAGGGGGTAAGGCTAATGCAGGTCACTCCAAAGAAGGCTAAAGAGGGCATACATAGGAAATATTGCCTTGTATTGGAAGGCTATTGCCTTTCAAATGAAATTTAAAATTAAGGAGACTGAATTACAAGTGTCTGCTATAGGAAGTAATAGGAAGACCACTGATTAGCTAATGAAGAGAGGATCACATTTCAGTTATTGCAGAGTCTTAGGCTAATATGCACAACACTCCTGAAGAATTTTCAGCTCCCAGAGAAGTTAATCCCTTTAGCCTGAAAATACACGCATGCATGGACACACACACACACACACACACACACACACACACACACACACACAAACTGTTTTTTTCTCGGGATACAGAAGCCTTATATAGACAGATTTGATTCACTGATGTAGAAATAAATGACTCAATCCTGCTTCTTAACAGAGTACTATGTGTGAAAATGGCTTCAGGAGGAACAAAAAAGTAGAATAATTTGTTCTTATCGGTTAATCTTCTGGATCTCATGAAGCATTTACTCTACCTGGACTCTAGGAGGCAAAGCCAGCAGATAGTTTACACAAAAGCCCCCTTTTGGAAATGACTAGAATATCCAACAGCAGGCTGGGCAGCGAATCACAAGTCCCTGGTTGCAGGATGGTTCTCAATTGAATTCAGCAAGTATTTATCGAGCTCCTTGCTGTGCCCCAAGCCTGAGCTAGGCTAAGCCATAAACAGAATAAAAGATGGAGACGAGCTACCATCTCCCCCACCCTAGGTCAAACTGAACTGCTGGCTCCAGCTAGAGAGCTATGAGCCAGGCTTCCGGCAAATGCTCCCCAACTTCATTGCAGGGTTGAGCTTCAAGCTGTGTCAGCCTTCAGGATAAGAACTGTCCAGTATTCACCCAGAATCTGAGGCAAGTTATGTTAGAAGTTCTTCATGAGAGGCAATAAGGAACATGGAAAAAGAGGACAATTTAAAAGCCAAGTCCAGAGGCAGAAGCAGCAGCAAGTTGAGACTTGGCTGGATTTGATGTGAATAGGAGTCAGACTTATAGCCTTGGAATAAGAGAGAGGAAGTTAAAAGTGCAATGGGTTAAGAAATCCATTGCCTGATGTACTCATTTTTTTGGTAGTGAAAACATTTAAAATGTACTCTTTTAGCCATTTTGAAATATACAATGCATTATTATTTATTATATTCACCATTCTATGCCATAAATCATTGAATCAACTAAAAATAAAATTTTAAATTAAAAAATGCAATGCCTCTATCTGGCTGTTGAAAGCCAAGTAGAGAAAGACCCTGAACCCTTCCACTCATCCATCTTTCATTTCCAGAGGGCAATTCCTTTACAATCATCATGGCCCCGGGGGCCCCAGCTTTCTTCATTGTCATAGTAGGTGATTTCATTTGTGATAAAGAGCTCAAGTTCCAGAGTATAGACGATGGGATTAAATTCTGGCTCTAACGCTTATACAGACCCTTTGTATCCATGGGTCCTGCCTTCATGGATTCAACTAACCACGTCTGGAAAATATTTGGGAAAAAATCCCACAAAATTCCGAAAAGTAAAATTTAAAAATTCACCTAGTACTATGTTAAGTCTATGCTAATGTAGTAACATATATGTATTATATTAGGTATTATAAGTAATCTAGAGATGATTTAAAGTACATGGGAGGATGTACATAGATTATGTGCAAGTACTATGTTATTTTACATCAGGAACTTGAGCCTTGTAGTCCTGGAACCAATCCACCTCAGATACCACAGGGTGACTGTACTTCTAAAACTCCATTTAATAATACGTTCCTGTTGGGATGACATAAGGATCCAATAAGATCATTTAAGTCAAGTAAGCATGGGGCCTGGCACGAAAGAAGCCTTCAGTACATGTTACCTATGGCTTCATTCATTTTTCAACAAATATATATCAAGTGCCTACTAAGTTGGCCAAGCCTTGCTGTCTGTGCCATGCAGAAATAAACCCAACAGAATCGCTGTCCCATCGGAACATATAATTCAGGAAGAAAGAGGCCAGTGAAGACACAACAGCTATAGCACAGGGTGAATATGCTTGGAGAGGCAGCCAGAGGCTGCTGAACCATGGAGGAAGGCCACTGCGCCCAGGCGGGGCCAGGCAAGGCTTCTGGAGGGCTTGACTCTTGGTCTGCCTTGAAAAGGGAGTAGAAACTAACTCGGTAAAGAGGAAGATGGGATATCAGGAGGGCAGGTCAGAAAGAGGATGAACCATAAGCAAAAGTAGGAAGGTGATAAGCAGCAAGACGGTGCTTGGAGAAGAAAGATGATTAGCTTGGGGCTGAGGAGCCTCTACTCATGGAGCAGGGCCTGAGAGAGGCTGAGCCTGAGAGCTGGGCAGGGGCTAGAGCTTTGTAGGGAGCACCAAACGGTTTGGCCTCTCTTCAGGGGTCGTGGAGAGTCAGGAGGGGGCTCTGCATTCCAGAAGGATTGCTCTGGCATTGGTGACAAGCCCCTGCTGAGGGAAAGAATATGTGAAGGCAGAGTGGCGAGGAATTCAGGGTGGCAATCCAGGCCAGATGTACCTGGGGCTGACTGAGGGTAGTGGAGTCCAGAAATAATCAAAAGCAAAAAGTGGCAGAACTAGGAGGTGGGTTGGATATAGATGGTGGAAGGAAAAATCCAGGCCAGGCTTCTAGCCTGGGAGGCCGAGTGGTTGGTGGTGCTGGTCTCTGAAACAAAGCAGGAGGAAGTCAGGTTAGGGAAGGGAGGGTGAGGACTTTGGATCTGGGACAAGTTTGGTTGGACTAGCTTAAAGGACCAGAGGTGGGGTCATTAGAGAAATGCAAATCAAAACCACAATGAGATACCATCTCACACCAGTTAGAATGGCGATCATTAAAAAGTCAGGAAACAACAGATGCTGGAGAGGATGTGGAAAAATAGGAACGCTTTTACACTGTTGGTGTGAGGGTAAATTAGTTCAACCATTGTGGAAGACAGTGTGGTGATTCCTCAAGGATCTAGAACTAGAAATACCATTTGACCCAGCAATCCCATTACTGGATATATGCCCAAAGGATTATAAATCATTCTACTGTAAAGACACACGCACACGTATGTTTATTGCAGCACTATTTACAATAGCGAAGACTTGGAACCAACCCAAATGGCCATCAATGATAGACTGGGTAAAGAAAATGTGGCACATATACACCATGGAATACTATGCAGCCATAAAAAAGAATGAGTTCATCTCCTTTGCAGGGACATGGATGAAGCTGGAAGCCATCATTCTCAGCAAACTAACACAGGAACAGAAAACCAAACACCACATGTTCTCACTCATAAGTGGGAGTTGGACGATGAGAACACATGGACACAGGGAGGGGAACATCATACACTGGGGCCTGTCAGGGAGTGGGGAGTAAGGGGAGGGAGAGCATTAGGACAAATACCTAGTGCATGTGGGGCTTAAAACCTAGATGACAGGATGATAAGTAAGGCAAACCACCATGGCACATGTATATCTATGTAACAAACCTGCACGTTCTGCACATGTATCCCAGAACTTAAAGTAAAATAATAATAATAAAAGGACCAGAGGTGGGATATCAAAAAGAAGGGTGAGATGACCTTGTTAATGGGGGCTAAAGGGAGTAGCTGGGCAGACAGAGGACCCAAGCAGAAAGGGCTGGTTCCTCTGGTTCCTCTCACAGCTCCCATAGCATGTCTCCCTCTCTGCCAGCCTGCACAGGTCCCACTTATGGCTGCCTGTGGCAACATGAAGGCAGAATGACTTTTCTAGTCCTTGCAGATGATACTGACAGCATAATAGCTTCTTCATTTGTCCCCTTACCTCTCATCTCTGCCCTCAAATGCATTCTCCATCTCTCCTGCTCCTGCAGATTGATGTTTCTAAAAGACTACATAAATCAGGTTACTTCCTTGCTTAGGAATCTTCAACGGCTCCCTATTGCCTTCAGAAATCAGGTAAATCTCTTCAACATGGCAGTGTAATAACTTTCTGCTCTTATAGTGTCTACATGTTTTGCAAACAACTGAACAGAAAGGGGAATAAGTGCAATTAGCTACATGGATATTTTTAAACGGATAGAGATGGTCTCAGAATTCTTAAGTATCTTCATTACCCTTCAGTATCCATTCTATTTGGTGATACCTTAGCCCCATTTATTGCCAAGCACCAAAGTGTCCTACAATTTCAGAAATACAAAGGCTCTTAGACATCAGACAATTGCCTGGCTCTTCATGGGGAAAGCCCCTGAGGTGCCCATGTCTCTAATGCTCCTTTCTCATACCCTACAGCCATTCCTTAGAGAAATGCATATGAACTGCAGATCTCTGGTGCCATTCTTTCTCATTCCCCTAGAGTTTTAAACATGCATTTTCTTGTTTTTCCCCTCTTTCTTATGCTCTTTTACCTTTTATACTTTTTTCTTTGCCAGACGAATTACTACTTATTACTTAGGCCTCATCATAAAAATCCAGAACCTTCCAGAAACCTTCTCCAATGCCTTCATGTGGGTTAGGTATCTGTCTTCTGCATTCCCACACCTGGGCTTCCTTCCCTCTGTCATATCACATCTCACACTTTATTGTTCTTGCTGTCCCTTCTCTAGCTGTTGAGTTTCTTAAGGCCAGGGACTGCGTATTGTTCGTCTTCACATCACTACTAGGTAGCACAGAGACCCAGAGTGAAATAGGCACTCCATACTAGATAACCTAATTTCTCAAAAAACCCAAAACTTGGGTCTGGGTTTGGGTTTTTGGAGAAATTAGGTTATCTATTAAAGAAATTAACAGTTTATCTATTAATAGACAATCATTTATCTATTAAAGAAATTAGTTTATCTATTATGAAGAGAAATAAAAAAGTTTGTCTCTCTCCATCAGGTTCACCTAGATGCCAGACAACTAACTGCTGAAACTTTCCTCCTCCAAAGAGTCAACGAGGCCTGCAATAGCACTGGTTTGTAAGTAGATGAATTCATTAACACACCAAGGGGAGTCACAGTAGGAAGGATTGTTTGCTATAGTGTGGCAGGAACAGGATTATAAACTGGAACAAGTGGCCTTTGGGGAGTAGCACCATTTAATTGTTATATCTAGCTGTCTCCATTATTCTAAGAAGCTTGGGTCGAAAATGAATTTAAAACAGTTAAGTCATTCCCCAAAGAAAACGGTTTAATAATAACTTTGCTTTTAGACAGTGTCTACATGGTTTCTAAACAACTAGATAGGAAAGTAAAAAGTAATTGCCCAGCTATTTTAGGCTGGGTAAGGGTGGGCTCAGAATCCTCCAGTATCTTCAGTTCTTCAATTCTGGTGAGTGGCATCCTGACCCCATAGAGCCCAATACACCAGACAGTTCTAATATTTTAGAATTAGAAAGAATCTTACAGACCATATAACCCTGGAGCTTCATTTTAATTATCAAAAAAAAAAGTATGTCAAGGCACACATAAGTACGTGTGTGCTGTACTCAATTAGGTGTACATCTAAGATATCAATAAACTGGACAGCATTCCAAAAAGACCATGTGTTCTCCAGGAGTTTTGAGCATGAGGTTCTTCCCTCCAGGATCTCAGAGCTGGTGGGAAAACATATCATTTGAATGGGCAATCACAAGGGAAGTATAAGAAGCTATGAGTGCTGGCAGGATGGAGTGGCTAACCCTGGACAGGAAGAATCAACCCCAGCCTCTTAGAAATGGAAATATGTGGACCGACACTAACTGATATGAGTTAGTCTGGTAAAAAGGGTGAGGTGGGTAGGTAATATACTGTCGTAGACAGAAGAAACCATGCATACAGAAGCCTTGATGTAAGAACTCATGGCAAATTCTGGAAATGGCAAATGGTTCCTAAATTCTGTACCATGGCTTTGGAGACAGGGTGGGAAGCAGTGAGAGGGGAAAAGGAGCTGAGGCCAAATTCAAAAGTGTCCTGTTGAGTAATCGTAATGCACAGAAATGTGAGGGAATTTGAATCACTTCCTGAGATAACTCAGGATAAGTTGAAGGGAAATTATATGAGAAGATAATGAATTTTAAGTTAATCACTGGCTACAGGATGGAGACAGGACTAGAAAACCAACAAGAAGCTGCAGCCAGGCAAGAGATGGACTGCAGTGAGGATAAGGGGAGTGGGGTAGAAACAAAACAGAACAAAACAGAGGGGCTTGAGAAATATTTTAAAAGGTAGGCTTGAGAGCGCTTAGTTATTGACTGATGTGGGACGTTAGTAATAGGAAGGGGTTAAGGGTGATATCAGCTCTGACTTGGGTGACTGGATGATGCCATTCACTGAGTGGAGAACACTCAAGAGGAGACACCAGTGTGGGCAGGGATACAGGAAGAACCATCATTTATTGTGCACGTGCTATATGCCAGGCTTTAAGAGCAGTGCTTTTCATGTTATTATCTCATTTAATCCTCACTACAATATTATACATTAGGTAATATTATCACACCCAATTTACAAATAAGATACTAAGGTACACAGGTATGGATTTTTTCCCAATGATTTACAACTAATAATTGCAACAAACAGATTTAGGCATAGGTTTAGGTAGAAATCAACAATACTAAGTTGGTTAAGTTTGAAATGCTAGTTAAACATACAAATTGGACAGATAGGCAGAGTCTATATTTCAAGACAGAAGTCAATCCTGGTATCCCAGTGGTCAAGCAAAGACAGGGTTTCAAGAAAGAAAGAGTGATTGACAATTAAGAAAAAGATTGGGAATAGATTTTTTAATTTGGCAGCATGGAGCAAGAATGAAATCAGTCAAGTGGTCAAGACACATGCTATTTTTTGGTGCACTCAAAAAACAACAGATGAGGAAGTGGAGACAGTGACTATAAAATTTTTCAACAAAATTTGCTATAAAGGAGAGCAAAGAAATAGGGCAGTAGAAAGGAATATGGGGTCAAGGAATGTTCTGCTTTTAAGATGGTAGTTAAAGCATGCTTGTAAGCTGATAAGAATGAGCCAATAGAGAAGAGAATTCTGATGTTACAGAAAAAAAGAGAGTGAAAAACTGTAGGAGAATAACGCTTGAGGAAGCCAGTATACAGGTAGAATGGTTGGCCTTAGAGTGGAGCAGGAACAATGGATCCATTGTTATAAGGGGAAAGGCAGAGCACTTGGACACAAATGAAGGTAGGCTGGTGGATGTGCTAGTGGGAGATTGAGGCAGTTTTCTTCCTATTTATTTTTTCTCAGTGAAAGAAGAAGCAAGATTCATGCTGAGAGTGAGAAGATGGGAAGTTTGAAAAAAAAAAAAGAAGTGTGAAATAGTTGTTTAGATCTAGAGACCCACTGAGATCTGTGAAGATACATTTTAAATGAGGTATTATGGTTCAAATGTGTCTCCCCAAAGTTTCTGTGCTGGAACTCAGTCCCTAATGTAACAGTTTTGAGAGGTAGGACCTCATAAAGCCTCTTCTGTCATGAATGGAGTGATGCCATTAATGCATGAGTGGGCACCTGATAAAAAATGAGTTTATGGCTGGGCACGGTGGCTCACGCCTGTAACCCAGCAGTTTAGGAGGCTGAGGTGGGTAGATCACTTGAGGTCAAGAGTTCAAGACTAGCCTGGCCAACATAGTGAAACCCTGTCTTTACTAAAAAATACAAAAAATTAGCTGAGCATGGTAGAGCATGCCTATAATCCCAGCTACTCGGGAGGCTGATGCAAGAGAATTGTTTGAACTTGGGAGGTGGAGGTTGCAGTGAGCCGAGATCTTGTCTCAAAAAAAAAAAAAAATGAGTTTGTCCCCGCTTCTCTCTCTCTCTCATGAATTTGATGCCTTCTGCCATGGGATGAACAGCAAGAATGCCCTCATCAGATGTGGAACCTTTACCCTTGGACTTCCCAGCCTCCAGAACTGGGAGAAACAAATCTCTATTCTGTATAAATTGCCAAGTCTCAGGCATTCTGTTATAGCAGCTCAAAGTGAACTAAGACATGAGACTTGATATTTTTCTGTGGCCAGGGCTAACTACTTAGATGCAGGTGTAGAATGTTTGGAAAGTTGGCTTTAACTGACAGGATTAGGATTTTTCCAGGAAAGTATAATGAAAAAAAAAGAGAGAGAGAGAGAAGCAGAGGTGTATCCAAGAATTAAATATAGTGATGGAATAGAAGTTTTAAAATAACAGAAATCATGGTGTTGGGTAGTGAAAATGTGGCAGGCTCAATGTTAGAGATCCCAGTGAGTCAAAGACTTGCCAGAAGGAGGACACTAAAGGAAACAAGCAGGAAAGCTGGCAGTGGTCAGAGTAGCTATGCATAGCATTAAGACTCTGGGGTTAAGATCTTTTAAAGACAAGGTCTTTGGTGGGCCCTGGGAGGGGATGACTGAAGTGGAGTGGAGGAAGGTATTATTGGAGATGAGTCAGTTAAGCAACTGAGAGGTCAGGAAGTTAGATGACTCATCTCCAGGAATGCTGAAGTCACAACAAGTGATGGCAGAGCTAGTGGAGGAGAAAAATACAGTGAGCCAGGCGTTAAAATCTTTGATGACTGATACCAGAAGAAGAGTCACTAAGAGGAGAGTATATAATTGCAACAAACAGTGTTAGACAGTGTATAACCCAATGATGTTCAAGTCAAACAAACTAGCATGGAGGCCTGTCATGGAGACCTGTCTAGGAATAAGGAAGACATGACCACCAGGAAATGACAATGAGGAGCAAGGAGGACACCTCTCTCAAGCCTAGGCTCTGAAAGGGAAAAGACAGCCTCTACTTGAGAAGGCTGCTGAGACAGTCATATTCCTAGTGGGAACTCAGGTGTCAATGAGAGCAAGAAAGTGGAAGGATCATTCAGAGAAGAGGTATATAAATCCCAGACAGCAGGAGAAGTGGATAGGAGGTTGGGCGGTGGGGAGCTTGAGCCACACAGAGCTATGTAGAGTGTGTGAATAAGGTAAGAGATCCACAGTGGTGGGAGGCCTGATTGGGTCAATCTTGATTGTCCCTAAGGACTACTGTGTCATATGTTCCCTTTAGTGTGGACTTGATGTGCCTGCAGGGCATCCAGGACATTGAGGTCCAGTGGGCGGTGGGACCTTCAGGTCTGAGACTGAGAAGAGAGGGCCAAGCTGAGATACAGACCTAGGAGTTGGCAGCGTACAGATGGCTGCTGCAGCCATGGGGATCCATGAGACCATCTGAGGGTGGGCACCCTGTGAGGTGCACAGGACTCCCAATAACACCAACATCAAGAGATGACAGAGACAAGCAAAGCTACACAGGAGACAGAAGGAGCATCCAGTGGAGGTGAAGGAGACTCAGAAGGCATGGCATCATGCAGGCTGAGGGAAGAGGGCCGTGGCAAATGCTGCAGAGAGGTCAGCTAAGGTAAGGAGTGAAAACTTTCCACTGGATTTAACTGTAGTCACTGATGTCCTCAATGAGAGTCATTGCAGCAACCCCATGGAGGAGAAAGCCAGGCTGCCCTGGGTACAAGTGGGAGTGAAAAGAGGCCCAGAAAGTCATCCTCACTGTGCCACGTCTTAGCTGTGGCACCTCAAAGAACTTTCTTGACCTCTCCAAACCTCTGTTTTTCAACCTAGAAATAGGTATATCAATACTGATCTTATAGGATTGCTGTGATGAAATAAAATTAGATAAAACATTGTGTATTTGACAAATAGTAAGTGTGCCATAAATGGTAATTAGGGGAAACATGACATGTATTAATGTTGTTGCTTGGCTGTGAAGGATTTGAAAAATAAGATTGTAACAAGAATGAGATGTGGGATTAGTAGATTTATTTTTGTGTTTTTTTTTTAACATGGAAGATATTCACTGGAACAGCTTTAAAGATTGAAAATATAGCCATAAAAAGTGAAGAAAACTGTCCCTTGTTGGAATGAACCCATGACCTTGGCTGTATCAGCTCCTGTTACAAGGAACAGAGCTGACTTGAAAATCCTCAAATGCTCAAATGCGTTTGGAAAAGCCACAAGGGTTCCCAGAAAGTGTGGCTGTTCAGAAACCTCAAGAATTGCCATCCGTGGCTTCAATAGGCCTTATCACTCCAGCTATAATATGCTTTCTGGAATGAAATGTTGTTGATTATACAACCAGGCTATGATTTTCTGATTTGTGCAACAATATCTCTCTGGAAGGAAGACAGATTGTCATGCATTGAATTCCTAATCCAATGCCTAATTTTGTCCAAGGTGCTGTAAATCTTGATGTGTTACCTGAAGGGAAATTTTCGATTTCTGGAAAATGAATATTATAGAGTTTTCTATGACCCAAAGAGACTTGTGCAGCAGGCGCAGGCCGTGCAGTATGGATTTTTGCCAGCCGCATTAAGATGCTGAATATAGAAAACAGCAAGTGCTGATCCTGACCAACTGTCACCCTGCGTCTGGGGGCCCCTCACCTTCAGCAAACTTGATTTCTCAAAGTCTGAATTAGCACAGAAATAACTGAGAAGACAATGCTACTCTTCATAAAATGAAGTGCTTAAGGGTTAATTATGAATGTAAGTGACACTGGGGTATTTTTGGTCTATCTAAAAGGTTTGTGGGAGAAGCATTCACACTTCAGCCACCTCTCCAGACCTAGAAGGAGAGGAGTGATGGTGTGGGAAGACCAAAAGGCAGCTTCAGATGGGTTGCCAGAAACAAATTCACCATAATTTTCAAACATAACTCAGTTTACCTCCTCCAGGAAGTCCTCCTTGACATCCCTAGGTTCAGCCAGACGAGGAGGAGGGTACCTTTTTCTTTATGTTCTCACAGTCTCCAGGGCTTAAATCCTTGAAGCTATTATTTATTGAAGGCTCAAGAATTTTTCTACAGAAATGGGTTAATGGACTTCAAGCTGGTGGGTAAGGGCTAGCTAAAGCTGTAGTTTTCTATTCTTTTCAAAAGGATTGAGGAAATACCACTTGTCCATGTCAACAATTGTGGAGAAGGGGCTATTGAAAAATTAAGAAAAACCTTAACAATTGGTGCAGTGTCTGTATGTTGTAAGTACCCAGGAAGCATTTGTTGAAAGTATTTAATTGATGGACTAATTTTACTTATGAGCGTTTCTTACACCTTGGTTCTTTGAGCTCAAGCCCCTGCATATGTACTTCCCTTCCTACCATGATCCTTTGTGCACTGCTTTGAGAATTTCTGGAGGAAGAGGGAGCAAGTTGAATTTGTATAAAGTAAAAAAGAAATGCAGTTCCCAACTCCAAGAAGAAGCTAAGAATTTTGAGAGTAAAGATGAAGGGAGGGCATCGTAAGTATTATAGTAGGAGTCTAAGCAAAATGGTTGAGAGGAAGAATCAGGAGTGGTCTAATCTGACTGGAGTATGAGACAGAAGATAAAATGGAGAAGAGAACCTAGGACCATATTCTGGGGGATCTTGAATTCCCACTCTAAGATTTTGGATAGAATTCAGTAGGCACTGGGAGTCACTGAAGATTCAGAAGCAGAGAAGGATCAAAAAAAGTTACTTACAAGATATGATTGCTTGAGTTCACATTAAAATGAAAACTTTCTTAAGTATCTGCTGTTTGAATACTAAGCATTTTTAAGATTAATCACTGTTTCTTGGAAAACATTATTACTGCATTTAGTTCTATTTCGTAGACAATATAAATAAGGTCATCTGGATATATTTTCTAGTATAAATAGTTCATTTATTTGACAAATTTGTAATTGAAACCCTACTGTTCATATCACACTGCACTAGGCACTGTGAGGATACAAAAATGTGTGGAATCAGATTTCTGCCCTCCAGAAGCTGAAAGCTCAGAGGAAAGATGTGGTAACCATAACACACTGCCATAAATATCCAATTTAGTCAAGACTTGTGGTTGTATGTAGCAGAAATCTATACAAATTAGCTAAAGCAAGCTGTAGACATAAGCCATGGAATTGTTCACTATAAAGACATAGATATGACTACATCAGGAAAGGGAAGAACAGCTAGGGCTCCCAGGGGCTGACCTGAGACTAGAAGCAGCTCCTCCAGCTTGCCTTTTGCCTCATCCCCATACTCTCTGCTGCACAGGTCACATGGTTGCTCCACAATGCCTTAGTTCTAGCCTCAAAACACAGCTTGAAATCAATGCCTCTCAGGCCTAAAGCAGCATCCCAGGACAGAGAGTCCAGCTAACCCAACCTGGCCCTTTCTCATCCAATCAACTATGGGGGAATATATGGAGATGGGCCATGTGATGCAGACAGCTCTGGGACCCTTCCTGTGGCTGTGGGGTGGCAGTCTGTCAAAACAGGAGATGTTTGTGAGGTAGACAGACACCCCAAAACATATCTTCCTTGCCAATGTGGTCACAAGAACTTAGAGGACAAAGTGATCTGAGAGTTCAGTGGAGGATAAAACTGCTCACAACCGAGTTCCTGGAACCTTCCCTGGAGGGACTTTGAGTTGCACCATCCAGGATCACAGGGTTTAGGCTTTCATGTGAGAGGACTTCCTAAATGAGGGCAAAGCACCCACTGGCAAAGATAGATTGATAAGGAAAGAACTTAAACAGCATCTAACAGGTATAATGACACTTAAGTGAGACCTTCCTGGTATAATGACACTTAAGTGAGACCTTCCTGATAAGAAGCTGACCATAGAAAGTGTCAGGGCAGAGACCCCAGCAGGTGCCACTGCCCTGAGGTCAGTATGGGCTTGGTGTGTGGCGTGGCACCTAGTGACTGAGGGAGGATGTAGGTGCAGGTCCTGCAGGCCTGCTAAGCTGCAGTAGGTGCCACATTTTGTGCAAAGTGGAATAGGAAGCCTTTCTAAAAGTAAGCAGGGACATGTTATGAGATAATATACATTTTAAGAGGAATCCTCTGGAAACTGTATAAAGAATGGATAGGAGTGGGTAAAAGCGAAGGCAGGATGACAAATGAGGAGGCTGCTGGGGTGATACAGGTGAGGGACAATGGTGGCTAGACCAGGATGGGGATGTGCAAATGGAGAAATGTGGACCAATTACAGACACAACTAACCAAATGAAGTGATGGGTTGGCTATAGGGGCTGAGGGAAAGGGAGGAATCAAAAGTGGCTCCTGTATTTCTGAGAATGTAGGACAGGGGTGTGATGTTGTGTTTGGGAGGAAATAATCAAGAGCTTCATTTGGAAGGGTTAGGTTTGTGGTGTCTTTGAACTTTTAAGCTACAGTAAAGTTTTGTTCAAAACTGGAGTGCAGAGAAGAGCTCTGGGCTGGATTGTGCATTTAATGTCAAAAGAAGCCCCTCAAGCAAGCTTATGTAAAATCAGATTTGTTATGAGGATTCAGAGGAATCTCACCAAACCTGTGGGCAGAAATTATAGACAGTCCTCCCAAGGAGCTGCAGCCAACAAGCCATGCAGACCCCAGGAGTGGAAGCAGCTTCTCTGCCTCTGTATCTTTGATGGTCTCATATGGCTTCTCTGAGTCTGGGACTCCAGTCTGTCTGTCTGTCTCTCTCTCTCTCTACCTGCTGTGTCTGTCTCTGCATTTTTCTCCATTCCTGTCTGCCTTTCTTTCTGTGTGTCCATCTCTTTCTCTAAAAGTGTGGCTGCATGTGTAGGGTGTGCCTCCCTGACCTTGCCTCTTCATGGTATATCTCTCCATATGTCTTTATAATTATCTGTGTGTCTGTCTCTGTGTGTCCTTTTGTCTGCCTGTTCTCTCTCTCTCTGCACTCTCTTAAACTGCCTTCTTTTTCCTTGCTTCCTCCTCTCTCTCTCTGTTTTTGTGTGCAAGTGACCAAACATGGCTGCTTCCGTTCAACATTTACAATATCCTTTAATTCACCTGCCGGAGAGAGGCTGCCCACCAATTCTGAATTCCAACCCCAAATTCCTGGGGGAGAGGATCTGATTAGCCCAGCTTACATCAGGTGCTCATTTTTAGTTCAATACAGCTGTGGCCAGGAAGACATGAAATGGGGCTGGGAAGCATCAGGTGGTATAAAAATGATTGTCTGCCACTGATCAACAGAGCACTCAAGTCCAGGCCAGCAGTGGGAAAAAAAAGAGGTAAAATACTTGGAAAATAAAACACTCAGTATTTGGAAATGTTATAAACATCTACCAAGAAACAACAGCAGAATCAAACAAAATACAAGAACTTGCTGAAGTTACTGGATTGAAGAGCAATTTCAAAAATTAGTATCATTTCTTTACACTAGTAATAATCTAGTGTATAATAACTGGCAAATATAATTTCTAAAAAGATACCATTCACAATAGCTACAAAAAACACAAAATATGTAAGAATAAAAATGCCTACAGTGAGTAAAATTTAAAGTTATAACAAATAAAAATATATGTATGTATGATGATCTGAATAAATGGAGACCCATTCCAAAGTCATGAATGGGCCAGTTAATATCACAAGAATGTGAATTCTCCCCAAATTAGTTTATAAATTCAATGTAAGTCCAATTAATTTTCCAGCTGGAGTGTTAAAGGGACTTGATAAATGTACTTTATAATTTACATGAAACAGGAGAACTAAAAAGATTTCCTCTGGGGCATGCTGGCCTTCATAAAAAGTAGCTGCCATCAGTTGAGGACAGGCTGGAGAGCTGAAAACCTCTTGAAAAGTTCAAAGACATCACGAACCTCAACAGGTACATTGAGGTGGCCCTCTGAAAACTGGAGCAGGGGAACAAGGCAGAGAGAGATTTCCTGGGGTGTAGAAAGACAGGGTGGGGACAGAAATCAGAGTGAACTCCTCACAGCAAAAGAGCTAACATGGCTCAGAAAGCTGGTAGTTAAGCTGTAAAGTATAAAGAGATACTCAGAGCCCTGGATCCCTGGATCCCCAACCCTACTGAAGGGGAAGTCTTGATTCTACCCTCAAAATATTTGAAGCCAGTGGGAATTGAAACAAATTAAAAGTTCAAGAAATCTCTGGGCCCAGTTGAACTAGACTTTAGATTAACTCATCCCCTACACTAAGCAGCCTGAGAAAAGAAGAATCAATCATGCCTTTTCCTGGAGGACAAAATTATTTACCTCAGTCTCTACTGTGATTTTAACACAGTGTCTGAAATACAGTTTAAAAATTATGAGACACAGGACAATCAAGACAGTGTGATGCATGGTCAAGAGCGGAAACAGCAAAGCACTCATTTATTTAAAAAACAACCTCTAAGAAAAGTCAAATTTGAAAGTGTATTAGTTTCCTATTGCTGCTGTAACAAACAACCATAGATATAGTGGCTTAAACAACACAAACATGATCTTACAGTTTTGAGAATTTGAAATCTTAAACAGTTTTCACTGGACTCAAATCAAGACATTGGCAGGGCTGTGTGCCTTTCCAGAGGCACAACAGGAGAATTTGCTCTCTTGCATTTTCCAGTTTTTACAGGATATCTACATTCTTGGCACGTAGCCCTCTTTCTCCACCTTCAACACCACCAACAATGGATCTCTCTGGCCATTTTTCTAGTAGTTCCATCTCCATCTGACTCTCTTCTTTTGCTTCCCTCTTCCACTTTTAAGGACCTTTGTGATTACTTTGGGCCTATCCAGGTAATCTAGAATTATCTATTATTTTAAGGCCAATTAGCAAATTTAATTCCATCTGTAATCTTAATTCCACTTTGGCAAGTAACATAACATATTTTTAGGCTTCTGAAATTAGGACATGGACGTCTTCGGGAGCCATTATATTGCCTACCACAGAAGGGAACTTCCTTGATCTAATATAAGGCAACAGTGAAAAGCATGCAGTAAAAAGTTCACATTTGAATGTAAAAAGTAAAACATTGAATACCTTAAGATTGGGAACAACTGTTTCCAAAGATTTCTTCTCTCACCACTTCTCTACAACATTGTCCGAGAACTCTTAACTCAGTGCAATAAGACAAGAAAAAAAAAAGTGCAAAAATTGAAAAGGAAGAATAAAAACAGTCTTTATTCACAAATACCATAATTTTATATGTAGAAAATACTATGGAATCACCTAAATTTGGTAATTGACTTTACTAAGGTTAAAGGATATGAGATCAACATTTAAAAATTTATTATATATTTATATATTAGTATGAATAAACAGAAAATGAAATTTTAAAAGTAAAAAAAAATACCTAAGATGAATGTAACAAAAGATAAGCAAGACTTCTACCCTGAAAATTATAAAATATTTCTGGGAGAAATTAAAGAACAAAATGGAAAGATAGCATCATATTCGTGGGTTATACTATTCAAAGCTGATAAAATTGTCTACTTTCTCTAAATTAACCAAAAGATTTAGTACAATCCCAGTTGAAATTTTAGAAGTATTTTAAAAAATAAATTGAAAAGGTAAGTCTAATTCTAAAATGTATATGGAAATGTAAAGAATCTAGAATATTCAAAATAATCTGAAAAAATAAGAACAAAGTTGGAGGACTTACACTACCTGATTTCAAAACCTACTGTAAAGTTACAGTAATCAAGACCATGTGTTATCAGCATTAAAAAAAACCTGTAGGTCAATGAAACAGAATAGAAAATCCCAAAATATGCCTACACATATAGAGATTTTTGACCAAAGAACCAAAGTAATTCAGTGAGGAAAGGAAAGTCTTTTTAACAGAATGTGCTAAACAACTGATATCTCTGTGGAGGAAAAAAAATTAAAATCTAGCTCAGTAACATATGTAAAAAATAATAATTTCAGAGAGATTATAGACCTAACTTTAAATATTAGAACCATAAACTTTCTTAAATAAAACATACAAGAATGTCTTTGTGACCATGGGTAGGTAAAGATTTCTTAATGATAACTCAAAAAGAACTAACCATAAAATAAAAATGATAAATTAAGCTCCCACAAAATTAAAACTTTCTGCTGATAAAATGGTACCATTTAGAAAATGAAAAGGCAAGCCATATTGGAAAATATGGAAAATTGGAAAATTTTAAATTTCCAATAGATATATTGGAAAAAAATTCACAATATATTTATTTGACAAAAGACTCGTGTTCAACACATTGAAGTGAGGAGGGAGTGCTGAGAACGTCTATAAGTCAATAATGAAAAGATAAGTAATCCAAGAAAAAATAGGGAAGAGACTGAAGAGTCACTTCATGAAAGATTACGCAATAAGCACAGGTAAAGTTTTCACCATCATTAGTCACCAGGGAAATGCAAATTAAAACGAGATACATTTCATACCCACTAGAATAGCTTTTATCTAAAAGACTGACAATACCAAATGTCGATGAGAATGTGGAGCAACTGCAACTCTCAGACATTGCTGGTGAAATGTAAACTGCTACAGTGATTTTTTTTTTTTGCTTGTTTGCTTTTTGAGACAGAGTCTCACTCTGTCACCCAGGCTGGAGTGCAATGGCACGATCTTGACTCACTGCAACCTCTGCCTTCTGAGTTTAAGTGATTCTCTTGCCTCAGCCTCCCAAGTACCTGGGATTACAGGTGCCCACCACCACACCCGGCTAATTTTTGTATTTTTAATAGAGACAGTGTCTCACTGTGCTGGCCAGGCTGTCTCAAACTCCCGACCTCAGGTGCTCCAACCACCTTGGCCTCCCAAAGTGCTGGGATTACAGGTGTGAGCTACCATGCCTAGCCTACAGTGATTCTGAAAATTAGTTTGGCATTGTTTTATAAAGTTAAATGTAAGTCTATACCCTAAGACCTAGCAATATTTATTCTAAGTATTTACCAAAGACAAATGAAACATGTGACCACAAAAAGAGTTCAACAATAATGTTTATAATGTTCATTTATATAACATCAAAAAATTCAGAGCGGTTACAAGTGTCTGTCAACAGGTAAATGGAAAAACAAACCTACTCAGCACTAAAAAGGAATGAAATGTAAATACTTGCAATAACAGTGGTGAAACTTAAAAAATAAAACCTAGATCTAAAAGAATATGGGCTGTCTAATTCCATCTACATGAGGTTCTATTCAGGAAAAACTAATCAATGGTAGTAGTAAACAAAATGATCATAGTGTGGGGGGGATTGACAGAAGTTCACATGGAAATTTTCTGGGGTGATAAAAATATTCTACATCCTAAGACTGTCTCAGCTAATTAAAAATTTTTATTCTTTTTATTGATTGTTTCCTTTGCTGTGCAAAAGCTTTTTTAAGTTGTTGTGATCCTATTTGTCCACTTTTGCTTTGGTTACCTGTGCTTGTGATTACTACACATTACATGCCTGTATCAAAATATCTCATATACCTCATAAATATATACACCTACTATGAACCCACAAACATTTAAAATTAAAAATTTAGTAAAAAATTTTATTCTTCCATATAAATTGAGATATACTCTTATACATAACAAACATGGAAAGATCATAAGTATTCAGCTTAAGAATTTGAAAATTATATATATCATTTTTTTCAAGACAGAGTCTTGCTAGGTTGCCTAGGTTGGCCTCAAACTCTTGAGTTCAAGCAATCCTCCCACCTCGGCTTCCTAAGTGTTGGGATTACAGGCATGAGCCACTGCGCCCACTGAAAATTATATATAACCTTTGATGTATGCAAGTTGTGCCTCAATAATTTCTATGGAAGAATAAAAATGTATAGTTAAATAAGTCAACCTTAAGAAGAATAAAGAAGGCTTTATCAGATAATAAAATATACTATAAAGCCACAGTAATAAAAACAGTCTAATATTGTTCTACAAACAAAATACAAACCAAAAGAACAGAATAGAGGGCTAATACAGACCCATTACCATGCTTCTTATAGGATAAAATGACACTGTGAATCAAAGAAAATATTGTTTAATAACAGGGCTGGCAAAACTGGAACACAAGAAAAATAAAGCAGGATCCTAATATCATTTTATTCCAATATCCTAATATTTAATATCAGGTATCCAATGATACTTGATATAATTTTATTCCAAATGGATACAAGATCTAAATGTGTAAGATAAATGTCTATAATGATTAGGATAAAATATAGAAAGCATAATATCACTGTGACATAGAGGTAGGAAAGCACTTCCTAAGCAGTTTCAAAAACACAAAACACATAGCAGAAAACAGGTGGATTTAATCATATCAAAAGTATTTTTGTATTTTTCAGTTCAATGTAAGATATATGGAAAGAGTTAATAGGTGTTAATAGGTGACAGAATGGACGGAATGGAAGAATATATTTGTGGCATTTTATATCAACAAAAAATGTATTATTTATAATATACAAGAAACTTCTGCAAGTCAAATGGAAAATAGATAGCAACCCTGAATTTAAAATGTTCAAAGGATATGACTTAGCATTTTATAGAAAAAAACTCAAAGGGCTAATAAACATGTGAAGAGATGCTCAAACTCATTTTTAATCAGAGAAATGCTAATTAAATAACAAAGAGAACTAATAAGTTCTGAGCTTAGAACTTATTAGTCTTGTAAAATTGGAAAACTGGATAATGCCAAATGCTGGAGGGAAAGTAGGGGCATGGAAATTGTCTTGTGCTGCTGATGAATGTGGTACAGCCATTCTGAAAAACAGTCTGGTGGTACTTAATCAAGTTAGGTATACACATACCTATGACCCAGCTACTCTGCTCCTGGGGCATATGCCCCAAGTAATTCTCACACAGGTTCAAGGGGCACGAGTATGCAGATGTTGAACTTTCAGGTTGCAGGAGGTTGGAAGAGTAGCTAGTTAAATTGTGATGCTCACCATAATGTATGTACTAGATAACAGTTAGCAGTAACCAATCAACTATGTACATGGCAATGAGGATGGATCTGGAAAACACAGAGCTCAGTAAAATAAGAAAAATAATGAAATATATATGATACAATACCATTTAGGTAAATTTAAAATACAAGTATACAGAACAACAGTATGTCATTTATAGAAGGATACACATTAAACACTTTAGAATGACTGACTGAGGGCAGAAGCTAGAAGGAAATGGGAATAGAGAATGGAGAATAAGGAAGTAAATAAAACAAAAGAGGCATGGACCAACGATGATTATGAGCCACAAACTGAAGAGGCTAACTCAACAATCTGCACCCAAGGCTTAAAAATTGGTTGTAGGAACTCCCTTTCAGGGGAAGGAGGACAATGATCTAGAAGACAGAAGTTTTGCTGTGAAGACCCTTGTGAGGGCCCACAGTGCACCAAATGGCCATAAAGTATTATATATTCATCTTCAATTTTTTAAAAAGAAGAAATTGAAGTTCAGAGAAACTAAACAACTTGCCCAAGGTCACAGTTTGTAAGAGGCAGTGCCAGAATTCAGACTTAGTATCAAAATGAGTCATCACTTGACTGCTGCTGCCCTGGACCAAGCCAATATCGCTTCTCACCTGGCCTGTTGCCATAGCCTCATCCCTGACCCCTGTCTCCCACCATACCCAACCAATCTATTCCACACAGCAACCAGAGCAGCCCCTTAGAAATAGAAATCAAATTATGTCACTTCCCACCTCAAAATCTTTCAAAGCTGTCTCAGTCCCACATCACTGAGAATTAAATCCAAAATGCTTGCATGTCCAACAAGCCCCCATATGGCCTGGCCCCTGCCTAGCTTTCCAGTCTCATCTCTGATCATGCTCCATCTGGCTCCTTCAGCTCAGCCATATTGACCTCCTTTCTGTTTCTTAAACACTCTGAGAACATTCCAGTCTCAGGGCCTTGGCACTAGTATTTCTCCCCATTTTCACATGGTTTCTGCACTATTTCACTCAGGTCTCTGCTCCAATATTATCTCTTAAGAAAGGCCTTTCTGACCGCCTTACCTCTAATGCACTATCTTCTGCCCCAGTCATTTTTTAATGCCTTACTCTGCTTTGTTTCTACCACTTATCCCTACCTGACAGCACGTTATTCATATTTTTATTTGCTGGTTTATTTTTGTCTCCCACGGTAGAATGAAGGCAAAACATTGCTCTAACCAGTGTGCTCTACACAATGCCCAGCCCATGGCAAGCCCTCCTTCAGTGTATGTGGATGAATGTTTGGATGTCTGAGCCCAAACCCATTTCTGTCCCCTATGACATCACCCGTGGCTCCCAAACAGAAGTGGGGAAGGGAGCATGGGGCAAATGGGGACAACAATGAAGATAAAATGTAGCCCTTGAATAGAAAGTAGGTGTGCGGGTCAGGGAGAGGAAATCCCAGAACCTGATGGGACTGAGCAGGCTTGGGAGCAGCAGGAAGAATGGGTAGGCCCTAAGATTTTAGGGTTAATGTTCTCTAGCCTTTTTGTTTTTGCTACAGAAAAGATGAAAACCAAACTGGCCAGTTTCCCCACCCCCAGATAAGCCAATGTGTCTGAGTCTGTTCTCATGAGCCTCAGGAGACAGAGATTTCACAACTGCCTTGCAAAATCCCTTTCCTAAACCTAATGACCATCACAATAAGAAATTCATCCTTATTATAGGCATAAATTTATCTTGCTGCAATTTTATCCCATTTTCTCCAAGAAATGTACTAGATTATCAAAAAATAAATAAGAGGTAAAGTGCTATAGAAATATAACGCATTTACACAACTCAAATAGGAGATTTTCCCCTGGATTGTAATAATGCATCTCTTGTTAATCCCAGCTAGCTCTCAGAATCTAGCTCTTAGGGCTGAGCTCGGCAATCAGCTTCCATAAAAGTGCCACTTACTGTATGTCTTCCCTGAAAGACACTATTGACAGGACCATTAAGAGAAGAGATTCCTTGGGGGGGGATGAGAGTAAATCTTTCATCAAACAATTTATTGCCCTTCTGCTAAAAGCACATCTACTATTCATTATCACTCCAACTAAATGGTGGTATTAGGAGTCCTGGAAGAACTCTGACCTGGCCACAAAACCCACCCTGTCTTGTAAAAGCAGACTGAGCTGTTCTCCCTCCAGCACCACCTGAAATGCTGTCCTCATGGATTCATTCCTTTGAGTTAAGCATTGATATTCTAGGTTCTGCATCTAAAAGGTCATTGAGTAATTAATTTTTCCATTTGATGCATTTTATATATAGTTTATATGTAGTTTTCAGTTCTCAACTATAATTATCTTCTTTTTTATTTTCTAAAATCTGAATCATAGTTTAAAGCCTCCAATAACTGGATATCCTACAGACCTTTTATATTGCCAATTTTTTAAAATCTTGATCATGAGTCATTTTATTTTTTTCTTTTTTCTATGCTTGTCAATTGTTGTTGCAGGCCAGATATTGCATATGAACAATTGAAGAAATCATTTAAGGTACTGGATAATGCTATATTTCTCCAAAAAGAATTTAGTCTTCTTGTATCAGGCATTTAGGAAGGGCACAGTTTGCTTAAATTCAGACAGGTTTTGAGATAATTCACAAGTAGGCTTCTGTATTACTAAGCTGCAAACTTTTAAAAGTCCTAGTTGAAAGCTTGGTGTTTACCAGGCCTCTCTCTGATGTTGGGCTCCACTTCATATTTTTGTCTACCACATCCATCCTCATGAGATAATTAAAGCTCTATTTATCTTTTCAGCCTCTGTTTGGTATTTCAAATTGGAAAACACCTCCAGGAGAAAAACAGTGCCAGGTTATCAGGCATACCTGACAAATGGGGTACTTTCTGTCTTCTTGCTTGCCTATGTTTTCTTATTTTTCTGCAGTGAGCTGTTATTCACTCAAGTTATACGTTATTGAAATGTGTCCAGCTGTGCAGCTTTCCCCATTGTGATGAATTTCTCTTGAGCTCACGACTTTTCCAGAAGTGTTTTGTTTTTCCCACTCTAAATAGACTCTCAGACCCCCATCCCCTTGGTCTGGCACTGCTGGACAAGGCTGGCATCGTAGCCATAATCCTTTCTAGTTTCATTACTAAGAATGCTCCAGCAGTGGGTTTATGACCCCATCATCATTTAATTAAGGAGTGGGCCCTGGGAACTGGGAGCACCAGTGGCCCCAGCTCCCTAATGCCACCTGGAATGTGCAGTCTGGTGTACAACTGCACCAAGGCAGTGGTTCCATTCCCAGCTGCAGGAGTCTAACTATAAGAAGCAAAGTGTACCAAGCTAGGCGTTCCTTCCTGTGAAGGACTCCTGGCCCCAGAACTGCTGTCAGCTGCACCTTGGAAACAAGTGCCCCAAACAAAATGCACCAAGGAACTCATTACTCAAGGGTGCCCTGTGGCAAACCATTTTGCAAAGCGAGCAATTCAGAGTGAGTGATCACTCTAGCATTTGAGTTTCACTCACAAGGATTGTTAACAGCACACTGTAAACATCATTCACATTAATGTTGTTTCTTTTCAATCCTTTATTTTCAGAATAAAACATTCCTTCACCTCTCCTTGGCCCAAAACTTACATATACTTGAAAAAATGTATGTGAGTAGCAAATAATTCTTCTCAATTTGTATTCCAATGTCTGAATTGGCTTTGATTTGGCCTTAAAGACTTGGCTGATCTCTCTAGGCTGCAGGGTAACAGATTCTGAAACCCAAGAGAATGAGCTCAGAGCAAAGAATAAATTTGAGGTTTATATCTTCACTGACGTGTGCCTGAGGATGACTGGAAATGGGCATCCCCCAAAACTTTTCTCCTCCTTCCTTCTACCTGCCCAGCTCTGTTTCTGTGCCATTTTTTGTGGAACTCATGGGTCCTAAAGCCCTTGACTAATTTTTGTCTTCCTGATTCATCAGTTTGTGATGGTTCTATATTAAACCCTCCCACTGGGACTAGGGATTATCATTTTTACCTTGTATCCTATTTCTAGGTCATGTTACTAGTAGCATAAGGTCACAATTAATATATCTCAATGAATTATACCACTTATGCAAGGTCTTAGTGCTTTTCACCTTAAATTCTATTTTATCTCATGGAACAACTTTCTTGTGGCTAGCATTTGTCTTATATGCTATTTCCATCATTTACTTTTTCAATTTAGGCTACAAGTCCAATGTGCTATCCATTGCACCAAAGAGCCTGCTCATGCTTTTAACCTTTCTACATTAATTTTAGTTGTGACTCTTATAAGCAGTGAAGAAATGGATTTTAAAACAATTTGATTTCTAGTCAACATGGTAGTCCCTGTACTTTAATATGGTTAGTTGAATATGTTTACACATGTGATTACCAATATATACTTTTTTATTCTTTGTTTGTCATGTTTTACTTATCATTTTTTTCTCTTTCCTAAACTTCCTCTTTCCACTGGTTTTATTTTGTGCACACACACACACACACACATACACATTTTCCCCCTTTTGTTGGTTTGATAGTTACAATTTCTGTTCTTTTAATGGTTGCTCAAAACTTTTAATATATATTTTTATTGTATATCTTCTAACAACGTGTAAAGTTTGGCATATTAGACCCTACTTTCTCCCTCTAAACCATGCAGAATCATCTTCAGTGTCAATGGTATGTAGAATTTTAGTTCTACCTCTGTTAAGGAGGTGTGAGAGAGGAAGGAAGCAGGGGGTGGAGGTGAAGTCTATGACACAAGGAATATTCATAATATTCATTCATGTTTTATTTTCCACAATTAAAATCACTTTATTGTCTGTGTTATGATTTTTTAGAATGTATGTTTATTGAAAAAATTCAAGCAATATAGAAAATGGCAAGGGGAAAATAAAAATCACCCCAAATACTTTCTACCCTGAGATAACTAGATTCTGGTGATTTCATCCATTCATGTATCCATTCATGTATCTCTATGTAAATGACACAAATATAGTCACATATTGCTTAACAATGGGAATGCATTCTAACAAATGTGTCATTAGGCAATTTTGTCATTGTGTGAACATTAGAGTGCACTTACACAGCCCTATATGGTATAACCTACTACACACTTAAGCTATGTGGCATAGCCTATTGCTCCTAGGCTACAGAACTGTACAGCATGTTACTGTACTGAATATTATCGGCAATTGTAACATAATGGTAAGTATTTCTGTATCTGTACATATCTAAACATGGAAAAGATACAGTAAAAATATGGTGTAAAAGTTTAAAAATGGTACACCTGAATAGGGCCCATATCATGAATGGAACTTGCAGGATGGGAAGTCGCTATGGGTGAGTGAGTGAGTGAGTGGTGAGTGAACGTGAAGGCCTCGTATTGTACACTACTGTACACTTTACAAACACAGTGCACTAGGCTATACTAAATTTACATAAAAATATTTTTTCTTCAATAAGTTAATCTTAGCTTACTGTAACATTTTCACTTTATAAACTTTTTAACTCTTTTATATTAACATGTAGCTTAAAAGACAAACACAGTACACAGCTATACAAATTGTTTTATATTTGTATTTTATATACTTTTTATTTTTACTTATTTTTTTTAACTTTTTAGACTATGTTATTAAAACCTAAGACACAAACATACACATTAGCCATAGTGCTGTCTTCCACCTCCACATCTTGTTCCACCTACACACCTTGTTCCACTAGAAGGTCTTCAGGGGTAATAATATACATGAAGCTGTCATCATCTGTAACAAAGCCTTCTTCTGGAATTCCCCCTGAAGAACTTGCCTGAGGCTGTTCTACAGTCAATATGTATATACAGAGAGAGTAGAAAGGTAGATGGATACATAAATACACACAGTTTATATGTGTGTGTGCATATATGTAGAAGAAATGTACAAATGTACTCTAAAATAATGAAAAATTATAGTATAGTAAGTACATAAACCAGTAACATAGTCATCTATTATCATTAAGTACTATGTACTACTCATAATTATATATGTTATAATTTTATATGTCTGGCAGCAAAGTAGATTTGTTTACATCAGCATCACCACAAATATGTGAGTAATGTGTTGCACTAGGCGATAAAAACTTTTTAGTTTTATTATAATCTTATGGAACTACAATTATATATGTACCTTCATTGTTGACTGAAATGTTATTTCAGTCAACATGTATACAGTGCATGACTCTATACAAATATAGATTTTCATATATAAACTTTACATAAATTGGCTTATATGCTCACTTTTAAAATCAAGTAATTATTGAACTCTGTTTGGATTTTTGTGTACCTCTCCCCTATTCCAATAGACACATCTTATATAGCCAATATATTAACAGCTTACCTAAATATTCTGTCCTGCCTTTCTCAAGGTTCATTTAATCATATGTAGATAAATGATGAAGAAGGAAGGGAAGGAAGGAAGGAAGGAAGGAAGGAAGGAAGGAAGGAAGGAAGGAAGGAAGGAAGAAGGAAGGAAGGGAGGGAGGGAGGGAGAGAGAGAGAAAAGAAAGCAAGGGAGGGAAGGAAGGAAGGGGAGAGGAGAGGAGAAGAGAGGAGAGGAGGGGGGAGGGGAGGGGAGGGGAGCAAACAAATATAAAGAATTTAAGTCATTGCTGTGTTATTAAACTGGGATTATATTACTTGTACTTCTTTGAAGTTTGCTTTTACCACTTTATAATTCATCGTGTAAATCGTCAGCTGCAATGCACTTGATAAGGTTTAGGATGTGCATCCCTTCCAAATCTTGTGTTGAAATGTGATCCCCAAAGTTGGAGGTGGGGCCTAGTGTGAGGTGTTGGGTCATGGGTGTGGATCCCTCATGAATGGCTTGTTGCCCTCCCCATAGTAATGAGTGAGTTCTCATTCTGTTAGCTTACAAGAGAGCTAGTTGTTTAAAGGAGCCTAGCATCTCATCCTTTCTCTCTCTGGCTCCTGCTCTCGCTATGTGACATGGCTGCTCCACCTTTGCCATCTGCCATGATTTAAGGCTTCCTGGGGCCTTACCAGGAGAAGATGTCAGCGCCATACTTCCTGTCCAGCCTGCAGAACTGTGAAAAATAAACCTCTTTTCTTTATAAATTATCTGGGCTCAGGTATTCCTTTATAGTAATGCAAAGTGGACTAACAAAACACCCAATGATATTTTGTGAGTTTTCATTATGGAAGTTTCATACATAAACAAAAGAAGTGAGAAACATATGATGAACTCCCACATATCCGTCACTCAGCTTCAACAATGATCAATATTTATATTTTCCCAATCTTGTTTCATTAGTCCTTCCTCTGGTAAGCAGAATATTGCCCCCTCAAAGATGTCCACATCCTAATTCTCTGTGAATATGTTACCTTACATAGCAAAGGGACTTTGCAGATATGCTTAAATTTAAATAACATGAGATGAAGAAATTATCCTTTATTGTCCATGTGGGCTCAACCTAATTTTGTGAATCCTTAAAATAAGAGTATCTTTTCTCACTGTAATTAGAGAACATGCAACTATGGAAAGATGATTAAAGAAATCACATCTTGCTGGTTTTGAAAATGGAGAAAGAGGGCCATGAGCCATGGCCTCTGGAAGCTGGAAAAGGTAAGGACATGGATTATCTCCTATGTCCTCAGGAAAGAACACAGTCCCACCAACACTTTTAACTTTAGCCCAGTGAGACCAGCATCAGACTTCCAAATCATACAACTGCAAGATAATAAATGTGTGTTTTTTTAGGCTTCTCAGTTTCTAATAATTTGCAACAGCAACAATGAAAAACAAATACACCTTCATTTCCTTCCTTCCTTCCTTCCTTCCTTCCTTCCTTCCTTCTTTCTAGTAGGGGCTGGAGTATTTTATAGAGAATTTCAGACATGATAGCATTTTACCCATAAATATTTTACTATAATATTTCACTATGTATTTTAACAGATGAAGAGCTTAAAAATAATCACAATACCTATCATCCTTTACAGAATGAACAATTGCTTAATATCATGTAATACTGTGTGTTTAGCATTTTCTTATTGTCTGAAAAAGTCTCTTTTTATACCTGGTGTGTTTAATCAGGTTCTAAAGACCTCAAGTTACATTTCATTGATACTTGTCTTAAGTCATAATAGTTTTCGTTTCTCCCCTTTTAAACAGGCACTGTGTGTGTGTGTGTGTGTGTGTGTGTGTGTGTGTGTGTGTGCGCGCACATGAAGAGACCTGTCCATTTGCTTAGTAAAATTTACTACAGTCTGAAGTAAGCCAACCACACCCTCAAGGTGTCAATTAACTTGTAACCTATTTCCTGTATTTCCTGTAAACTAGCAGTTAGAGCTAGAGGCTTGATTCTATCCATCTATCTATCTCTCATCTATCTATTTATTTATTTTGAGAAGGGGTGTTGCTCTGTCTCCCAAGCTGGATTGCTGTGGTGCATTCATAGCGCACTACAGCCTTGAACACCTGGGCATAAGTGATCCGCCTACCTCAGGCTCTCTAGTAGCTGACACTACAACGGCACACCACTGGCCCCCTCACCAGTTGTTTTTTGTTTGTTTGTTTGTTTGTTTCATTTTTATTTTGTAGAGATGGAGTCTAGCTTTGATGTTCTGGCTGGTCTCAAACTCTTGGCTTCAATCAGTCTTTCCAACTTGGCCTCCCAAAATGCTGGGATTACAAGTGTAAGCTACTATGCCCAATATCTAATCCCCAATTTAGATATTTTGATTAAACTCTTTTGGCTTCCTGTTGCATTGCATCTGGTTGTTTCGCCTTCAGTAATATGGAGACGGATTGGTGGTTCAGGTGCTGTCAACCTATCCATCTATTGTAGTTTTCCCACAGCTTTTCACTCAATGATACTGGGACTAAAGGGCCTAAATCCATTATTTCAAACATTGTTTGGGTATCACTAAAACTTATTTGTATATATTTGATAAATTTTATTTTTTTTTGCAATCATTATTTTAATACTCAAGTTTTCCCAACTGTAGCCAACAGAAACTCCTATGATTGACTGCTATATTCTTTTGGCATGTCTGCTAGTCTTTGACAGTCTTCTAGTATAAAATGCCATTTGGAGACCACAACCTAAATGATGAAGGTTAATTCATTCTTTCTAAAGCTTAAATGATAGTTCGTGATATGAGTGGCAGATATTGAAGCCGAGCTCACTCACCTGCAATCTAATCTTGTTGGAGTATGTCTTACTGAGTGTTAAGGACAACATCTCCAGCCTCTCCTAGACCTGTGATTGCTCATTTGACCTAGTTTCTACCAAACAGGTACCTGAGAGATTCAGAAGTCAAAGTGTGGAGGAATTTTGCCTTGACTGTTTCTGGCATCTCAGCTGCAGTCATGGAGGCTGCTACATGGGAGCTGTCCTAGGAGTCCCAGTGACTGGTGCCTAGCTTCATGGATACCAAGAGTCAAGGGCAAGGCACTTATTTGCTGCTTTAAATCCTGACTACCATAGTGCATCTTGGGTCCAGAAATTGAGGCTGCAGCTTCCTGAATCTCTAGCTTTATTAGTCAGCTTTTGCTAGATCATGCTGCTTAAAAAAAATCTTATTGGCTAAAGACAAAGAGTAATTTCTCTCTGAGCATACACCTTGGCTATGGGTTTGATTTGCCTCTACTCCTGTGTCTTCATTATTCTTGAACTCAGGGTGAAGGAGCAGCCCATATCAAGGACATATCATAGTTGTGCTAGATTGAAAAGACAGCAGAACTATGTAAAGGCACTTAACACCTTTATTTGAAGCTGGCACACATCACCCCCACTGACATTGCATCAAAGCAAATCATGTGGCCACACTTTATGTTAATGGGGTGGAAAATATAATCCCCTAACAAGTAAGGGGAGCAAATAATTGAGAACAATAATACCACCATTATCTACCAATCAACTACTGACAACAATCTACCATCATTGTTATCTGATCATGCCAGAGAGAGGAGCAATCTTGGTGGGCCAGTTCAATGCTTGTATTCTACAAATTCACTCTGCACCCTCAATCCAGCCCTATCAAGGATTGCGTACCTACCCAATTCACCCATGTTAACTCACTTCCTCTTCAACTTAACTATAATTGAACTCTACAGCCATAATATGGATGTATCACCATTTATTCATTCCACATTGATACACATTCCTTTGTTTCCAGGTTGTTGTTTTCATTTTGCTACTAAATAGAATGCTGCAACAAAATTCTTTAAAATGTATACTTACTGTATAGTTTGAAGTCGGGTAGCATGATGCCTCCAGCTTTGTTCTTTTTGCTTAGGATTGTCTTGGCTATACGGTCTCTTTTTTGGTTCCATATGAAATTTAAAGTAGTTTTTTTCTAGTTCTGTGAAGAAAGTCAATGGTAGCTTGATGGGAATAGCATTGAATCTATAAATTACTTTGGGCAGTATGGCCATTTTCATGATATTGATTCTTCCTATACATGAGCGTGGAATGTTTTTCCATTTGTTTGTGTCCTCTCTTATTTCCTTGAGCAGTGGTTTGTAGTTCTCCTTGAAGAGGTCCTTCACATCCCTTGTTAGTTGTATTCCTAGGTATTTTATTCTCTTTGTAGTGATTGTGAATGGGAGTTCACTCATGATTTGGCTCTCTGCTTGTCTATTATTGGTGTATAGGAATCCTTGTGATTTTTGCACATTGATTTTGTATCCTGAGACTTTGCTGAAGTTGCTTATCAGCTTAAGGAGATTTGGGGCTGAGATGATGGGGTTTTCTAAATATTCAATTATGTTATCTGCAAACAGAGATAATTTGACTTCCTCTCTTCCTATTTAAATATGCTTTATTTCTTTCTTTTGCCTTGTTGCTCTGGCCAGAACTTCCAATAATATGTTGAATAGGAATGGTGAGAGAAGGCATCCTTATCTTGTGCCAGTTTTCAAAGTATCAAAACAGATATATAGACCAGTGGAACAGAACAGAGGCCTCAGAAATAACACCACACATCTACAGCCATCTGATATTTGACAAATCTGAGAAAAAAAAATCAATGGGCAAAGGATTCCCTATTTAATAAATGGTGCTGGGAAAACTGGCTAGCTATATGCAGAAAACAGAAATTGGACCCCTTCCTTACACCTTATACAAATATTAACTCAAGATGGATTAAAAACTTAAATAGAAAACCTAAAACCATAAAAACCCTAGAAGAAAACCTAGGCAATACCATTCAGGACATAGGTATGGGCAAAGACTTCATGACTAGAACACCAAAAGCAATTGCAACAAAAGCCAAAATTGACAAACGGGATCTAATTAAACTAAAGAGCTTCTGCTTAGCAAAAGAAAATATCATCAGAGTGAACAGGCAACCTACAGTATGAGAGGAAATTTTTTCAGTCTATCCATCTGAAAAATGTCTAATAGCCAGAATCTACAAAGAACTTAAACAAATTTACAAGGAAAAAACAAAAAACCCCATCAAAAAGTGGGTAAAGGATATGAACAGACACTTCTCAAAAGAAGGTATTTATGTGGCCAACAAACAAATGAAAAAAAGCTCATCATCAGTGGTCATTAGAGAAATGCAAATCAAAACCATAATGAGATACCATCTCACACCAGTTAGAATAGCGATTATTAAGAAGTCTGGAAACAATGGATGCTGGAGGATGTGGAGAAATAGGAATGCTTTTACGCTGTTGGTGGGAGTGTAAATTAGTTCAACCATTGTGGAAGACAATGTGGTGATTCCTCAAGGATCTAGAACCAGAAATACCATTTGACCCAGCAATCCCATTACTGGGTATAGACCCAAAGGATTATCAATCATTCTACTATAAAGACAAATGCAATTTACAGATCCCTTCCAAGATGGCCGAATAGGAAGAGCTCTGGTCTGCAGCTCCCAACATGATCGATGCAGAAGAAGGGTGATTTCTGCATGTCCAACTGAAGTACCTGGTTCATCTCACTGGGACTGGTTGAACAGTGGGTGCAGCCCACGGAGGGTGAGCCAAAGCAGGATGGGGCATCATCTCACCCGGGAAGTGCAAGGGGTCAGGGGATTTCCCTTTCCTAGCCAAGGGAAGCCATGACAGACTGTACCTGGAAAAATGGGACATTCCCACCTAAATACTGTGCTTTTCCAACAGTCTTAGCAAAGGGCACACCAGGAGATTATATCCTGCACCTGGCTTGGTAGGTCCCACACCCACAGAGCCTTGCTCACTGCTAGCACAGCAGTCCGAGATTGACCTGCGGGGCAGCAGCCTGGCAGGGGGAGGGGCGTCCACCATTGCTGAGGCTTGAGTAGGTAAACAAAGCAGCCAGGGAAGCTCGAAGTGGGTGGAGCCCACCACAGCTCAGCAAGGCCTGCTGCCTCTGTTGACTCCACCTCTGGGGGCAGGGCATAGCAGAACAAAAGGCAGCAGAAACTTCTGCAGACTTAAACTTCCCTGTCTGACAGCTCTAAAGAGAGTAGTGGTTCTCCCAGCATGGCGTTTGAGCTCTGAGAACAGAGAGACTGCCTCCTCCAGTGGATCCCTGACCCCAGTGTAGCCTAACTAGGAGACACCTCCCAGTAGGGACTGACTGACTCCTCATACAGCCAGGTGCTCCTCTGGGACCAAGCTTCCAGAGGAAGGATTAGGCAGCAATATTTGCTGTTCTGCAGCCTCCTCTGGTGATACTCAGGCAAACAGGGTCTGGAGTGGACCTCTAGCAAACTCCAACAGAACTGCAGCTGAGGGACCTGTTAGAAGGAAAACTAACAAATGGAAAGGAATAGCATCAACGTCAACAAAAAGGACATCCATACCAAAACCCCATCTGTAGGTCACCATCGTCAAAGACCAAAGGTAGATAAAACCACAAAGATGGGGAGAAACCAGAGCAGAAAAGCTGAAAATTCTAAAAACCAGAGAGCCTCTTCTCCTCCAAAGGATCGCAGCTCCTTGCCACCAATGGAACAAAGCTGGAAGGAGAATGATTTTGATGAGTTCACAGAAGTAGGCTTCAGAAGGTGGGTAATAACAAACTTCTCTGAGCTACATGATGATGTTCAAACCCATCGCAAGGAAGCTAAAAACCTTGAAATGGCTAACTAGAATAAACAATGTAGAGAAGACCTTAAATGAGCTGATGGAGCTGAAAACCATGGCACGAGAACTATGTGATGCATGCACAAGCTTCAGTAGCCGATCTGATCAAGTGGAAGAAAGGGTATCAGTGATTGAAGATCAAATGAATGAAATAAAGTGAGAAGAGAAGTTTAGATAAAAAAGAGTAAAAAGAAATGAACAAAGCCTCCAAGAAATATGGGAGTATGTGGAAAGACCAAATCTACATTTGATTGGTGTACCTGAAAGTGACGGGGAAAATGGAACCACGATGGAAAACACTCTTCAGGATATTGTCCAGGAGAATTTCCCCAACCTAGCAAGGCAGGCCAATATTCAAATTCAGGAAATACAGAGAACACCACAAAGATACTCCTCGAAAAGAGTAACCCCAAGACACATAATTGTGAGATTCACCAAGGTTGAAATGAAGGAAAAAATGTTAAGGGCAGCCAGAGAGAAAGGTCGGGTTACCCACAAAGGGAAACCCATCAGACTAACAGCGGATCTCTCAGCAGAAACTCTACAAGCCAGAAGAGAGTGGGGCCAATATTTAACATTCTTAAAGAAAAGAATTTTCAACCCACAATTTCATATCCAGCCAAACTTAGCCTCATAAGAGAAGGAGAAATAAAATCCTTTACAGACAAGCAAATGCTGAAAGATTTTGTCACGATCAGGCCTGCCTTACAAGAGCTCCTGAAGGAAGCACTAAACATGGAAAGGAACAACCAATATCAGCCACTGCAAAAACATGCCAAATTGTAAAGACCATTGATGCAAGGGAGAAACTGCATCAACTAACGGGCAAAATAACCAGCTAACATCATAATATCAGGATCAAATTCACACATAACAATATTAACCTTAAGTGTAAATGGGCTAAATACCCCAATTAAGAGACACAAACTGGCAAATTGGATAGAGAGTCAAGACCCATCAGTGTGCTGTATTCAGGAGATCCATCTCACGTGCAGAAGACACACATAGGCTCAAAATAAAGGGATGGAGGAAGATCTACCAAGCCAATGGAGAGCAAAAAAAAAGCAGGAGTGGCAATCCTCATCTCTGATAAAACAGACTTTAAACCAACAAACATCAAAAGAGACAAAGAAGGCCATTACATAATGGTAAAGGGATCAATTCAACGAGAAGAGATAAGTATCCTAAATATATATGCACCCAATATAGGAGCACCCAGACTCATAAAGCAAGTCCTTAGAGACCTACAAAGAGACTTAGACTCCCACACAATAATAATGGGAGACTTTAACACCCCACTGTCAATATTGGACAGATCAATGAGACAGAAGGTTAACAAGGATATCCAGGACTTGAACTCAGCTCTGCACCAAGCAGAACTAATAGACATCTATAGAATTCTCCACTCCAAATCAACAGAATATACATTCTTCTCAGTACCACACTGCACTTATTCCAAAATTGACCACAGAGTTGAAAGTAAAGCACTCCTCAGCAAATGTAAAAGAACAGAAATCAAAACAGACTGTCTCTCAGACCACAGTGCAATCAAATTAGAACTCAGGATTAAGAAACTCACTCAAAATCACACAACTACATGGAAACTGAACAACCTGCTCCTGAATGACTACTGGGTAAATAATAAAATGAAGGTAGAAATAAAGATGTTCTTTGAAACCAATGAGAACAAAAACACAACGTACCAGAATCTCTGGGACACATTTCAAGCAGTTTGTAGAGGGAAATTTATACCACTAAATGACCACAAGAGAAAGCAGGAAAGATCTAAAATTGACACCCTAACATCACAATTAAAAGAACTAGAGAAGCAACAGCAAACAAATTCAAAAGCTAGCAGAAGGCAAGAAATAACTAAGATCAGAGCAGATCTTAGTTTGTCTGAGAGACAGAAGGAGATAGAGACACAAAAAAACCCTTCAAAAAATCAATGAATCCAGCAGCTGGTTTTTTGAAAAGATCAACAAAATTGATAGGCCACTAGCAAGACTAATAAAGAAGAAAAGAGAGAAGAATCAAATAGACACAATAAAAAATGATAAAGGGGATATCACCACCAATCTCACAGAAATACAAACTACCATCAGAGAATAGTATAAACACATCTGTGGAAATAAAGTAGAAAATCTAGAAGAAATGGATAAATTCCTGGACACGTACCCCTCCCAAGACTAAACCAGGAAGAAGTGGAATCTCTGAATAGACCAATAACAGGTCCTGAAATTGAGGCAATAATCAATAGCCTACCAGTCAAAAAAAGTCCAGGACCAGACGGATTCACAGCCGAATTCTACCAGAGGCACAAAGAGGAGCTGGTACCATTCCTTCTGAAACTATTCCAATCAATAGAAAAAGAGAGAATCCTCACTAACTCATTTTATGAGGCCAGCATCATCCTGATACCAAAGCCTGGCAGAGACACAACAAAAAGAGAATTTTAGACCAATATCCCTGATGAACATTGATGCAAAAATCCTCAATGAAGTACTGGCAAATCGAATCCAGCAGCACATCAAAAAGCTTATCCACCATAATCAAGTCAGCTTCATCCCAGGAATGCAAGGCTGGTTCAACATACACAAGTCAATTAACGTAATCCATCACATAAACAGAACGAACAGCAATAACCACATGATTATGTCAATAGATGCAGAAAAGGCCTTCAACAAAATTCAGCAGCCCTTCATGCTAAAAACTCTCAAGAAACTAGGTAGTGATGGCATGTATCTCAAAATAATAAGAACTATTTATGACAACCCACAGCCAATATCATACTGAATGGGCAAAAACTGGGAGAATTCCCTTTGAAAACTGCTGCAAGACAGGGATGCCCTCTCTCACCACTCCTATTCAACATTGTGTTGGAAGTTCTGGCCAGGGCAATCAGGCAGGAGAAAGAAATAAAGGGTATTCAATTAGGAAAAGAGGAAGTCAAATTGTCGCTATTTGCAGATGACATGATTGTATATCTAGAAACCCCATTGTCTCAGCCCCAAATCTCCTTAAGTTGATAAGCAACTTCAGCAAAGTCTCAGGATACAAAATCAATGTGCAAAAATCACAAGCATTCCTATACACCATTAACAGACAAGCAGAGAACCAAATCATGAGTTAATTCCCATTCACAATTGCTACAAAGAATAAAATACGTAGGAATCCAACTTACAAGGGATGTGAAGGACCTCTTCAAGGAGAACTACAAACCACTGCTCAAGGATATAAAAGAGGATACAAACAAATGGAAGAACATTCCATGCTCATGGATAGGAAGAATCAATATCATGAAAATGGCCATACTGCCCAAGGTAATTTATAGATTCAATGCCATCACATCAAGCTACTAATGACTTTCTTCACAGAATTGGAAAAAACTACTTTAAAGTTCATATGGAACGAAAAAAGAGCCCACATAGCCAAGACTATCCTAAGCCAAAAGAACAAAGCTGGAGGCATCATGCTACCTGACTTCAAACTATGCTGTGAGGCTACAGTAACCAAAACAGCATGGTACTGGTACCAAAACAGAGATATAGACCAAAGGAACAGAACAGAGCCCTCAAAAATAATACCACACATCTACAACCATCTGATCTTTGACAAACCTGACAAAAACAAGAAATGGGGAAAGGATTCCCTATTTAATAAATGGTGCTGGGAAAACTGGCTAGCCATATGTAGAAAGCTGAAACTGGATCCCTTCCTTACACCTTATACAAAAATTAATTCAAGATGGATTAAAGACTTACATGTTAGACCTAAAACCATAAAAACCCTAGAAGAAAACCTAGACAATACCATTCAGGACATAGGCGTGGACAAGGACTTCATGACAATGGCAACAAAAGCCAAAATTGACAAATGGGATCTAATTAAACTAAAGAGCTTCTGCACAGCAAAAGAAATTACCATCAGAGTGAACAGGCAACCTACAGTATGGGAGAAAATTTTTACAATCTACCCATCTGACAAAGGGCTAATATCCAGAATCTACAAAGAACTAAACAAATTTACAAGAAAAAAAAACCCATCAAAAAGTGGGCAAAGGATATGAAGAGACACTTCTCAAAAGAAGATATTTATGCAGCCAACAGACATATGAAAAAATGCTCATCATCACTGGCCATCAGGGAAATGCAAATCAAAACCACAATGAGATACCATCTCACACCAGTTAGAATGGCGATCATCAAAATGTCAGGAAACAACAGATGCTGGAGAGGATGTGGAGAAATAAGAATGCTTTTACACTGTTGGTGGGAGTGTAAACTAGTTCCACCATTGTGAAAGACAGTGTGGCAATTCCTTAAGGATCTAGAACTAGATATACCATTCGACCCAGCAGTCCCATTACTGGGTATATACCCAAAGGATTATAAATCATGCTACTATAAAGACACATGCACACATATGTTTATTGCGGCACTATTCACAACAGCAAAGACTTGGAATCAACCCAAATGTCCATCAACGATAGACTGGATTAAGAAAATATGGCACATAAACACCATAGAATACTATGCAGCCATAAAAAAGGATGAGTTCATGTCCTTTGCAGGGACATGGATGAAGCTGGAAACCATCATTCTCAGCAAACTATCACAAGGACAGAAAATCAAACACCACATGTTCTCACTCATAGGTGGGAATTGAACAATGAGAACACTTGGACACAGGTCAGGGAACATCACACACCAGGGCCTGTCATAGGATCAGGGTCTGGGGGAGGGATAGCATTAGGAGAAATACCTAATGTAAATGACAAGTTGATAGGTGCAGCAAACCACCATGGCACATGTATACCTATGTAACAAACCTGTAGGCTCAGCACATGTATCCCACAACTTAAAAAAAAAAAAAAAGAAGAACTCTCCAGCCCTTTGTTTTGAGGAAGTTGAGTTCAGTTTGTCTCCTCTATTGAAATAGTCTTGAATAAAGTCTTCCTTGCCTGTTAAAAAAAAAATGTATACTTACTGCTGTATCTTCCTATGGGATAAATTTCAAGATGTGGGATTCCAGAGCCAAAGAACATAGGTGTGTTTTGGTTTGGTTTGGTTTGGTTTTAAGAGACAAGGTGTTGTCCTTTTGCATAGGCTGGAGTGCAGTAGCACAATCATAGCTCTCTGGAGCCTAAACTGCTGGGCTCAAGCAATCCTTCCACGCCGGCCTCCCAGAGTGCTAGGGTTACAGGTGTGAGCCACTGTACCCTGCCAGGTGTTTTTAAATTTAAAAGTTATTTCCATGTTTCTTTATTTAAAAGCTGAAATAATTATTACTTCCACTTTTTCCTGCATATTTACTAGTGATACATGATTTAACTCTTTACTATTTTTGACAATCTGATAGGTGAAAAATGTTATTTATCAGGTCCTTTACTTTGCATGTCTCTTACCACTAGTGAAGCTAGGCATCTCTTCCTTTTTTTTACAACTTTATTGAGGTATAATTTAATACCATAAAATTCACTTATTGTAAGTGTGCAATTGAATATTTTTAGCAAATTTTTAGAGTCATGCAACCAGGACCATAATTTAATTTTAGAACTTGTTTCTCTATCTAAAAACGTTCTGGTGCCTGTTTGTAATCAATCTCTGCTCCCATCCCCAGATCCAGACAACCATTGACCTGCTTTCTGTCGCTACTGATTTTCCCTTTTAGGACATTTTATATAAATAGAAATATTAGGTTGCTGCAAACATAATTGTGATTTTTGCCATTCAATGAAAGTAATAAATAACAACCTAATAAATAACTTATAGTGTTTTGTATCTGGCTTCTTTCATTTAGCATAACATTTTCAAGGTTCATCCATGCTGTAGCATGTATCAGAATATCATTTTTGTTGCTGAATAATATTTCATTGTATAGGTAAACTGCATTTCATTTATTTATTCACTAGTTGATATACATTTGGATTGTTTCTACTTTGGGCTATTACACATGATGCTGCTACGACATTTTGTGTACAGGTGTTTGTGTAAACATATATTTGTACTTCTCTTGGGTAGGTATCTAAGGATAAAATTGTTGAGTCATATAGTAAATTCATGTTTAATTTTTTTTTTTTTTTTTTTTTTTTTTTTTTTTTTTTGAGACGGAGTCTCGCTCTGTCGCCCAGGCTGGAGTGCAGTGGCGCGAACTCGGCTCACTGCAAGCTCCGCCTCCCGGGTTCACGCCATTCTCCTGCCTCAGCCTCCCGAGTAGCTGGGACTACAGGCGCCCGCTACCACACCTGGCTAATTTTTTGTATTTTTAGTAGAGACAGGGTTTCACCGTGTAAGCCAGGATGGTCTCGATCTCCTGACCTCGTGATCCGCCCGCCTCGGCCTCCCAAAGTGCTGGGATTACAGGCGTGAGCCACCGCGCCCGGCCCATGTTTAATTTTTTTAAGTGCCAAACTGTTTTCCAAAGTCTGCCTACTTTTCTACCAGTAATGTACAAGGATTTGTTTCTCCACACCTTCTCCAGCACTTGACTTTGCCATTTTTAAAACTTATTTTAAGTTCAGGGGTACATGAGCAGAATATGCAAGTTTGTTACATAGGTAAATGTGTGTTATGGGGGTTTGTTATATAGATTATTTCATCAACCAGGAATAAAGCCTAGTATCCATCATTATTTTTCCTGGTCCTCTCTCTCCTGCCACCTTTCACCTTCTGATAGGCCCCAGTGAGTGTTGTTCCCCTCTATGTGTCCATGTGTTCTCATTTAGCTCCCGCTTATAAATGAGAACATGCTCTATTTGGTTTTCTGTTCCTGTGTTAGTTTGCTAAGGATAATGGCCTCCAGCTCCATCCATGTCTCTGCAAAGTACATGCCCTCATTCGTTTTTTTGATGGCTGCATGGTATTCTATGGTGTATATGTACCACATTTTCTTTATCCAGTCTATCAAGAATACACCGTAGAATACTATGCATATGAATACATTTAGGTTGATTCCATGTCTTTGCTATTGTGAATAGTGCTGCAGTAAACATGCTCATGTGTGCCTTTATAATAGAATGATTTATATTCATTTTTTTTTAGATGGAGTCTCATTCTGTCACCCAGGCTGGAGTCCAGTGGCACAATCTCGGCTCACTGCAACCTCTGTGTCCTGTATTCAAGCGATTCTCCTGCCTCAACCTCCTGAGTAACTGGGATTACAGGCGTGTGCCACCACACCCAGCTAATTTTTGTATTTTTAGTAGAGACGGGGTTTCTCCATGTTAGCCAGGCTGGTCTTGAACTCTTGACCTCAGGTGATCCACCTGCCTCGGCCTCCCAAAGTGCTGGGATTAGAGGCATGGACCACCATGCCCTGCCTGAATGATTTTTATTCCTTTGGGTATACATCCAGTAGTGGGATTGTTGGGTCAAATGGTATTCCTGTCTTTAGGTCTTGGAGAAATCGTCACACTGTCTTCCACAATGGTTGAACTAATTTACACTCCCACCAACAGTATATAAGTGTTCCTTTTCCTCGGCTCTTCATCCAGGCTGGAATGCAGTGGCCCTATCTCGGCTCACTGCAAGCTCCGCCTCCCAGGTTCATGCCATTCTCCTGCCTCATCCTCCGGAGTAGCTGGGACTACAGGCACCTGCCACCATGCCCAGCTAATTTTTTTTTTGTATTTTTAGTAGAAATGGGGTTTCACTGGATATTTTTTGACTTTTTAATAGTAGCCATTCTGACTGATGTGAGATAGTATATCATTGTAGTTTTGATTTGCATTTCTCTAATGATAAGTGATGTTGATCTTTTTTTCATATGATTGTTTGCTGCATGTATGTCTTCTTTTGAAACGTGTTGCTCATGTCCTTTGCCCAATTTTTAGTGGGGTTATTAGTTCTTTTTCTTGTCAGTTTAAATTCCTTATAGATGCTGGATATTAGACCTTCGTCAGATGCAATAGTTTGCAAAAATATTCTCCCATTGTGTAGGTTGTCTGTTTACTGTGTTTCTTTTGCTGTGCAGAAGCTCTTTAGTTTAATTAGATCCCACTTATCAATGTTTGTTTTTGTTGCAATTGCTTTGGCATCTTCATCATGAAATCTTCGCCTGTCCCTATGTCTTGAATAGCATTGCCTAGGTTGTCTTCCAGGGTTTCTATAGTTTGGGATTTTACATTTAACTCTTTAATCTGTCGAGTTAATTTTAATATATGGTGTGGGGAAGGGATCCAGTTTCAGTTTTCTGCATATGGCTAGCCAGTTATCCCAGTACCATTTTTATTGAATAGGGCATCCTTTCCCCATTGCTTGTTTTTGTCAGGTTTGTCAAATATCAGACAGTTGTAGGTGTGCAGTCTAATTTCTGAGCTCTCTATTCTGTTTCATTGGTCGGTGTGTCTGTTCTTGTACCAGTACCATGCTGTTTTAGTTACTGTAGCCCTGCAGTACAGTTTGAAGTCAGGCAGCACGATGCCTCCTGCTTTGTTCTTTTTGCTTAGGATTGCCTTGATTTTTGCCATTTTGATTATAGCCATCCTAGCAGGTGTGTAATGATATCTTATTGTGGCTTAAAACTTCATTTCCCTAATGACTAATGATGCTGAGCACCTTATCATGCGCATATTAGCCATTTGTATATCTCCTTGGTAAAACATCTAATTCAAATTTTTACCTGTTTTTAAATTGGGTTGCTTGCTTTCTTATTATTTGATTGTAAGTATTCGTTACATATTTTGAATACAAATCCTTTGCATACCATGATTTGCAAATATTTTTTCCCAGTTATGGCTAAGCTTCTAGTATCTGTGCCCCACCCCACCCTGGTAGAACCACTTTGGATACTAAGCTTAAGGGAAGGGAAATAAGAAATAAAGTAGTCCCCGGCAGGAATGCCACATACTCTACCCTTCTTATCTGAAGCTCAGCGGTTTTTACATGAATAAACACCTCTCAATATGTTGTTTGCCTCTGGTCAATTTCCAGACCTCTGAAATGGTTGTTTTTGATAATGATTTTCAGTTTGTTAGTTGTATTCTGAACAGAGGATTCATGAGTCTCTTTACTCCACCATGCCAGAAGAAACTAGACGGCATTTTTTATGTTTAGGAAAATTTGGAGTTGGTGGTCTTCTTTCCTAACAGCTCCAAAAAGTGCCAAGTTTGTGTTTTCTTCTCCTGGATTGGGATTGGGTTGTGTGCCCATCCTTGAACCACTCACAGCAGCCAGGGGAATGCATTACTGTGACCGACCAAGCCACTACCTACAGCATCTAGCCTGAGAATGGAGAGGGGTGGTCTTCCAGTAGTAAATTGGAGTCATTTTCCTTGAAAGAAGACATGATGCCAGGTGGTAAAACCAGTCAAAATTCACAACAGTCTCCCTTCAGGGTTGTGATTCCCTATGTGGAGGCCTTACATCACAGGCCAGTGCCCAACACCTACACTGTTCACCACCTTCAAGGAGATCATGTCTGACCACCCAGCCTTGCTGACTTCTTAATGATACCAGACAGACAAAGCCTCCTATGATCCAAGGACACAGAAATCTGGCTTCAGATGGGAGCAGACTTCAGTGCCCTCTAAAATCTCTTTCTACCCTAAGCCTAAAAACCTAGAATTCTAAATTTCTCTTTTGTTTTACATTTTAGTTTTTATGTGCTTTTGAGCCTCTTCTTCCTTCTTTTCAGCTAAGTATTATTTTAACTTTTTTTTTTCTTTAGACAGAGTCTCACTTTGTCACCCAGGCTGGAGTTCAGTGGTGCAATCTCCACTCACTGCAACATCCTCCTCCAAGGTTCAAGCAATTCTCCCGCCTCAGCCTCCTGAGTAACTGGGATTACAGGTGCGCACCACCATGCCTGGGTACTTTTTGTATTTTTAATAGAGACGGGGTTTTACCACTTTTGGCCAGGCTGGTCTTGAACTCCTGGCCTCAGGTGATCCATTCGTCTCAGCCTCTCAAAGTGCTAAGATTACATCATGAGCCACTGAGCCTGGCCCCTATTTTAACATTTCTTATATCTTTCCCATCCCTGTTCTGTTTCTGTCATTCCGTCTCTCTGTTTTCTCTCTCTCTCGCTCTCGCTCTCGCTCTCACTCTCACTCTTGCTCTATTTCTCTCTCCTTGTCTATTATCAGAATCAATTTACCAAACACCCACAACAGTCAGGCACTGTGCACAGCTACAACATTGCAAAAACAAAGATGTATTAGCTACACTTCTTCCCTCAAGTTTACAATGTCTTTGCCAGAAAGAACCTGTCATTCAATGCAAAGCTCACCACAGAAGTATAACAAGAGAGTACAACTTGAGTGATGCTGACAGTACTGGCTGTGCATTCTTCCAAGGTTGGCCTTATGAACAGACAGCATAACTAAAAGCTTCTGGAACTCTGGAAAGGCATCCAAAACCTTGAATACTTTGTTTTTCCCAGGACTTCAGATTCCACACTTTACCTCTTCACACTTCCTGAAATTCCCGTAATGAGAATCACTAGCATGCTGAACACTCCCCATTTATATTGGAGGATTAATTGGCTCCAAAATTTTACTTTCTAAGATTGGCAGTATCAATCTAAATGCAAGATGGCAGTTTTAATCTGATAGGAGAGGGATTCTACACCAGGGATCCATATTGGAGAAGTGGGCCTGCATGGGGCTCCCCATAGGGAATCATGTGCCTGTGCTGCAGGATAAGGTGGTACAGGGGAAGAAAAATGATCTACATGTGGAGGAAACCTCATTACATTGAATACATCTACTGCACTTCTGTGCCAAAGACCACTCAGAATTCTACCCATTCATTAGTCCTTGTTTAATTTTCTCTCACTTCTCTTTTCCTTTTCCACTCAATTGTCAGTAGATGGGCAGTAGTATATATGTGATTCAGAACTCAGTGAACTAGACAAGGCATTTGGACTTTTCTTGAAGTTTAAAAATTGTGCAATTCATTTGATCAAGTATTGCTAATGTCACAGGCTGATGAGTAACTGTAAAGAAGAGCAAAATCTTCCATTTCTTCATGGGCTCATTGCCAACATAGTGAATTATCACAAGGGCAAGCCAAGTGCAGAAACACCCTTTTGGGGAGGGGGGAAATGAAGAGGATTATTCATGAATTTTGAGAAACTGAAAAAATAGACTCTAGAAAATGGGGGAGTAAAAGAAGGGAGAAAAATACCTCACCTTTGAGTGTGAAATTAGTTTACCTTCGTGAAGACACCAATCCCATAAAAACCATAAATATAGCATCCTGATTATTTAAGAGAAAAACGCTAATTTTCAAGTTTGTGCTATTTCTAGCAATTCCAATCTGCTATGCAGGAAGTGTGAGAGTGCTGATAATTAAGGAACACTATGTTAGGCGATGATAACACACCGCCTCTGGGTCCCAGCTCATAGTACCTTGTAAATGTGATGAAATCAGATTTGATACTGCTAAAATGTCAGGAATACACATTAGCAATCCTCTTATTTCAATACAATTCAGCAATGCTTAACTTTGCAGTGCAATCCTTGTGTCAGTGTTCCTTGTCATAAAGCAGATAATGTGAATTCAAGATAATTATTACAAGGAAATATCAAAAAGCCACAAGCTGAAATAATTTACGAATCATTTCTTCCCACACTTTTTGTCAATGACCTGGATAAATTGCACAGTCCACAGTCATGAGAATGAGGGGGTTGATTGAACTCCTTGGTGGCCTTCAGAGCCATGAAGCATCAGAAAATGAACCCATAATTGTCTTCACACATCCACCCACCCCAAACCCTGTAGATCACCCCCTCCTAATCAACCAAGCCCCAACCTGGCTGTATTTCCAAATTCCTCACCATCTCATGCCAATCTTACTAAATCTCCTTAGGTGTATCTACTTCTCCAACCCCAGGTTCTGCCTCAGATCTTCCCCCTCTCTGAGTCACTTCCTGGCTCTGAGTCTGACTCTTCCACCTGGCTGTCTGGATGAAGTATCTAAAACAGAAATCTGGTCATGTTCCTGCCCTGCTTAAAAAAACAAACAAACAAACAATCAACAACAACAAAAAAACCCTGTGGTGGCTCCTGTTTTCCCCTATGTTCAAGTTCCAGTTCTTTGGCATGCCTACATTGTCCTCAGTGATCTTCCCCTGCCCATCTCTCTGGCCAGGCATACTCTCCACCTATGCCATCCATTCCCTGAACTTCATGCCCAAACCACGTGGGGTGCCCACACAGACCTTGCTGATCTGGCTGCATGCTTTTGTTCCCACCAGCCTCACCTATCACTTTCATCTGAAGAGCGACACCCATTCTTTCAAACTCCTGCAGGAGGCACCTCCTCCAGAAAGCCCACAGAGAGAGATGGGTATGTTCTCTCTGAACTTTTTCATCCCTCCATCTGTCACATCACATTGTTGTTTATCTTTTATTATCCCTCATTCTGGAAGGTCCCTCAGGGCAGGGGCTGTATCTCATTCATCTTCCTATTCCCAATATAAAACAACAGACCAGGAATATTGTAGGCATCCTGTATATTTTCTGGAATTTGAACCCAAGTGTGGATTTAGCTTCCATTGGTAAAAACTACACAAATTCAGATACTATGAAGGAGTAAAATACTTCCTTTATTCCCTGCAATTCCTAGATTAAAGGAGCAGAAAAATGAATTTAAGCGTTAATTTAAGCATAAAATATGTCATACAATTATAAAAACTGTGGACTATATATTTATCCATATATAAGATACATTGTTCTATGTTCTAGAACTTATATAAAAGTACACATAAAGTATCGTTCTTTATGTTTTGAGATGTATCTTGTTTTTCCACTCAATAATGCATTTTTAAGATTTATGAAGACCTAGCTCATTCGTTTTAATTGTCGCGATGTATTTCATTGTCTAAATATATTATGACTTATATATTCATGATTGTTATATTTTCTTTGTGGAATATGTAATCAATATGTAGAGTCCCTTTTTATTCCTAATAATACACTATTAAATTCAATTTTCTTCATGTTGGAAATGTTACACAACTTTCTTTCTTTTATTTACATTTATAGGTATAGCTTGCCCATTTCTTTATTTGCAAATACTGTGTTCTCTGTGATTTTGTATTAAGGATGTTTTTAATGAACAACAAAAAGTTTGACTTTTACTATTTGTAACAGTGATATTGGTTATTGTTGTTGCCATATTTTGATAGATGATTTTAAGCTTATGAATGTGAATATATTTAGATTTAATTATTACCAGGTAATTTTTTGTTTATTTGCTTCTTTGATTCTTCTAATTTCCTTTCTTGCTTCTTTTTGCCTCCTGTTGAATTGATAGAGTTTTCCTTATTCTTTCCTTTTTCTCCTTAGCTGGTTTGAAAGATTTAGACTAGTTTTTGTTTGTTGTTTACATTATTAATTATTAATAATGTTATTAATTATTAATTATGCTAATAATTATTAATTATTAATAATGTTTACATTATTTAAGCTAGTTTTTGTTTGTTTACATTATTCTTGTTCACTTTTTTTAAAATAAAAAATACTAAGTTAGAATGAAGCTAGAGGCCAGTATCACACGGGAACATAAAACCAAATACCGCATGTTCTCATGTTATAAGTGGAAGCTAAACATTGAGGACATAAGTACACAAAGAAGGGAACAACAGACACAGGCCTACTTGACAGAGGAGAGTGAGGATCAAAGATCTGCCCCTGTGACACACAAGTTCCCCATGTAACAAACCTGCACAAGCACCCCTGAGCCATCAATAAAAGTTCAAATTTAAAAACTTTAAAAACCTAAAAAACTAAGTTATAATTCTTATACAATTTACCCATTCATAATGTACAATTCAATAGTTTTAATATATTTGTGGAATGGTACAACCATCATCCCAATTTATTTTAGAACATGTCATCACCCCCAAAAGGCTGCTACCTATAGCAGCCCCTATTTATTTCTCCTCAACTTCTCCATCCTATCCCTAAGCAAACCATATCTACTTTCTGTCATTCTGTGGATTTGCCTGTTCTGGACACTTCTTATAAATGGAATCATATGTTATGCAATTTTTTTGTGACTGACTGCTTTCACTTAGCATAATGTTTTCAAGATTTACCGATGCTCTAGCATGTAACAGTACTTCATTCTTTTCCATTGCCACATAATACTCCACTGTATAGATGTACCACATTTTATTTATTCATTTATTGGTTGATAAACATTTGGGTTGCTTCCACATATTGGCTGTTATGAGTAATGCTGCTATAAACATTCATATACAAGATATTTGTGTGAATATATACCTCCATTTTACCTTGGAGTGAAGTATATACCTAGAAGTAAAATTTTTAGGTCATATGGAAGCTAGTCTTTTAATCTGTTGAGGAACTGCTGGACTGTTTTCCAAAGTGGCTGCATCACTTTACATTTCACTAGCAGTGTATGAGGGCTCTAATTTCTCCACATTCTCACCAACATTTGTAATTACCTGTCTTCTTTATTATTGCCATCCCAGTGGATGTGAACTGATATCTCATTGTGATTTTGATTTGCATTTCCCTGATGGCTAACATTGAGCTTTTTTTTTTTTTTTGGATATTTGTGTATCTTATTTGGACAAAAGTCTTTTCAGATCCTTTGCCCATTTTTAAATTGTGTTATTTGTCTTTTTATTATTTAATAGTATTTCTTTACATAGTCTTGCTAGGTTTAAGTCTCTTATTCAACATTATTGGCAAAAATTTTCCCCTTTTCTTGGTGTGTCCTTTGACACACATAAATTTTTAGTTTATTGATTTTCAAGTTATCAACTTTTGTTGCTTGTGCCTTTGATGTCATTTCTAAGAAACTATTGCCCAATCTGAAGTCATAAACATTTATACCTATGTTTTTATTTTTAATATGTTTACTTAATTGTTCTGCCATTTCCTTTATTTTCTTTTTCTGAAAATCTATTTAACACACTTCAAAGTCTCTCCGTGTCCCTAATTGCCCTTTTCTATTATAAACTTTTTGTGCTGTGTTCCAAATAAATTCAAGCCTACCTTCCAATTAATGAGTTCCTTCTTCAGCAGCTTCCAGTGTTAAGTTAATCCCGTTAATATTTTAATTTTAGTATTTTTTGTTCATATTTCTAGGATTTCAAATTACTCATTTTCATATCCACTTGTCCTGTTTCATTATGCCAGTTTAATTTCATAAATTTCTATTTTGTTCCTGGATGTCTTTATCTCTTTGAGAATCCTAAATATATCTTTACATACATAATTTTCACATTATCTGTTATTTTTATGTCATTTGGAGTGGATTCAGCTTACAATTTTCAATCTTTCTTAGCATTAGATTGTCTCTTAGGTTTTAGGATTTGTATTTACAGGATCACCTTGAGTAAGGTTTATTTTTTTAAATCTCTCTCCCTCTGAACTCAACTTCTATCCAGATCCAGGGCTCATATTGGTTACTCACAGTCCCTCTCCAATTATGTTATTTTTGCTATTTCCAAACTATCAGGTAGTCAATGGCAGCTTGGCCTGGGTCCTCCTGTGTCTGCATCTGTGCACCTTACCTCCATCGCAAGGAAGCTTTATATTGACATTGCCCCCAGCAACAGGACTTTCTATTTCAATTTTTTTTTCTAACTAACAAGAAGGCTGAGGCTCAGAAACATTAAGAAAGTTATTTGAGGTCACACAACTATAATAACTTGTGAGACTAGGATTTAAACTTCTCTGATTCCAAAACCCAGGCACTTCCCAGTGTGCTCAAGTGCTCTGAAGGGGGATGACACAAGTGGTCTTGTGTCATCTACACTGCCCCTACAATCCGAATCAGATACAAAACCCATAGCCATAGGAAACAGACAGCTTCTCCTGAGGGTGATTTTTAAATAAACACCCCTTTGTATGAATGAATCAACTGCCAGATGGTTACTGTTCCCAAGACGCACCTTGATGAGACCAGAAGGAAGCTTTCAAATTATAGTGACATAGGTTCAAGTCCCAACTCTGCCACTGACTTTTGGTGTAACTTGGACAGATTATGTCACAATTCTCAGCCTGTGTCCTTACTTGTGAACTAGGGACAGTAATACTTATCTTCACAGCTCATAGCAAGAATTCTGTGAGCTCACTAATGCACAAAGTAGGTACCTTGTAATAGTGATTTCTGTTTCCCTTTCTGTGGACACAGTTGATTTTGCAAGGGGCCTCAGTATTGCAAGAAGCACATTTTGCCTCCTCCTGTCTCTAGAATCTGAAGGAAGCACTTGCCAGAAAAATCCAAGGCACAGCACATCAGACTTTAACATACCTCCTGCTATGTGATACCTTTCCCTTTCCCTAATGATCTGGGCCATGGGAGTGGAAAGGAGCAGGTAGCAAGGACAGGCAGGACTGGTGCCCATAAAGGCCCTTGTTCTAGCCTTCACAAGAGAACACTCTTCCTTGATAATCTGGGATAGTACAGACCCTCTGGAAGGCAATAATTCTGGGTGACAGCTCCATAGGCTGATACAGAGTCAGGAGAATACAATTGTTTCAAAGAAAATAAGACTAAATCAGAACTTGGGATTTTCCCTGAATAATGCCCTTGAGTTCCAATTTTTGGACAGGGCTGGAACACCAAGGCCTTCTTAAAATGAGATTTATGCTTTGGGTTAGGCAAATATGTCTTAGATATGGCACCAAAAATACAGTCCATAAAAGAAAAACACTGATATATTGGACTTAGTTAAAATTAAAAGCTTCTGGTAATATTGTCAAAACAAGCCAAAGACTGGGAGAAAAATACTTGTAAATCATATATCTGATAAAGAACATATATCTACAATATCTAAAGAACTCAATATCCATTGTCATTAGAAAAATGTGCATTAAAAATATAATGAAGTTCCACTACATGCCTATTAAAATGAGCATTATAAGAAATTCTCACTATAGCAAGTGTTGCTGAGATGCCAGAGTCCCTATACACTGCTTGTGGGAATGTAAAATGGAAGAACTACTTTGAACTAGTTTGGCAAAGTTTCTTAAAAACTCAAACTTACACTTACCATATGATCCAGCCATTGCACTCTTAGCTATTTACCCAAGAGAAAAGAAAGAATGCATTTATACAAAAAGACTTATACTTAAATGTTTATAACTTTATTTGTAATACTCCTGAGCTACAAAGAACCCAAATGTTCATTAATAGGTGAATGGATAATAAGTCATGGTATATCCATACAATGGAATACTACTCAATAAGACTATTCAGTGATAAAAAGATGAATTATCAATATACATGACATGAAAGAATCTTAAAATAATTATGCTGAGTGAAAGAAGCCAGACAAAAATAGAGTATGTAATGTATGACTCCATTTATATAAAATTCAAGGAAATGTAAACTAATGTGTGGTAATAGACAACTACAGTTGTCTGGAGATGAGTAGGCAGGAGGGAGGGATTACAAAAGAGCATGATGAAACTTATGGGGTCGATTCTAATGATTATTTCCTGGGTGGATACATTTGGCAAGACATCAGATTTTACACTTCAAATATGTACAGTTTATTGTATCCCAATTGAACTTCAATAAAGCCATTAGAGGAAAAAGAACAGTAGGAGAAGACTTATGCTCAGTCATTCTCTCCTATTGACCAGTCACTCCAGGACACTAGCAGAAGTACCAAAGTATGGAAATATTTTCTCCAATTCAGAAAATCTTATTGGAAATTCAAGAACACATAGGGTATTCAGGCAGTTTTTATAAGTATAGAATTTTTTGAAAATTGATGCTTGAAAAGTTTTTGGTACCTGGAGCTGGCCTCTCTCTATTTTTTGGAGTTTTTAATGGAACAGTTAGCCAGCCCAGTCCTCCCTCTTTTTCCAGTCCCAGCCATTTTCCTAGTCCTCTTGCTGCACATGTGTCACATGTGGCTTCTCAGCTTCATGATCGTGTCATGACAGATTCTCTGGCCTCTGCTCCAACATTACCCCTTGAAATCTTGGTTCTACTGACCATTTTTGGCCTTCTTCTCCCTCCTGTAGACTGTTGAGTGCATTTGGCATTTTATACTCTATCCTTTGTCCTCTAATCCTCCACTTCTATACACCCATGTAGGTCCTTCTCCCTAGCCAGGGTTGTCCAGGTTTCAAATACTGACCAGACCCACCTGGTGCCTCTGGGTAGGGGCCGAGGGTAGAAGTGGCAGAGGTGGTTCAGATTCTCTTCATCAGGGCTGTGTTCTGACCTGTGGATAACATCATAGGATAGATGCAGATAGCAACACATGTTCTTTCAGCCCAAGTGTAGCCAGTTGGCTCAGAGTATCTCTGTAGGGAAAGCTCCCTAACCTCCCCTGCCCTTCAGACTGGTTAGGCAGGTTAGGTGTCGTTCTCTCCTCCGGTATCCCATGCTTCCCTTTATCATTCATTTATTTCATTTTCTTTGTATTTTCTTACCTTTCCTCAATTCATATCCCTTTCCCAATATGAGAGGCTCTGTAGAACAGGAATCTTGTCATACATCTCAGTATCCTCAGCACATAGTGCAGATCCAGGCACATTGGAGACAAACAGTTAAAGAGTTGGTTTATTTTAAACAGGAAGACTAGCAGGACCTGAGTTGATAGTTCTTGAAGATCATCTGTGTTTGCTTCAGCTTCCGTGACAAATGTGATTCCTCAACTTTTGATTTTTACCCGTGTAGTTCGGAAAGAAATATTAATCCTCTTCTCTGATAAACTTTTGAGACTGCCTAAGTCTTAAAGTGATATAAACACTAAAGAAGAATCTACCTTTCCAAGATGAACTTTAACCTTTTTTCTAAACATACTACATTTCCCAATCCTATGCAGCAACCTAATAGCTATGTTAGTTGTGTTTCATAAGGAGAGAGATGGTCAAGACTTATCCAAAATCCCTGGCCAATCTACTTCCCAGATATCCCTGCTAGGTCCTCCAAGTATAATAGCAGAATGGCCACTCCAGGGAAATTCACTTCAGAAAGTGCAACTTCCAAGCTTCTCTCCTGCCTGGGTAATGGGTTGAAGAATGGGAATCATCAAGGATCCCTCCTATCCCTCTTGTTTGAGAACTATACCAGAGGCCCAACAAGTTGTACTATTTCTGCCTCGATTTCCCTCTGTTTCTGCTGGGATAATGCCTATTGTGTAGGAGGCATTCTCAGGCCTAGCTGATCACAGTGCTCTAAGAGGTATTACCCATCTTTCCTCCTTCCATTTCTGGCCCCAACCTCTTTATCTCACTCCACCTCCCTGGGGGAGAATGTGATGGTCTCATAGGGCCCTTGTTCCTATCGGGTCCTTGACCCAGACCTGAGCTTGTCAGCCCTGGGAATGGAGTGGAAGTAGGGTTGAGGTGAACAGTTGGAGAGTGATCACAGTTACACATTGGACAAGTAAATTAAATCAGGATCTAGTAGGAATTCTGAGAAGAAGGCAGCCTGAGCCCATATTTCTGATACCCTCTATCACCAAATTCCCTCCAGCAGTAACTCAACAAGAAGGCAAAAAATATATCTTTATTCTTTACTGGGGAAAGAATTTGGCAATATTTCTCTTACCCGTTTTCGGCAATAAGAGAAATATGGCTCTGTCCTGCCTGGATCCCAGGCAGTCAGACCTAATGGTTATCTCCCTTGTTCCCTGAACATCGCTGTTATCCTGTTCCTTTTCCAAGGTGCCCAGATTTCATAGTGTTCAAACACACATGCTTTATGAACAATTTGTGCAGTTAATGCAATCATCACAGGGTTCTGAGGCGACATACATCCTCAGCTTATGAAGATGACGGATTAAGAGATTAAAGTAAAGACAGGTGTAGGAAATTATAATGACGGATTAGGAGATTAAAGTAAAGACAGGCATAGGAAATTATAAGAGTTTTGACTGGGGAAGTGATAAATGTCCATGAAATCTTCACAATTTATGTTCAGAGATTGTAGTAAAGACAGGTGTAAGAAATTATAAAATTATTAATTTGGAGAAATAACAAATGTCCATGAAATCTTCACAATTTATATTCTTCTGTCACAGCTTCAGCAGGTCCTTCTGTTCGGGTTCCCTGACTTCCCACAACACAAAAAAAGGCATTGAAAATGAGAGTATACCTGATGCTGAATCCTAATGGAAAGCCAACTCACATCTGAGGTTTCAGATTCCAAGGGGACTGGGCAGATCTGGGCAGTGGGCAATGTCTGTTCTGTGGAACTTGCTTCTATTACCCAGAGGACCTAGGACCCCATGGTAAGGGAGGAGGTGTCTTTGCTGGAAAAGCATGGAGTGAGGACATCTGACCACCCATCAGCATAAATAGCTCCGTGTGCTGGGCCTGCTAACTCCCAGAGCACAGACAAGAGCTGTGGCTGCCACCCAATCACTGCTCACAGTACTGAAGAAAATCACAGTCTTTCATTTCCTCCTCCTTACCCTCCAATTCACCTTAGCTTGACCCATCAGCCTGATCTGAACATGTGCTAGAGGAAACTAGAACTGCCAACATAGGCATAGAATGAATAACTACCAGTCAAGAGACTTCATAGCATAAAGGGAGACCAAGCAAAGAGCCAGACCTCTTTCTTATAAGGATGCTTTAATGAAAGAAACAGATGGAAAAGAAAATAAAAATCCATAGAAAATATGTAAAGTTATGCAATAAGAATTCGGGTAAATTTTTTAAATTCTGAATTGAAAAATTTAGTTTCAGAACTAAAACATAGAATTGATTCAACTGAAAACTGAATAAGTAATCTTACTCTTGTGGAGTAAGAATTATATTACTACACAAAAGCAAAAATATACAAAGAAACAAAACAAGTGAAAAGAATAAGAGACATGGAGGATATATCCAGGAGATGTAATATGCAAAATGGAGTAGTTTCAGGAGACAAATGAATAGACCTAAGAGAAGCAAAAAATGTAAAAAGAAGAAGAAAAAACTCTGAGTTGTAAAAAGATATACATTTTCAAATGAAAAGTGTACTTATAGTGTCATATAGGAATTATGAAATATGTATACATATATATACATGCCTTGTAAAATGTCTGAACTCTTAGAATAAGGAAATTTGCTTATAGGTTTTCAAACAGGAGAAAAATCTAGTTTCAAAGGCAAGAGAATCAAATCAGCAACAGATTTCTCACCTGCAACTCCAGAAACTCAAAGACAATGGAACAAAATATGCTTAGCATTTAGAGAAAAGCTTTGTGATCCATGAATCTTACACCATTCAATAAAATGTTTATGTGGGAAGAGAAAAAAGTTTTTCACCACAAGGAAATTCATAATGTGTGCCACCCAGATACACCTTCTAAGTAAATTGCTTAATGGAGTACAATAATAAATAAAATAAAATCAGAACAAAAATCTCAAGGTATGATAGACTATTCCAAGAGTAGGAGTCAGTCAAAAAATATTCATTAATTTCCTATTCTGTTCCAAAATACAGTGGTGAACAAGACAGAGCCCCTGCCATTTAAAAGTGTATATTCAGATACTAAATGTTGTGAAGGAGATTAAATAGGATAATGAGAAAAGGGAATGCTTTGGCAAAGTTGGAGAAGACATTCAAGTTGAGAATTGAACGTAAGAAGGAAGTAACTCTGCACACTTATGGAAGAGCATTCTGACCAGAAATGAGTCTCCAGAAGGAAATAAGCTTAGTGTGTTCAGCTCATTCAGAAAAAAAACCACAATGACTAGGCATAGGGAATTTGGGCAGACATGGGAGAAGATAAGATCAAGGAGGCAGTGTGGCAGAGACCACTATCAACACACTGAAATCCAGGTTCTTCCTCTTATTCTATAACACAGAGCTAGACTGCATTTCCCAGCCTTCCTGGAAATTGGACGTGGCTATGAGAGACCCAGCCAGTGCAATATTAACAGAAGTGATACCCGTTTCTGCACATAAAAAACACTCATATGTACTTCTCTCTGTGTTTTCTCCTCCAGCTAGTCGAAATGGAAATGACCCCAAGGGTGACTTTGAAAGACAGACTCGTGTAGGAGATGACAGTCAGCCTATATCCCTGAATGACTGTATGTTGTTATGTGAGCAAGAAATAAAGATCTACACCATTTGAGCCATAGTTAGTTATTGGGCAAATTTATTACAGCAGTTAATGCTCTCTGACCATTACAGGTTGGCAGGGTCTTGCAGAACCATAGCGCAGAGTCTGAATTTCTCTCCAGGTGTAACAAAAAGGACTGTATATGTTTGTATGTGTTGGGGGATGTAGAGGAGTTCAGAAAGTAAGTGACACGGTCAGATTAATACTCTAGGTTCTAGGGGCAGGGCTCCTAATCAATCAAGAGGCCGTTGTCACAGTCTTGGAGAGAGATGATTGTGGCTTGGACTGAAGCTTTGGAATTGAGATTAACTAATTTGGAGAAACAGGACATGTGAAAGAGGAATAAGGAGATAGTTGGTTAAATAGTTCAGGGCTTTTCCAGTCAAGTACATGAGCAGCAATGTGTTAGTTTTCTAAGGCTGCCATAACAAATTGGTAGTTTAAAACATCAGATATTTATTCTCACAGTTCTGGAGGCCAGAAGTCTGAAATCAAGGTGTCAGCTGCATTGGATCCTTCTGGAGGCTCGAACAGAGAATCTGTTATCTCCTGGCTTCTGGTGGCTGCTGGCAATTCTTGGCATTCCTTGGCCTGTAGATGCATCACTCCAATATCTGCCTCTGTCTTCACATTGTCTTCTCCTTGGTGTGTTTCTGTCTATTTTTCCCTCTCTTCTCTTCTAAAGACTTGTCATTGGGTTAGAGCCTGCCTGAATCCAGATAATCACATTTCAGGATCCTTAATTTGATTATATCTGCAAAGATTCCTTTTTTCAGATAAGGTCATTTACAGATTCCTAAGCTTATCTTTTGGGAGCCACTGTTCAACCCACTACAACGGAAGGCAAGTGAGTTAAAAGGAGTTGCCAAGGAAGCTATAAGGCTAGATTGTGGAATCCAGGCTGGATGAGCAAGGGAAGGAGGCCGTGAAACTGGTGAGATCAGATTGGAGAATGGCTGAGCAAGGGAGCTGGGAGTTGGGGAGGAGAAAAAGGGTGGCATTACAATGGCTGACAGAGTTCAGTTATTGATGATAACAAAGTCTGGGGAATGGGCATCCAAGTGGTTTACTGAGGTGATGCCTGAGAAAACTCCACTGGAGGATGGGATTTAGATATCAGGATGTTGGTTGTATCACCAACATGGTGATAAAGCCCCACAATGATGAAAGGAGTGGCTAAGGGGTGAGTCTGGTGCTAGAGGTGCTAGAGGCAACAACTAGTGAGAGGCAGGACTAAGGGGTCTAGACAGCAATTACGAGGAACTGAAAGTCATGCCTAACTCAGAACAAACAATTATAAAGGGATTGCCAACTACAACATACGGGATTGAAAGAGATCAGGCATACTATATAATTTAAAAAGCTAGGAACCAAAATTTCAAAGGAGTCCAAAAAAATCCCAGGAGTTAGTGGGGGAGATACAGAGAAGTTAGAGAAGTAAAAGCATCCTGAAAGCTTCATTTTAGTATGGCGTGTATGGCTGATTTTAATTAAATAAAAGCTATACTAAAAAGTCTCCTCTTGAAACATTGAGATGTTTACTGTATTGGTATAAAAATACAAACTTGAAGACACTCTTCAAAATATATGTATTCACCAAAAAATAGAAACATTTAAATGATTCCAAATCATCAAATGCCAAGAGAGTAGCTAAAAATAAAAACTCTTTCAATACAGTAAAACTTGGTGAGGGAAAAAATAGGAACAAATAATACATAATAGTACAGAAAGCATAAAATAAGATAAAATAAGACCAAACATGTCCTTCATTTTAATTACCACAATTGTATTTAACATCTCTATTATAAATAATGATAAAAAGGTATTAAACCATCATTAAAAACAATCATTATGATGATTATTTTCATAAGTGTACAATCGTGCACTTTAAAATATTTGCAGTTATGGTACATCAATTCCACCTTAATAAAGCTGCCTTAAAGACAAAACAACAATTCTAAGATTGAGAAAAAGCATACTCCAATTTTATGCCCATGCATATACCTAGAAAGGACAAAGAAAGCCTGAAAAGAAGGGCAGCAAGTGGGAACAAATAGAAAACAGGGTTGGCAACATTTATATTATGTAGGTAGATTTTGAGGCTAAAAGTATTGTAAAACAATATAGATATTTTGTAATAATAAAAGAAAAATCCATAAAGATGTTCTGAGTCAAAAAGCTTTAATGTATCAATAGCATAACTTTAAAATATTTAAAATGATAATTGTTAGAGCTACAACAGATAGGCAATGCCACAATCATATTAAGAAATTATAATACACCTTAATAGACTTCTCTTAAATTATCTGCTAGTCAAATCTAGTAGATAAGTATAAAGTAAAGACTGTAGATGACTTGAATAATATTTAACAAACTTGATACACATACACAGGTAAAATTTTATACTCAAAAAATAGAAAATGTACATTCTTTTCAAACACCCTGGTCATTAAAAGGAAATAGTGTATAAGAGATCCCTATCAACTCACTAAAATCCAGGTTCTTCCTCTTATTCTAGGACACACAGCTAGGCTGCATTTCCCAGCCTTCCTGGAAGTTGGGTGTGGCTATGAGAGGTCCAGCCAGTTCAACATAAACAGAAATGATATTCACTTTTTGCCCATAAAAAACGCTCATATGCACTTCTCCCTGTCTGTTTTCTCCTCCAGGTGGTTGAAATGGAAATAACTCCAAGGAAGACTGTCAAAGACAGCCACGTGCTGAAGATGACAGTCAGCTTGTATCACTGAATGACTATGTATTGTTATGTAAGCAAGATATAAACATCTACATGGTTTGAACTATAGTTATTGGGCAAATTTATTACAGTTTATGCAATGGATACACACACACACACACACACACACACACACACACACACACCACACACCCTGGATGTAACTTTGACCATGGCTCAAGGAAAACGTCTATTTTTGCCAAATGAGATAAAAATCATAAAATAAAACTGGAGAAAGTCAAGAGAAACTTAATCCATAAAATGTAAACAAATATTTTAAAACCACTTAGAAATTTTATAAAGTATCCTCTAAATAATCTGTGAATTAAAGAATAAATCAAAACTGGAATTTTAATTAGAAAAACAATGAGAAAATTACATACTAAAAACTATAAGACTAAGTCAAATAGTGATATTTAGTAGAAAATGTGTAGCCTTAATGTTATATATTAGGAAACTAGGAAGATTTTACACAAGAAACTAAGCATCCAACTCAAGAAGGTAAAAGTACAGAGTAAAATGAAAATAAATAGGAAAAAATAAAAACAGAAATTACTGAAATAGAAAACAAAAAGAAAACTCTGTGGTCATAAATAACATGAAAAGTTTGTTCTTCAGAAAAACGTAAAAATAATGGAAAGGCTATGACTTTGATGAACAAAAAGACAGTAAGCCCCATCAGGAATGGCACAAAGATAAAATTACAAACACTAAGAAGATTTAAAAATTTGAGCCAATGCACTATGCCAATTACTTTGAAAACCTAGATGCAATAAATGGTTGTCTAAGACAATATTAACTACCAGAACTGATTCAAAAAGAAGTAGGAAACTTGAACAGATCAAGAGCCAGAGAAAACGATAAGTTGTCAAAGACATATCACACACACAAAAAAACTTGACACATTTAAAATGTGTAGTATAGTAGTTGAGAGTGAAGACTCTGAGTTTTAATCCTTGCTCTGCTTGTCACTTTAACCTGGCTGCCAGATTTAGCAAATAAAGATACAGTATACCCAGCTAAATTTGAATTTCAGATAAGTAACAAATAATTTTTAATATAAATACTTCCATGCAATATTTAGGATACATTTATACTAATATTTATTCACTGTTGATCTGAAATTCAAATTTAACCTGGCATTTTGTATTTTACTGGCAATCCTAGGCTTCAGGCAGTTACCTAATTTTCCTGTGCCTCTGCTTCCTCATCACTAAAATGGTGATGAGAGATCCTGGTGAAGGCAAGTACCTCTTTACTTCATGCCAAAGCAGATCTCCAGGCATTCACAGCACCCACTCATCTGGATTAGCACCCTAAGCTGCTCCATCCTCCCTGTGCATAGATTGTGGTGCAATAGAGCCCTCTCTGCTCCACACCCAGGAAGATCTCCAGGCATTCAAAGCACTTGCTCACCTGGATTGGCAGCCTGAGCTACCCTGCCCTTCCAGTGCAGGGATCTAGGTACAGGGGCCCCTCTGTGCTTCATGCCCAGGCAGATCTCCAGGCATTCAGATGACCAGCTCACCAGGACAAGCAGCCTAAGCCACCCTACTCTTCTTGTGCAGAGATTGTGGTGAAGGGGGGCCCTTTCCATTCAACACCTAGGCAGATCTCCGTTCATTTTGAACACTTGCCTTAATCAGCAGCCTAAGCCAGCCTGCCCTTCCTGCTTGGTGACCATGGTGAAGTGGGGCCCTCTCTACCCTATGCTCAGGGATACCTCCAGGCAGTCGGAGTACCTGTTTGCCTGGATTAGCAGCTAAGCTGGCCCAAACTTCCTGTGCAGAAATCCTGGTGAAAGGAGACCCTCTCTGCTACATGTCCAGGAAGATCTCCAGGCATTCAGAGCACTTGTTTGCCTGGTTCAGCTGCTTGAGTGTCCCCCACCCTTCCTATGCAGAGATTGTCATGCAACAGGGTCTTCTACACTTCATTCCCAGGCAGATCTCCAGCCACCTGGAGTACATGCTCCTGGATTAGAAGTTTAGCCCATCTCACTCCCTTCCCCATTCAGAGAACTTGGGGCCAAGGAGGTTTCCCAGATCCACACACAGGTATACCTCTGGGTACTTGGTGGCTGCCCATTGGATTCTCCCTTGGCACTGGTGCTTGAGACTGCCGTCAGGGGATCTGTGGGCAGACCTAACCAGTCTGGCCCTGCCCATCTTTCCTCTTTGCCCCTGCCCCACAGGGATAAACAGCGAGCTAAGACCATGGTGCACTTCATGGATCAGCCCCTGGCTTGAGGCAACAGAGAGCTTCTCCCAGTAAAAAAGGATCAAGTATATACTGAGCCATGTTGTCCACAGCTGGCTCTTACCTATAAGTGCCATCTACAGGCTTATAGGTCAAACTAAGCAGCCCAATAAACCAGCCAAAAGAACTGTATACAGCTGTAGAAGCAAAGTCAAAAGGCTCTACCCAACATTCTCTACAGTCATATGGCTTGAGGATAGGAAGAAAGAGAAAGGGAAAGAAAATAAACGATAATATTATAGAAAAAGAAAGAAAGAAATCCTATCTAAACAAAAATAATTATAGAAATAAGAAGCACATGTATCTGCAGGTAAGAAGGAACCAGCATGAGAATTTTAGTATCATTTAAAAATCTGAATGTAGTGACACCACCAGAGGATCACTTTAGTTCTCCAGCAATTGTTCCTACCCAAAATTGAAACTCAGAAATAACAGGCAAAGAATTCAAAGCATGGATTGCAAGGAAGCACAATGAGATCCAAGACAAGGTCAAAAATCAATACAAAGTAACTTCTAAAGCAGGAAATGATGGAAGAGATAAATATCTTAAAAAGAAATCAACTGGAGCTTCTGGAATTGAAAAACCCACTTAAGGAATTTAAAAATACAACTGAAAGTTTTATCAATAGACTGGACCAAACAGAAGAAATAATTTTAGAGCTTGAATACCAGTCTTTCCAAGTAACACACTCAGATAAAAATTTTTAAAAAATAAATTTAAAAGATAAAATTTTTGAGAAATATAGAATTATGTAAAGCAAACACATCTATGATAAATTATTGACATTCTTGAGATAAAAGGAGAAAACATAAACAACCTGGAAAACATATTTGGGAGAATAATTCAAGAAAATTTCTCTAATCTTGCCAGAGACATAAACATTCAGATACAAGAAACCCAGAGAACACCTGTGAGATACTATACAAATGAATGTCACCAAGACATATAGTCAGCAGACTGTCCAAGGTCAATGCTAAAGAAAAAAGTCTTTTTTTTTTTTTTTTTTTTTTTTTTTTTCAGGGAGTCTCACTCTGTCTCCCAGGCTGGAATGCAGTGGCGTGATCTTGGCTCACTGCAAGCTCCACCTCCCAGGTTCACGCCATTCTCCTGCCTCAGCCTCCCGAGTAGCTGGGATTACAGGCGTGTGCCACCACGCCAGGCTAAGTTTTTGTATTTTTACTAGAAATAGGGTCTCACTGTGTTAGCCAGGATGGTCTCGATCTCCTCACCTTGTGATCCACCAACCTCGGCCTCCCCAAGTGTTGGGATTACAAGCGTGAGCTACCGCACCCGGCTAGAAAACACTGATAAAGGAAACTAGAGATCTTGTATAAAAAGAACTCTATCAGTTCAATAGCAGACTTCTCAGCAGAAACCTTACAACTCAGGAGAGACTGGGGGCCTATTTTTTTCTTTTTTTTTGCATTCGTAAAGAAAAAATTTCCAACCAAGAATTTCATATTCCATCAAACTAAGCTTCATAAGTAAAGGAGAAATAAAATCTTTTAATGATCTAAATGCCACACTTAAAAGGCAGAAAGTGGCAAGTTGGATAAAATAACAAGACCCATCTCACACATAAAAACACCTAGGGGCTTGAAGTGAAGGATTGGAGAAAGATCTATCATGTAAATGGAAAACAAAAAAGAGTAGGGGTCGCTATTCCTTTATCAGATAAACCAGATTCTAGACCAACAACAGTAAAAAAGGACAAAGAAGGGCATTATGTAATAATAAAGTGTTCAGTTCAAGAAGACTTAAGTATCCTAAATACATATGCACCCAACATTGGAGCACCCAGATTCATGCATGTCTACTTCTAGACATACAAAAAGATATAGACAGCCAAACAATAATAGTAGGGGACTTCAACACCCCATTGACAGCATTAGACAGATCATCAAAGCAGAAAACTTAACAAAGAAATTCTGAACTAAAATTCAACATTTGACCAATTGGACCTAATAGAAATTCACAGAATATTCCACCTGTCAACCAAAGAATGTTTATTCTTCTCATCTGTATGTGGAAAATACTCCAAGATCAACCACATAATTGGCCATAAAGCAAGTCTCAATAAACTCAAAAGAATCAAAATCATACCAACCATATTCTAAGGCCAATGTAATAGAAATAGAATAAAAACAGAAATCAATATCAAGATGATCTCTCAAAACCCCACAATTACATGGAAATTAAACAACTTGCTCCAAAATGACTTTTGAGTAAGCAATAAAATTCAGAGAGCAATCAAAAAATTATTTGAAAAAAATGAAAACAGAGATAGAACATACCAAAATCTCTGGGATGCAGCAAAAATAGTGTTGAGAGGAAAATTTAATAGCACTGCCTACTTTTAAAAGTTAGAAATATCTCAAATTAATGATCTAACATCACACCTACAGGAACTACAAAATGTGAACAAACTAACTCCAAAGCAAGCAGAGGAAAATAACTAAATTCATAGCAGAATGAAACAAAATTGGGACCCAAAAATCCACACAAAGAATCAACGAAACCAAAAGTTCGTGTTTTTTTTTTTTTTTGAAAGGATAAGCAAGATCAACACACTGGTAGATAGATTAACAAGGAAAAAAGAGAGAATATCCAAATAAGCAGCGTCAGAAATGACAAAGGTGACAACTGATCCCACAGAAATACAAAAGATTCTCAGAGACTATTATGAACATCTCTATGCACACAAACTAGAAAATCTAGAGGATATGGATAAATTCCTGGGAACACAAAACCTCTCAAGATTGAATAAGGAAGAAATTGAAACCTCGAACAGACCAATATTTAATTCCAAAATTGAATCAGTTATAAAAAACCTACCAACCAAAATAAGCCCTGGACTAGACAGATTCACAGCTGAATTCTACCAGACATACAAACAACTCATAACTATTCTACTGAAACTATTCAAATAAATTGAGGAGGAGGGAATTCTCTCCAACTCATTCTCTAAAGCCAGCATCACCCTCATACCAAAACCTGACAAAGACACAATGAAAAAAGAAAACTATAAGCCAATATCTCTGAAGAACATAGGTGCAAAAATCCTCAACAAAATACTAGCCAACCAAATCCAGCAGCACATCAGTTAATCCACCACAATCAAGTAGGGTTCTTTCCTGAGAAGCAAGGTTGGTTCAACATACACAAATCAATAAATGTGATTCAACACATAAATATAATTAAAAACAAAAACCATATGACCATCTCAATAGACATGGAAAAAGCTTTGGATAAAATTCCATATCCCTTCATGATAAAAATGCTCAACAAACAGGGCATCAAAGGAACACACCTCAAAATAATAAGGGACACCTGTGACAAACCCACAACCAACATCATACTGAATGGGCAAAAGCTAGAAGCATTCCTCTTAAGAACTGGAACAAGACAAGAATGCCCACTCTCACCACTCCTATTCAACATAGTATTGGAAGTCCTAACCAGAGCAGTCAGACAAGAGAAAGAAATGAAAGGCATCCAAATAGAAAAAGAAGTCAAAATATCTCTCTTTGCTGATGATATGATTTTACACCTAAAAAACCCTAAAGATTATACCGAAAGGATTCTAGAACTGATAAATGACTTCAATAAAGTTTCAAGATACAAAATCAATCTACAAAAACCATTAGCATTTATATACATCAATAAATTCAAGCTTAGAACCAGATTGAGAATGTAACTCCATTTATAATAGACACACACACACACACACACACACACACACACACAGAGATATATGCATGCACCCACCCACCCAGGAATACATGTAGCCAAGGATGTAGAAAGATCTCTACAAGGAGAACTACAAAACACTGATGAAAGACATCACAAATTGACATGAACAAATGGAAGAACATTCCATGCTCATGGATTGGGAGAATCAATATAGTTAAAATGGCCATAATGCCCAAAGCAATCTACAGATTCAATGCTATTGCTATCAAACTACCAATGTCATTTTTCACAGAAGAAAAAAACTAGTCTAAAATTCATATGGAACCAAAAAAAAAGAACCCAAGTAGCCAAAGCAATCCTAATCAAAAATAACAAAGCCAGAGACATTACATTACCTGAATTCAGACTATACTATAAGGCTACAGTAACTAAAACAGCATGGCACTAGTACAAAAACAGACACATAGACCAATGAAAGTGAGAACTCTGAAAGAAAGCCACACAACCTACAGCCATATGATCTTCAACAAAGTCAATAAAAATAAGCAATGGGGAAAGTACTCCCTGTTCAATCAATGGTGCTGGAGTAACTGGCTAGCCATATGCAAAAGAATGAAACTAGACCCCTACCTTTCACCGTATACAAAATTAACCTAAAATATATTAAAGATTTAAATATAAGACCTCAAACTATAGGAATCCTAGAAGAAAATCTAGGAAATACCACTCTGGACATTAGCTTTGGGAAAGAATTTATGACTAAGTGTTTAAAAGCAATTGCAACAAAACAAAAATTGACAAGTGGGATCTAATTAAATGAAAGAGCTTCTGTGCAACAAAATAAACTATCAACAAAGTAGACAACCTACAGAATGGGAGAAAATATTCACAAACTATACATCTGACAAAAGTCTAATATCCCAAATCCATAAGGAACTTAATTTGACAAGCAAGAAAAAAAAATCAAAATCATTAAAAAGTGGGCTAAAGACATGAACAGACACTTCTGGAAAGAAGACATGCAAGCGGCCAAGCATATGAAAAAATGCTCATCATCACTAATCATCAGAAAAATACAAATCAAAATCACAATGAGATGCCATCTCACATCAGTCAAAATACACACTATTAAAAAGTCAAAAAATAGGCTGGGCATGGTGGCACACACCTGTAATCCCAACACTTTGGGTGGCTGGGGCAGGAGGATCAGTTGAGATCAGGAGTTCAAGAATAGCCTGGGCAATATAGTGAGACCCTGTCCGTATTTAAAAAAAAATCAAAAAAATATGGTGGCACATGCCTGTAGTCCCAGCTTACTTAGGAGACCGAGGCAAAAGAATGACTTGAGCCTAGGAGGTCAAGGCTGCAGTGAGCCATAATCACACCACTGCACACTAGCCTTGGTGACAGAGTGAGACCCTGTCTCAAAATAAATAAATAAACAACAGATACTGTTGAAGTTGTAGAGAGAAGGGAATGTGTATTCATGTTGGTGAGAATGTAAATTAATTCAGCCTTTATGGGAAGCAGTTAGGGGATTTCTCAAAGAACTTAAAACGCAACTACCATTTGACCCAGCAATGCCCTTACTGGGTATATATCCAAAGGAAAATAAATCATTCTACCAAAAAAAAAAACACATGAACTTGCATGTTCATCACAGCACTACTCACAAAAGCAAAGCTATGGAATCAATCTAGGTGCCCATCAACAGTGGATTGGATAAGGAAAATGTGGTACATATACCTCATGGAATACTACACAGTCATAAAAAATACAGTGAAATCATGTTCTTTGCAGTTACGTGGATGCAGCTGGAGGTCATTATCCTAAGTGAACTAACACAGGAACAGAAAACCAAACACCACATGTTCTCACTTATAAGTAGAAGCTAAACATTGATGCACGTGGACATAAAGATGGCAACAATAGACACTGGTGACTACTAAAGAGGGAAGGAAGGGAGTGGGGCAAAGGCTGAAAAACTATTGAGTACTATGCTGACTACCTGGGTGATGGGATCAATCGTATACTCCAAAGCTCAGCATCACACAATATACCCATGTAACGAGCCTGCACATGAAACCCCTGAATCTAAAATGAAAGTTGAAATTATTAATAAATGAATAAATAAAATGGTGATGATGATGGTGATAAAAACCTACCTCATAACAATGATGGGAGAATTAAATTACTCTTAGGGAGCATACAGAACATAGTAAGCACTATGTAAATGTTAGTTATTTTAGTAATAACTCCTTTTCCCCCTTGCCTCCTTTTGCTCTCCCTCTCCTCCTTCAATTCTTCAATAAGCACATACTGAACAATTACCAAGTGCCTGGCTTTAGGCTAGATACTGGAACAGACCCAAATAATAAAATTAGAAGTATCTCTTCCTTATTTTTGGGTCCCCACTCTCCACCCCAACACCCACACCCACACAGCCCATATTAGAAACAATTCCAGCTAATCACCGTACAAGGTTTTCCCTTTTCTGACTGCAGGACAGGAACAGCACACTGATGTATGTTCTATCCAGGAGCTTATGCCCAACCTTGGAGGAGACCCCGTCATCCTTCCCATGATTAGCTGTCTCACATTCATAACTTTTGAATCAACAACCTGTGGCCTTGTTCAGGTGACTTTACCTTTTTTCAGCCTCCCTAACATAAAACGAGATATCTAAAGAAGATTATGAATGCATGTAAGTGTCTACCATACTACAGGCACTGAAAACATTAGGGTGATAGTCAAGCCTTGAGTATGTTTGCTGACATAGGCTTTTCCGTTGGGTTAATTGCTATGGTTGCTGTTCTCCGGTGAGAAACAGTAACCAAGACAGAGAGAAACTTGGCCTCTTCTTTGCTCCCAGGCTTTCTTATATAACTTCTCTGGCTCCCTTTGTTTTAGCATTTCAGTTTGTAGCCAGGTCTCAGAAACCTGAAGAGGAGCATAGACCAGCCCTGCCACCACTGTTGGACTGTTTCTCCTGAAGCCCACCTTAGCTCCTCAACAAGGCTACACCTCCTGCTGCCCAGGTCCAGACACCTGGCTCACCTCAGCTCACTTAACTTGCAGGATACCCCACCCTGTGGCAGCCACAGGGTTGTCACCCCCTTTGGTGGGCTGTTCTGATGATGAAGTCAACCTTCCCCATGTCCCCAGGTGTCCTCTTCAGTCCATCCCCTTCCCCCGCCCACTCACTCCTACTTCCATTCACTTTGGTATTTCACCCAATACTCCACACCCTCACTCCCATCAAACCCAATCTCAAGAGATAACCAAGCATTTTAAATTTACACTTCAGAGTGACTGTTGAATGTTAAGGACTCTACACTTGGGTAGTGGAAGGAAAGGATTTATTTCTTCTTGAAAGAGAAAAGTGACATCTATCGAGCTCCTACTCTGTGCCGGACACCAGCCAAACTCCCTTTCCACACATTTTTCTTATTTAATTCTCTAATAATGTGGTGATGCAGATGTCATTATCTTCATTTTATGGATTCAAAAACAGTTTCAGGGACTTTAAGTGTCTTACCCAGGTTATTCACAACTAAGTGGGGGAGTGGAGATTTAAATTCAAGTCTCTTTAACTCCAAGTCCAATATATTTCCCAATATTCCAACTTATGGAAGTTGGCTTTAATATATCTATGTGTGTGTGTGTTTTAAGATTATAAGATTTTTTAAACAGCACCTAGATCTGTATCAGCTCTGCTTACTTTCTGCATCCAGATCTGTCCCTGCTTCTTCCTGCTCTGGGTTATGAGTTGGTCACTTCATCATCCTGTCTGTTCAATCCCATGGTCAGCCAGACACAGAAAGGAGAACATACACTTAGGAAAAGCAAGGATGCCCGCTGCTTTTTGCTGCTGTTGTATAACACATTCCAAAATAAAAGCCTGAGTCTTCAGGCAGTGTCTTGTTTTCTCTGAAAGCACAGACCCTTAGTGACTGGGATGCAGCCAGAGTGGTATTCCCTCAGCCTCCCCCTTGACTCCTGCACTCACCAGCAGCCAGGATCACATCTGCATGCTTGACAAACCTTGAACTTGTCTCTCTCCTCTTTCATTTTATTTCTCACTTCCTCTCTACCCCTCCCCTATTCTCATCCTCTCTCTCCCCCTACTCCCCCTTCTTCTCCCTCCCTCTCTCTTAGTTGCTAGGGCTACCAGAACAATGTACCACCAATGGGGTATGTTGAACAACAGAAATATATTTTCTTGTAGATCTGGAGGCTAGAAGTCCAAGATTAAGGTGTAAGCAAAGTTAGTTTTCTGAGGCTCTCTCCTTTCATCATAGATTGCTGTCTTGTTCCTGTGCCTTCACATGGTCTTATCTCTCTGTGTCCAAATTTTCTCTTCTGGTAAGGTCATAATGCCAGTAATATTGGCTTAGAGCCTACCCTAATAACCTCATTTTAACTTAATTATCTCTTTAAAGACCATATCTCCAAATACAGTGATATTCTGAAGTACTGGGGGTTGGAACTTTAACATGTAAATTTTGGCGGACACAATTCAGTCCCTAACTCACACACTCTCTCAACTATTGAAAGAAGGTGGCAAATGCTAGGTTGAGGCTGAAGCTGTACCTGTCACCCTGGGATTTCCTATATCTCAGGTTTTCTCAGGAAGAGAAACTCAGTGCCTCAGCAGCCACCTGCTCCTCGTTAATGAGAAAGAGAGCAACAGGTGCTAGCCAAGGGCTGGGAAAGGGGAAGGTTTCTGTTAGTGTAGAGGGCTCCCAAGGGATCCTAGAGGTTTCAAGGAAGGGTTTCTGAGCTTGGTGCAATTTGTCACAGGTGGGTGTTAAAAGGCTATGAAGAACAGAGTAGGAGAGTTGGGACCCAAGCAGATCTACCCTACCCTGCTGGGTCTCATGGCTGAGCTGTTTCAATAACTAGAGTCCACTTTCATATTCATAGAGTCTTAAAGCCTCAATATGGGTAATTTTTTAAATTTGTATTTTCATTTTAATGATCATCTAAGAACATTAACATAAGTACATCCTGAAATATCAAGATGACCACCCAGAGGCAAGGACTGCAGTGACATTTCAGTGCCTACATTTGTGTTCATTTCTATCATTGTGTTGGTGCCAAAAAACACTATTTTAAGTGCTCAGAGCCAAAATGAAAAGAACATAGTTGAATCCTATGTATAAATAAAATGCTTATGCAAACTGAAGGCCAAATAATGTCACAGCACATGGTATGAATTGTAGTTTAAGTTATTACATTGCAGAAATAGAGAAAGGAGATATGAGAATTGAATAATCACACAGCACAATTAAAAACCTGAAATTGGGAGATAGTCACAAATCTTAATCCATCATCCATCATGGATTAAAAAAGTTTAATCAATTTTTTAAATTGGTTAAATTTGTTAATCACATTTAATGGTTGAAATTTCTTAATTTGTTTTGATATTTTTGCATTAGCCTATAAATATAGGAATTTGAATCTAGTTTTGTGTTTATGAATATTTAAGAAATACATTAAGACCAGATTTACAGTTCCAATTAAGATAGAGTGGATAGTATCAGACTAACTTGGGCTAAGAAAAACTATAAAAGCTGGATAACAGTCCCAAAACAGCTGTCTGGTGGCATCAGAAAATAACCAAAGCATCTAAGACCTGAGGGGCCAAACGCCTCTGAAAAACAGAAACATTTTGTGATGAGCCTTGCATTCAATAATGTGTTTTCTATTTGAGTTGTTTATCATTTCCTGGCATGGGGTGAAGGGGAGAAGCAAGGCAGTGCCCTAGAGCTCACAGAAGTCTCACTGGGCTGGATAGACAAAAATTAGAGTTCAGGCTACAAAGAAATCAAAACTTGAGGCCCAAAATGCTAGAGAAGAGGGAACCACAAAAAGATAAAACTGATATACAATTCCTTCTTGAGACATTTTATTATTTCCAAGCTACATGTTGGTTGAGACAGAGAAACCAAGTGGAAAAAAACTTTCAAGACAGTAAAAATCTTAGCATAGGATTATACACCCTCATGGTGCTAGGAAAACAAAAATTGGTGTTTGGGGCCTGCCATGAGTAAAGCCCTGGTAAACACAAGAGTTTCAGTTGAGACTCCAGAAGGGCTGTTTTAGGGGTAAGGACAAATCATAAATAGAAAGCCTACACTGAATCAACGTGATTTCTCCATATCCTGTCTGCTTGCAGGAAGACTTATTCCCTTTCTGGTCTGACCTAGAGAAAGAGTTACAGCAACATGAAGCTACTCACCCACAACCTGCTGAGCTCCCACATGTGTGGGGTGAGGCCCTCTGGCTTTCCCAGGTGACTCTAGGCCACAGAGGTTCACATCAACCCTACAGCAGTCATCCTGACTTGGTGGCATGTATGGTACCCAACATGAAGTGGGCAGTGCTTCTGAGGGTGGCCAATATCTTGCTTCTGGTTGAGGTGTTTAAAAGGCCAATCTAAGGGTAAGAGCATGAGGAGAAATTTCTGAGGAAGATGCACAATGTGCTGCAGGAATCTGTTCTTCATTAGCCTCAGGATCCCCCAAAATGCTGCTGAATGATGAGGAAATTGAAACTTAGCCAGTACAGACACCAATTTTTCATTCTGTGATTGTGTATATATCTTTCTTTATGTATATTATGTTTGCTCTCTCTGTCATGTATATCTTCAACCCTTGACCTGATGACACATCAAACACACAGTGTTCTTGAGATCAATATTATATTTGTTTTTCTCATTAAAGATTCAAAACCAGAAGAAGAAAAAGAAAAAAAGAGAAGAAGAGGAGGGGGAGATAAAGGCGGAGGCAAGGGACTTATTCTTCTCCCAGGCATAAGACAACAGAACACATCATCCAAAGTTTCTAAAATGTTTAAATACAGTGTTCATAATTCAATAAAAATTTCAAACAAAAATTACGAGACATGCCACAAAAAGAGACTAAATCATTGAAATCCAAGAGAAAAATAGAGCCAGTAAAGACAAAGAAATAAACAGTATTCAAATAGGAAGAGAGGAAGTCAAGTTGTCTTGGTTTGTAGGTGACATGATTTTATATTTAGAAAACCGCATCTTCTCAGCCCAAAAACTCCTTGAACTGATAAGCAACTTCAGCAAGTCTCAGGATACAAAATCAATGTGCAAACATCACAAGCATTCCTTTACACCAACAATATGCAAGCAGAGAACCAAATCATGAATGAACTCCCATTCACAATTACTACAAAGAGAATAAAATACCTAGGAATACAGCTAACAAGGGATGTGAAGAACCTCTTCAAGGAGAGCTACAAACCACTGCTCAAGGAAATAAGACAGGACACAAACAAATAGAAAAACATTCCATTCTCATGGATAGGAAGAATCAGTATCATGAAAAGGGCCATACTGCTCAAAGTTATATATAGATTCAATGCTATTCCCATCATACTACCATTGACATTCTTCAAAGAATTAGAAAAAAGTATTTTAAATTTCATATGGAATTAAAGAAGACCCCGTATAGCCAAGACGAAAGAACAAAGCAAAAAGAACAAAGCTGGAGGCATCACGCTACCTGACTTCAAACTATACTACAAGGCTACAGTCACCAAGACAGCATGGTACTGATTCCAAAACAGACATATAGACGAATGAAGCAGAACAGAGACCTCAGAAATAACACCACACATCTACAACCATCTGATCCTCAACAAACCTGACAAAAACAAGCAATGGGGAAAGGATCTCCTACTCAGTAAATGGTGCTGGAAAAACTGGCTAGCCATATGCAGAAAAGTGAAACTGGACCCCTTCCTTAAACCGTATACAAAAATTAACTCAAGATGTATTAAAGATTTAAATGTAAGACCCAAAACCATAAAAACCCTAGAAGAAAACACAGGCAATACAATTCAGGAAATAGGCATGGGCAAAGACTTCCTGACAAAAACACCAAAAGCAATTGCAACAAAAGCCAAAATTGACAAATGGGATCTAATTAAACTAAAGAGATTCTGAACAGAAGAAACTGTCATCAGAGTGAACAGGCAACCTACAGAATGAGAGAAAATATTTGCGATCTACCCATCTGACAAAGATCTAATATCCAGAATTTACAAGAAACTTAAACATACGACAAACAACCTCATTAAAAAGTGGGCAAAGGATATGAACAGACACTTCTCAAAAGAAGACATTTATGTGGCCAAAAAACATATGAAAAAAAAACTCAACATCACTGATCATCAGAGAAATGCAAATCAAAAGCACAATGAGATATCATCTCACACCAGTCAGAATGGCAATTATTAAAAAGTCAGGAAACAATAGATGCTGGTGAGGCTGTGGAGAAATAGGAACGCTTTTACACTGTTGGTGGGAATGTAAATTAGTTCAACCATTGTGGAAGACAGTGTGGCGATTCCTCAAGGATCTAGGATGAGAAACACCATTTGACCCAGCAATCGCATTACTGGGTATATACCCAAAGGAATATAAATCATTCTACTATAAAGACACATACATATGTATGTTTATTGCAGTATTATTTACAATAGCAAAGACATGGAACCAACCCAAATGCCCATCAGTGATAGGCTGGGTAAAGAAAATATGGTACATATACACCATGGAATACTATGCAGCCATAAAAAGGAATGAGATCATGTCCTTTGAAGGGACATGGATGAAGCTGGAAGCCATCATCCTCAGCAAACTAACACAGGAACAGCAAACGAAACAACATGTTCTCGCTCATAAATGGGAGTTGAACATTGAGAACACGTGGGCACAGAGAGGGGAACAACAAACACCAGGGCCTGCTGGGGGTGCGGAGTGAGGGGAGGGAACTTAGAGGACAGGTCAGTAGGTGCAGCCAACCACCATGGCACACATATACCTATGTAACAAACCTGCACGTTACGCAAATGTATCCCATTTTTTTTTAGAAGAAATAAAGAAACAAAATAGGAGCCAGTATAAATAGACCCAGAAAATAGAGTTATCAGATATGTACTTTAAAACAACTATTATTATGATGATCAAGAAAATAGATTAAAAAAGCATTTTACCAGAGATTTGTAATAATAAAAAAAAAACTAATAGGATTCCTTTACCACCTAACTTTTTGTAGCTTAGTCTAGAAACCTAGGTCTTATTTTTTATTCTTTTATCTTCTTCTGCCTATTAACACACTTCACTATCCACTACTTACTGCCACTTCTCTAATTAAGGCCAATATCATGGTTCACCTCTATGTTTCACACACACCACAGAATGAACTTTCTCTATTGCAAATTTGATCATGTCATTCCTCTTTATAAAATTATTCAATGGATTCCCCATTGTCTTAAGTACAAACTCCAGCTCCTTTCTGCACTGTACTAGGTCAAGCATGATCTTACTCGTGCTTGATATTTCCTCACTCCAAACTCCAGCAAACACTTGTCCTTCAACTATTGCAAATCAATTTCAGTTACTCAAAGGCACTGTGCTTTCTCTGCCTCCTGAAAGTTACATATACTGTTTTACTTTTACGACACTGTCACTCTCTTCACTTAGCAAATTCCTACCTACCCTTCAGAACCTTGTCTTTCTAGAAGCTCTCTAATTTCTCAGGACCTCATTAGGTTTCCTCCTAACATAACACACCCTTTATCTGAGCATTTATCATGTTTTTGATAATTTTATATAGGGATACATCTCTCCCCATTATAACTTCTTTAATGGCAGGGACTGTGGTCCCCTGGAAGTTTGAACAACTAATATAATATTGGTCTTAGAATTTGTGCCTAGGAGATGGCATTATAATCAGGGTCCTGGGAACAGAAGCTCAGCACTAAAAAACAACAACAACAACAACAACAACAAAAGGATTCATCCCATCCTGAACCCAAGTACTGACTCTGGGACTCCAGTTCTTTGTCTCCACCCACATGGTCCCAGAGGTGAGGCCAGTCTCCATAGAGGACTGGTGATTATAACCAACCCTTCAGCCTCTGGAGATCCTCACCACCTCACATCAACCTAGGAATAGCATAAACACCAATGTTCTATTTCCAAACTCCATGAAAGGCACAAGTGTAAGGAATGTGCTCCCCAAGGGCCCTTCTAAAAACTGCAGGCAAAGGCTAATGCTAGCTGTTGTTATCTGGCTGCAAGTGCTTTCCAAATGTTCTATAAAAGTCTACACTCTTCCCCAAAGTGAGCTTTTCTCTTAATACCAATGTGGATAAACAGTTATGTGCTGCCCACAGGCCTGGAGTGAGGAACATGTGTTTTAGAAAAGTTCAGTTGAAATGATTATACGAACGTAAGAAGCGACTAGTACTCTTTTACAGTTGTTGCTCAGACGAGAATAGATGGGACCGTTCTCTCATCAACAGTGAATCTTAGATGGTCTTCATACCCCTGCACTTACAGCTCCAACACACACTTATCTCTACAGCACAGCATAGCACAAACGCTTGGTGGGTCTCCTCAGAGATTACAGCTTTAGAAACAGTTAAAAAAAAAAAGTCATCATAATTATACTAGCAAAGAGCCTCTACTGAAATTTTTCCATGGCTTATCTTTTAATCTTTACAATTACTCTCCAAGGTGAGCATTATCATCTTCATTTTGGAGATAAGGAAATGAAGCTGAGAGGCTAAATAATTTCTCTAAGGTCACATAACTAGATGCAGGCAAAACTAAAACTCAGGTGAAATGGTTTATTTCCCCTTGGGTATATGTCCATTAGTGGGATTACTGGGTTGAATGTGAGTTCTGTTTTAAGTTTTTTGAGAAATCTCCACATTGCTTTCCACAATGGTTGAACTAATTTATACTCCCACCAACAGTGTATAAATGTTCCCTTTTCTCTGCAACCTCACCAGCATCTATTGTTCTTTGACTTTTTAATAATAACTATTCTGACTGGTATGAGGCAGTATCTCATTTTGGTTTTGGTTTTCCTTGCTCTGATGCACTTGTGTGTTCATGGCAGTACTATTCACAATAGCAAAGACATGGAATCAACCTAGGTGCCCATCTATGATGGACTGGATAAAGAAAACACATATACATGGATAAAGAAAGTACATATACACCATGGAATACTATGCAGCCACACACACACACACAAAAACAAAATCATGTCCTTTGTGGCAATATGGATGAAGTCAGAAGACATTATCCTAGGCAAACTAATGCAGGAACAGAAAACCAAATACCACGTGTTCTCACGTATAAGTGGGAGCTAAACACTGAATACACATGGACGTAAAGATGGTAACAAAAGACACCAAGGACTGCTTGAGAGGAAAGGTAGGGAGGACAGTATAGGTTGGAAGGCTACCTATTAGGTACCGGTGGTCACTACCTGAGTGACAGGATCATTTGTACTCCAAGCCTCAACAACACACAATTTATCCATATAAGAGACCTGCACATGTACCCCCAGAACCTAAAATAAAAGTAGAAGAAGAAAAAAAATAAAAAACATAAACTCAGGTGAACCTGATGGACAGTGGGTTGTTCCCTCCCAATTTTCCCCTTTTCTGCTTAGTTGTTCTGAGCACAAGTTATTCCTATTCATTTGGTGAGGATTCCACCACTTGCAACCAATGTGCCTGGGAAGAGACAAACACACTTTTGAATCATAAACGTGTAAACCTAAACTTAAAATATTGTAACATCAGAAAAGGTCAAGGGTCGAGGCTATTTCAACTCTAGTATGCTGTCAGCCAAAGGGGAATCTGGTTTCTACCCTTGGAAAGGTCGTTCTATCCCAGAGCATCTCTGCTGTCTGGACAACATTTGTGCCAAGCAACCTCCCTAGAGTGAAAAGCACCAGGACTCCCCTGAGGCCCATGAACCAAATGTTTTTGTGCCTGAAATCTCCTTCCAAGGAACACAGGCCCTCCTGGCCCTCTGATTACACTTGATAGAACAAGATACAGTAAAAAAGAAAGCTTCATAATGATGATGCACTGCTTACTGCTGCAGCCATAAGGAATGAAAATCTCACTGTGGCCTAATTTATAAGACAGGCAGCCACAGCCTAATTTTGTTTCAAGGTAGAGACATTATTAACTTGTGACCCAACCTAGGAGCCAGGCAGCTGTGAAATGATGTTTCAGGTTAAAAAAGAAAAAAGACTCTTCAGAACATATTGCTGATAAAATGTTTACACTCAGTTTAACAAATTTCATAGTAATGAGGCTTTAAAAATGGGTTTCTCATGAATGGCTTTGTGATACTGAATGCAAATAAAGAAATAATGAGTTTGGAATTGCAAACAGATTACTTCTGTCCTGGAGTTGATGGTATCAGAACATTACCCACTGTAGCCAAACCCATAGGCACGGATTTCCAGAAGATCTTATAAACTGCATTTTGGCTCCCTTGTTGAGTCACATGGTTGCCACTGGAAAGTTCCATATGGCTGTAGGTGCTGTGGCAACAGACCAGACTTTTCAAACTAAAAAAAAAAAATCCTAGGAATTTGGTAGTTGGCCATGTCAGCACCATGGAAACAAGAGAAACTGAGGAAAGTGACACAACTCCCAAACCAACCTCAGCATATTTGGCATGGAATGGATCTGAAACAAGAGAGAATGCCAACTTTGTGTAGAAGAGGTGGAGATGCTATTTTAATCCAGAGAAACACAACAATACTTCTAAGCATGGCGGGGCTGGATGCCAAAGTAAGACCCACTTTCTGAATTGCCTTTTGGCCAGGACCCTGCAGACAATAGGAAACACCTATGTCTGTGAGGCTTTCTCTCCCACAGGCTCAGGACACACAAAAGAGGAAAAGGCTCAATTTAATTATCTATTATAATTCAAACTCACACCCAATATTCCTATGCAAGCTCAGTTACACAGCATGCTGCTGGCTGGTGGAAAGTCCAGAAGGTCAAAGGGCTGGCATTAGAGCAAGCAGGCAATTCTCATCAGGTACAGGGAATACAGCCACTAGAAGGACAAAACAATCAGGGCACTAGGTAGGGAAGCCAACAAATCCTGGCTTGCCTGGAACGTTCCTACTTTTAGCACTGAAAGTCTATGTACCAGGAAACCCCTCAGACTCAGGCAAACCCCTAGCATAAGGGCACTCAGTTTAGAAAAAAGCAGAAGCTGCAGCCTCCGCAGCCATTCCTGAATTAAACCAAAGGCAGGCAGGTAGAATTATGCAAAGCTCAAGAAAAGACTGGAAAGCCCCCTCACAAGCAACACTTACAGTGAATGTTGAGAGCTTGCAGAAACAAAGACGAAGGCATTTGGCACTGAGTGGAGGAAAACAAATGGATTTCCCAGGGCAGGCAGTTCTTGATCACAGAGAACCCACAGATGTGAACAGGTAAGGCTGCAGGAAGACAAGCCCAGGTTAACACACTGGTTCTGCAAAGTTCTGTGCAAGACTTGGAAATGGTGATCAGAACCCACTATGTATCTCTTACAGTCTATGCATAGAACTATAACGAGTATTTCTTTCTCCTCTTTGTGTGTGGATGAGGCTCAGTCATGTTCAATGTATTCTTTGGTCCACCTTACAAAGTACTTAATTAAAGAACACTTTTTGATCATGTCATAGGTGAATACCTGGATGAAGCAGGCTTGGCCTGATTATTAGAGTAATATTCTGGCTTAAATTCTTACAAACAGGATTTCATAAGCCCTAGGTAGGGCAATAGTGTTCTAGGAGGGCAAAAGTGAAGCCTCTGATGGATCAAAATGTGGGTTTACACATCATTCATTTCTGTCAGAAGCCACAGTGTAAAATCTTCAGCCATGACATAAAATCACCTTAAAAAAACAGTTTTTAAATACCACAAGACCTCATGTTGTTATTATATAAAAAATAAATATTATTAATTACCATTGTTATTAGAAATCGGGGCGAAGTTTGATTTATTATTTCTCTTACCCCTCCTGCCTTTTAAGACTCTGGCAGACAGAGGATATCACAAGGGATGCTAAGTAGAAGGGACCTGATGATGTTTTACTCACGGGCCAGATGGGTACACAGTAACTCCTAATGCACATGAACCACTGAACAAGCTGGGCTAAGGAGGAGATTTTCCTTCATTTGCCTCTCCCAACTTGAAGACCATAGGCCCCAAGAAGCTGAACAGAGAGTAAAGGTCCAGAGCTTGGCCTTGCAGTTTGGCCTCACCTAGTGCTGAGTGGAGAGCAAGAAAGAGTATTCAGGGCTGAAAACATCCCCTGAGGAGACAAGCAGGAACTAGAAGCTAGCCCCAGCTTCACTCACCAAGCATCCTATAAAGGCAAAAGGGGCACAATTGTCCCTGCACAAATACATCTACTCACCAAACCCTGGGCAGCTGTGCCAGATAGGACCTCATTTTCAAGCATTCTGAGGCACTTGTGATGCAGCTTGCTGTGTGTAAGTGTACTCTTAATAATCTCGCTTCACTTCCTGGTCAACACCTGGCCTGAATGTTAGCAACTCCACCGCCCTTAGAAGGATTAAGTTAGCAGATAGCAGAGAAAGAGAAGGCTCTTCTCTGCGAAAACAGAAATCAGGTGGGATTAGGGTTCTTCCCTGATTCCACCCAGGTTTTGTCTACTTATCTCATTGGGTCAACTTGCCAAGCCTGACCAGCCAGGGTACCTCTGTCCTTCCAAGGATGGAGGCCAGCAGAGGCACTCTACTCTCACAACATACGCTCATGCCTCTCATCACTACCCAGGGGCTAGAGGGAGGGGCAGTTCAGCTGTTACCTTCAGAAGCCTCTGAAATAATCAGAACAAGGCATTCAGTAAAATCACTCCAAGTCCTCACTGTACCCTGGGCCAAAAATTTATCCTGATTGTATTTTCCATCTCAAATTTCAAGCCACACTGTCCAATATAGCTCAGTAGAGGAAGCTGTGCCACAAACATCACATGACAGCATAAAAATACCCCAATGAGCACAATACCAGCAACTTAAAAATACCCTGAACTTCAGCCTTCTGGAGCCCTCTCCTTTATTAAATTCTAGGAGGAAAATCAAAGTTCAAAACCAGAGCTCCCTTCCCTTTGCAAATCAAAATCCAAAGAAATGAAAGGCCTTTCCTCCCTGAGACTTGGAGTCTCCCTCGTCTCAACCAGGGTAGCTTCCCTGCTGGAGTCTGAGTGTCTCCTTTGGGAGCAGCTGCTCACTGCGTGTCTACCCAGAATGGGTGTGACTCCTGAAGCAACAAGGAGGTCGGACTTATCCAATCCCAAGGCCCTCATGTGTCCTGGTTTGCAAGGGATATGAAAGTCAATAGGGTACACAAGAATATCGCAGCCCCAGCCCCAAACCTACCAAATTTAGCTGAGCAACATTATGTTCTCAGAAGCCATGTTTCTGTTGCCAGCCATGGGATGTAGCAGATGCTTGGTGACATCTGGGAAAGAAGAGTTGGAGAAAACAAATGTGAGACATAGAAAAGATTCTGAATTTCAAACTCACTACAGTTGCCAATAAGACTGGCATTTGCCCAGGTGCAGCCGAGCCTCCAGATTTTACTTGGGGTTCCATCTCCTTCAAATTTATAAAAACTCCTAATTCCCATTTCACGTCTGAGCCTATGTTCCCGGCACCCCTGGGGCTGTTTCATGTGTTTGGTCTCCCATGCCCTTTGCTCCTGCAAGCAGGGTTTGCCCAAGCCAAACACATGTGGCTCTTCTCACACTCTCTTTTCTGGAGTTGTTACCTGCAGCCTTGAATGTTTCCTGGCCTGGCCATGTTGGCTGCTGTTCTGCCTCCAGTCCAGGCCCTATGAATCCTGTCAATTAGGGCATTTTTCTTCTTAGTTTTCTTGACTCAGCTATATGAACACTGGGAACTGAAGCTGCTGTTCACATTTCCAGAGAAGACCATCTCTTCTGCCCTGGGCTCCCTTCTGAAACCTCACTTCTCCTCATCTTCTGAATTGTTCTTCCTGCCACCTCCTTTCCTGGGGCAGTGGGACAGGCCTCTCGCATTCCATTTCCCTCTGTCTGTCATTCTCTGGCTCCTTTCAGGCTCAGTTTTAAAATGAATAACCTGCCTCTTCAGTCAGCCTCTTCCCTTCTCTACCATGGGCAGGGCTAGTATTCTCTTTTTTTTTTTTCTGCCAGATCCTGGTGCTTTATTTTTTTATTTTTTGTTTGTTTATTTGTTTGTTTCAGACCCAGATGTTTGTGTTTCTAGCCTTCGACTGTATTTGTCAGGTATGGTCTCCCATAGCAAGAGAGAAAGCCAGAGTCAGAGGCAAAAGTTTCCATTTTCCAAATATGTCCTGCCTACCTTTGTCACTCTGAAGAAAGGAAAAACACCAGGGGGTATCTTCTCTACAGCCGTTCATCCAACAATCTATAAAGGCCTTGCTACGGGCTAGGAACTGCCCTGGATAGTGGGATACAGCAGTGATCAAAAAGAAGTCCCTGCCTTCCTGGAGCTTACACTCAGCAAACCAGTCCAACATCTAACCTGGACTTCATTCAGCTATGATGGTTTTCCTACCTGGCTCTGCTACTTCTTTTCCAGTCCAAGCTTCACATGTTTTTCTAACACATTTCTTCAAAACCTGTGCCGGGACTGCCTTCCCACTCAGATAAGTGCTGCACCTTGAATTTGCCTTCATATGCTTGAGTCATTCTCTTGGGCTATTCTCATCTTCCCTTCTCAACTCTATGCAGACTGTCTTTAACCTCCTTGTATAGCCATCTCATCTTCAAAGAGGGGTTCCCTAATTGCTTTTATCATGGACTCTTTCTAGCTAAAGCTTTTAATTCTCTTCTTAGCCATAGGATTCATAATAATTCCATCTTACTTTTGACACATCAATCCGGGAAAATGATATTTACATTATATAGCCAGAATTCTCATACCTGTTTGTCCACTCATGGATTAAAATCTGCCACTTCTCTGAGGAACAACCCCACATTTAGGACCCTGAATATACCGGGATGCTCAGACCATATGTAAGGAACAATCCAAAGCTGGTTTGAGAGAATAAGGAAGGAGGTGGTTTCAGGAGCCCAAGAACCAGACACAAGGATCCCAGGTTGACCCATAAGAATCTTTCTAGGTCCTAGATGCAGACTCCAAAAAAAAAAATGTATATGAGACAAGTGAGCCTGTGTCTCTTTCCCATACTCTAGTTCTCAATTCTCATGTGGAACATGGATATTTCTGGCAATTCTGAGTACCATGCATCTCATACAGGCTTTGGGTGAGTTGCTATATCCCACATCAGCCAAACACCATGGATTCCCAATCAGCTCACATCCTCTTTCAATCAGGATAGGCTACGTTATGTTGCAGTAACAAAAAGCCTTCAAATCCCAGTAGCCAAGCAAGTGCTTATTTCCCACTCACACTATATTAAGTCACAGGACATCTGTGGGAAAAGAGGGTCCTTTGCTCTATGTTTTCTTCATTTGGGACCTTGACTGAGGAAACGTCTCTGTCCTTCTGCAATTATAAATTATATTCATTTTCATCAGCATCATTATTTATATCTATAATATAAAAATGAACTGCACTTTCAGTCAAAAGACTTTACCTTAGTCCTGGCTTCACCACTCAATAACTATGTAATTTTGTGTCAATCACTTTCCCTGCCTGGGCCTCTGTTTCCTTGTAAAATGAGGGGATAAGGTCACAAATAATCTCTAAGGCCACTTAAATTTCAAAAATTCTATGTTTCTTCTACACTGGAAAGGATAGGGAACTAATGTTTATTGAGTATCCTCATAAGTACTCTGTAAAGCATAAAGATTCTCACTATATGGATTAGAAAACAGAGGCTTAGAGAAATTAGTAACTTGCTCAAGATCACACAGATAATAAGTAACAGGTGTGGGATTTGAACCCATGACTGTCATACTTCAAAGGATTTTTCTTTTTGTTGCATTTCATTCCATACATGATCTGACATTACACATACAGAGAAGGAGGATGAAGAAACGGGTGCAATGAAATGAGTGAAACACCTCGCCTCAGGGGCTAGCCTTGATGGGTAAGTGACCCATGGTATTTTTATTTCTTTGTATAATTCAATTCAATTTAACTTAGTAACAACAGTATTTAATACTTATTAACTGCCAGCTCCTGGATGAAATGCTGGATACACAAACACTAATTATGCCTGAGAAAGTAGGAAGCACACATATCCGTTAGGGAAATACAAACTACTCTGCATATTTCAAGAGGGAGGAATTTATCTCAAGAAATTCAAAACTCATAAAACTGGTGGGAGAGCTGGGGAAGCAATGGGAATGGAAAGCCGATGCTGGCTTTCAGGAAATCAGCAAGTGGGGAAAAAAAAGAAAAACATCAAAAACTGCCATCTCTCCATGCATCTATCTGCCATTCCTGGAAGAAATAATGATTTGTTATTTGCTTTTGCCTTGCAAATCTCATGCGCCAGTCTGTCATTTGAAGAATTTAAGCTGGAACTTTTACCTGTCTTGCCTCAACCCAGCCCCTGTTTTCTATCACTCCATGTTCTGCCGGCAAAGGAATCTGGACAATGTGCTTTCCAGACTTCCAGGCTCTGTGACACAAGAACAAGCTTAGAACGTCAGGAGGACCATTGAGTATCAACAGACAACAGCTAACACAGAACACCAGTTCTAACTGGAAGAGTCAGGAAAGTCTTCTGAAGGGTGACATCAGCTGAGCTTGAAATAAAATTCGAAAGGAGAAGGACCCTCCAGAGAAGTGTGTGAGTAAAAACAGTGACAAACGCTCCTAAGGAAAGTGAATTTACTGAGTTCAATCAGAACATGAAGTGGTAGGGAATTGGGCTGTTTTCAAGTGAGGTAGGTTAGCAGGGACAAGATTGCAGAGGACCCAATAGGCCATGCTAATGAGTTTGGACATTATCCAATAAATAATACAAAACTATTGAAGGCCTTTTAAAATAGAAAGTAATGGAATCTGTTGCATATGTTTATAAAGATCCCTCTCTCTGTAGGTGTTGAAAACCATTTGGGGAGGCAATAGGAAGACCAATGAGATGATTTTCCCATCATCTTAGGTGCCAGGTGATTGGAACTTGGACTTGAGCAGTGGCCATGGTAATGAGGACAAGAGAGCAAGTTTGGGAGACAGGACACAGGTAAGGCTGAGTGATTCGTGAGTTGTGGGAGTGAGAGAGGAGTCAGTAGGCTTCTGGCTTGGGTAATTAGAGGATGATGGAGCCATTCACTGAAGTTGGAACTTGGGAGAAGGAACAGGTTTTGGGGGTAAGGGAAATGGAGATTGCTGAGCTTGATTCTGCACAAGTTGAGTTTGACATGCCTGGGAGATGAAAAATGTGATTAACACCAACAAAGTGTGAAGTGACATCTTACCAGAGATAAGGTCCTCTGCTCAATGCCAGGAGCAGTAAGCTGCATAAGGCAAGCCCTGCCTTGGAGGAGCTCTGAATCCAATCAGCCCCTGAATGTCTGTGGTGCCAGAGGAGCGTCGGCAACGGAAACCATTGGGGGAATGTTCAAACCTCATTTAAGATGAATATTTTCAGTTCTACACTTCTACAGTGTCTCTAAGCAAAAATTCTCTGGAGACTTTCAAAAGCTCATTAGAAATGGGTATTCATTTTGCTTTCCTTCTGAGCCCCAAAGTTTTGCTACAAATCCAGGAGGAGAGGAGAAAGTTATTCCCTGCTTGATCTTGATGAAATCCCTAATGGTTAAAGAAAACAAATAATCAACTAGGCATTGAGGAATTTTAAAAACAGGTAAGACCCGGCTCAAGTTTTGGTCAGCCAGAGTCCACTCTATGTGGCAAGGTTGATGGCTCACTGGGGCTGAATTAAAAGTAAGAGTCCACTAAACCACTGGTGTGGGGATAAGGGTGACCATTTGTCTCCATTTTCCTTGACTTACTAGGTTTTGGCTCTGAATCTCCCATGTCCTAGGAAGCCCTTTGGTCCAGACAAACTGGGACAACTGGGCACCCTAGGTGGCAAGAATGAGGCTTCTCTCCAGACTCCCCAGAGCAGTTCCAGCTGCTCCCCCCTGACCTGCCTACCAAGCACTTGCCAACAAGGAGAGTGAAAAGGTGCCTAAATACAATCAATGTCAACTCCACTTTCTCTGTGAAAGCCTGGCTGACTGCCTTATTTAACGTGCAGCATCACCCCCAGAACACCAATCTCCTTTTCCTGCTTTGTTTTTCAAATTTACTCCATGACGTTTCTCAATTTCTGTCATAGCATGGAACATATGTCAGTATTGTGTCAGTTATTTATTGTCTGTCCTGCCCTACTAGAATGTAAACTCCTTGAGGGAAAGATTCTTCAGCGGTGTTTGATTCCTAATGTATCACATTTGTCTGGCACACAATAAGCCTTCCGTGTACATTTGTTAAATAAATGAATGAGTTAAATACACTTTCAATCTATAGCATTTTAGAAAGAATATGACCAATCTTGACTTTTTTTTTATTCAAATGGGACTAAGGAGACATTTGCACTATTTCAAATTCAAAACCGAATGTTGACACATTTAATTTTGCTAAACTCGCCAAGTGTAGCGGCTTTCTCCTGCCAGCAAGTTACATAATCTTTCAGGCACACATTTGAAGCACCAAGCTAACCTTCGCGTATGGCAGCTGTGGAGCCGTGATTGTGAGGGGGCGTCTCTGAAGGGCCGGAGAAGGCAAGCCATCTGCTGCAGCACCAGAGACGGCCTGGGGCAAGGATGTCAGGCCTCCTGCGATGCCTCATCTTCCAATTAGCTCTCCCCTCACTGGCTGAGTGGGGCCTCCAGGCTTGTACAGCTGGAGCTGCGGATTGAATAGAAAGGTCACCAGCATAGTGACCCAACAGCCTGCCTGTGCTGGAGCTGCCATGGGATTGAGTGGGTGTTGGCATCTCCTACATGAAGGGGAAAGGAAGCTGTTTCCGTAGTCCCATTCTACAAGCCTGAGGGGAAAGTGGGAAATGCTCGAGGGAGCAGGCCGTTAGGTGTTCTATTTTCTATGCCAGGCTAAAATGGTGCTGCCCAGCTCCTCAAACACACTGTGCTAGTCTCACCGCTATGCTTTTGACACATGTTTATCTCAATACCTGCAATGTCCTTCTCCCTGTTGATAGCCTGATGAACATCTTTTTACCCTTCAAAACCCTGCAAAGACCTCACCTCTTCTGTGTGAACTTCCTGCCCATCTGCCAACAGAATTTGCTTAAACTGAGCTACTTCAATATAATAATAGCAGCAATTAAAATTTGCCAGGCACTTACAATGTATAATAAAATGTGTAATAGTACCCTGGCCATAGGTGTGTTTCCATGTTTAAGTCAGCTAATATATATACATCTGTTGGCATGTAATCCTCATGAAAGTGCTACAGAAGAAGTATTACTATCTCGGTAATGCCCCAAGCTTTATGCAATGCCCCATGCTTTCTGCATGAGCCCCAAGCTCATGTATGAAGCACTACACTGTGCCTTGCACATGACACCACCACCTTGCACTTTACTGCTCCACCTTCATTTGGCAACACAGCCATTTCCCTGTTAGACGTCCCTCCTTTAGGTCAGCTTCTGGGGTCAGGTTTGTGCCTCTTTAATTCTACATGTCTTGGGCCCTAGCTACAGTGCTTGGCCTGGAGTGGGTGCCAAGTAAGCATTTCATGAATTGAACAATACAGGTGAAGAGATGGCACAGTGGTTAGCTGGCCCAAATTGACCTTGCTAATTAGGCTAATTAGCAGTATCTGAAAAATTATGATGTGTTTGAATCTGCACTCACCAAATGGGCTCACATTTTCTTAGTTTCCTGTGATGTTATGATTCTTTGAGAAGGATCAAGCCTCCCAAGGAGGCAAGACACTGACAGTCCCTGTCACCTGAACCTCCTAGAGGTCCTCTGTGGTCCTGTGATACTGAGTGTTTGACACAGGGCCATGCACAGAGTGGGAATCAAACATACAACCACTGCCCTGCAGAAGCTGATGATCTGGTTATAAATGTATATGAACTCAGGGGTCAATGAGAGAATGTCCCCAAAGGGCTAGATCTGTGTGGGAGCCCAGCCCAAGGCAATAGAAAGCTATAACCAGAAAAGCTTGTGGACCCAAGCAGTTAGGAGGCAGGAGTGCATGCATGCTACTACACCAAGGGCAAATTTTTCTTTCCCCATGTGTCCTTGTCACACACCCTGTCCACAAGGCATCAGATAATCCAACTAAGAATAGAAGAATGAGAGAAGACAGAATTCAGGTAACATTTTAAGCTTGACACATAACAAGTGATACACCTGATAGTCTACTGAGTCCAATTCTGTGGGTGATCCAGTCCTTCCCCTCAGACACATGGATTGCTGGAGAACCTACTGTTCCCTTTCCTATAGAAAATAATGGCATTCAACCTGGCCCAGCATCAGCACCACAGGAGGGCTGTATCCTGGGATGTCGGGAAACACTGCAGGTTGCCTGGGATTCCTCTTCTTTCCCCTAGCTAGAAAGATCCAGCTCATCTATGCTTGGCCAGGACTTTTTTGTTCTTCTCTTTGGCAGAAGAGCCAGAACAGGGGAGTACAGGTGGTACCTGCTGCTCTCCTTCTCCTGAGAACCCACCTGTTTGCTCATAGGAGGACAATTTTGAGATATGACTGAAGATGGAAGTCACCACCCTGACAATAACAACTGTGATAATAATCACATTCATATAGCACCTACCCTGTGCCAGGCACTGTTCTAAGCACTTTACATACAGTAACTCATTTACACCTCACAATGACCCCTGAAGTGTGTATGTATTACTATCTCTATTTTATAGATGAGGAAACTGAGGCACAAAGAGACAAAATATCCAAGGTGTCATCTAAGGGGCCCTACGACAGTCCTCCTTAACTCAAAATACCTCTTTCACTAATAGCTAATTTTATAATTAGTGCATACATTTATAGGATAAAAGAGCTCTTTTATGATAAAATGTTCCTATTAGGAAAAACCTAGGGTAACCATTACATGGATAAGAGAAGTGGCTGATACTCCAGACTTATGAATTTACTCCCTTCCCCATTATGTAACAGCAGTGTGACTCTGAACAAGTTGCTGAATTTCTCTGAGCCGCTGTGTAAAAGAGAGATAGAAATGAGTCATCCTGAGGATTAAATGAGACAGTCCTTTTAATATGCTTGGTATAACATGACATTCAATAAATGCTGACTGCTGTCATTATTAATATTATTGGTGTTATCTTGTTAAGAGTTTGTTTCTCTTCCTTTTCTCAGTGTCCCTAGCAGAGAGCAATGCCTTCCTGGGGGCAGGAGAGGTGCAGTTTTTATAAGAAGCGAGCAGCAAGAAATGATTTTGCAATCTAATTTTCTGCCCCCAGGAGGCCTGACATAGGACAGGGGACGGAAGAGGGTTTCCATGAGGACACTGATCCTATAAAAGAGGTGCCAGAAGAAGTAGGATTTTACAGAACATGGTGGGATGATCCAGACAGAAGCTTGGCCAGCTTCAGAAGTGTGTGGTTGTGTTTGGGCTTTCTAAGGAATGTAGGAGGCTTCAGCAGCTTCCAATGCTGCCAGCCTTTTGTTCCAAGACACACTGCAGACCCAGACAGAATTACCTTCACTTCAGCAGCAGCTGGGTGCCTGAAACATCAGTCCAAGGCAGAGGGGAGCTTCTCTGCTCCCACTTCCAGGTCTCTAAGGGTGTTTTTCTTTCCTTTGGGAAGACTATACTTCCAGGAGCCAGTTTTGTCATGAGGCCAGAGAGGAGGCGGATTTGACCAGATGGCATTGTGTCTTGTTACCAATAGGTTCTTATATAAGGTCCTCATGACACATCCCCTTCTAGAATTATGAGCCAAGAATGGGGGCAGTGCATACTAGGCACCCTGCTTACAATAATTGCTTTCATTTTACAGAAGATACACCCTGTACTCAAAGAAATTCGTCTTTCCCAATGTCACATCTGAATCTCAGATCTTTGTCTATGTCCAAGGCACTTTTTCCCTCCAGGATGGCACAGTGCTTCCCCAGATGTTTACTTATGCAAGGCTTGCCATTTTCAGGCACGGAGGACAAAACAAACAAGTGTACTTTCCTTTTTTCTTGGGATGCCATGAGCTTTGAGCTAAATTTAGAGTCACTATCTCTCCTACTGATTTCCTGGTATAAGTTCCTCCTTCCTTCTTTTATGTACTTTCAGAAAGCCATTTAGAAAATCTTTGCCTTAACTCTCCTCATTCATAAGTTTCCTTAGATTCTTTATGGAATATATGTAGCATGAATAACCATTTTTAAGTATTTACATCTAAACTTAGTGTCTACAAGGGCCCCTGATACAGACAATGTGTGTTTGGGGAGAGAGATGATCTGATTAATAGAATATTCTGTGCTGCTATAAAGACACATGCACACATATGTTTATTGCAGCACTATTCACAATAGCAAAGACTTGCAACCAACCCAAATGTCCAACAACGATAGACTGGATTAAGAAAATGTGGCACATATACACCATGGAATACTATGCAGCCATAAAAAATGATGAGTTCATGTCCTTTGTAGGGACATGGATGAAGCTGGAAACCATCATTCTCAGCAAACTATCGCAAGGACAAAAAACCAAACACCACATGTTCTTGCTCATAGGTGGGAATTGAACAATGAGAACACATGGACACAGTAAGGGGAATATCACACACTGGGGCCTGTTGTGGGGTGGGGGGAGGGAGGAGGGATAGCATTAGGAGATATACCTAATGTTAAATGATGAGCTAATGGGTGCAGTACACCAACATGACACATGTATACATATGTAACTAACCTGCACGTTGTGCATATGTACCCTAAAACTTAAAGTATAAAAAAAAAGAATATTCTGATGGATAGAGATATAAACAGGCTGTATTTGCAAGTGGAGAGGGAGGGTGGCAGCTTGCATGGTGTGATCTAAGGGGTGTGTAGGAGCCTGATGTCTGTGAGATGTTCTCCCTACTTCTGGCTGACATCTGATATGCCACCTTCAGAGTTTCATCCTTTAGCTAAAGATTTTCCTTACCTGTTAAACTTGAAATCCCTCAGGAAATGTGGGAGGTGAAAAGGAGGAAGTGTCCCATGCAAGATGATTTCAGACATGGCCAACTTGGTGGACCTCTTAGCTGCTTTTCTTAGGGTCATGGTCTACAAGAACAGGGCCACCCTAAGGGGTTCATTGAGGCCCCATGCCTGCACTGTGCCATCTGCCAGCACCATACCAAAGGGTGTTAACTGATGCATCCCGACTCTTCCTCCCAATTGCTCCATCCACAACCTGCAGTCTGCTCTTGCCCCTGCCAGTTTCTGACCCCATTCCTCAGGCTGCTATTCCTCACACTATCAAATTGGTGATTGTTTTAGTTCATTTTCTGTTGTTTATAACAGAGTGCCTGAAACTGGTAATTTATAAGAAATAAAATTTATTCTTATAGTTCTAGAGGCTGAGAAGTCCAAGGTCAAGGGGCCACATCTGATAAGAGCCTTCTTGCTGGGTGGGAGTGGGGAGACTTTCTGCAGAGTCCCAAAGCAGTGCAGGGCATCCCATGATGAGGGGGCTGAGTGTGTTAGCTCAGATTGCTATTTCTTTTCTTATAAAGCCACCGGCCCCACTCCTGTGATAACCCATTAATTCATTATCCACAAATGAAATAATACATCCATGAGGCAGAGCCCTCATGACTTAATCACTTCTTAAAGGCCGCACCTCTCAATACTGCTACTTTGGGGATTAAATTTCAAGATGAGTTTTGGAGGAGACAAACATTCAGGCCATCGCAGTGACATTTGCCCTCCCCATCTCAGTTTCCACATGCTGGGCCCTGCTCTTCTATGCCTGCAGCCCTCCTGTCCTCAAGCTGCCCCAGCAGTGTCCCCGTCTCCTCAACCTGCCTTTCAGGGGTGTCCCAGGCCCCAGAATCCACCCCCTCTCTCTTCACCCTCCATAGAACACAGCTTTCGTTTCCCTCAGTGCTCTACTTCCAGGCAACTGACAAAAGGAAAGTAATGTGTTTGTCTAATGTGCACAGGGAATTGGATGGCAGCTAACATCTTACCATGTTATCTCGGGTAGGATGAAGAAGGAAGTGGGGTGGCAGGATGTCTTCCCACACATGGTGAACTCTCACCTTTACCAGACACCCCTTCTTGGTAAGGGGAACCTCATTCCACCCAATGGCTCAAGTCAAAACAGAGGAACCACTCCTGCTTACTCCTCCAAATCACAGCCTCTATCTAACTGATCACCCGATCGAGCTCTATCCCCCAAATTCCCTCACCTGCCCTCTATCTATCTCCATGGCCTCCATCCAAGGCCAGGCCTCCAGCACCTCTCCTCTCTCACTGGATAACTCATGATAGTCTCCTAACCAGTCTCCCGCTTTCCCCTTGACCTAGTACAATCAGTGCACCACAAAGGAGCACAGATGGTCCACTTTAGAGCACAATATACTCCCAATCCAATTCTTCCCAAGGCTTCCCACTAATACCGATTCCTCACTCACAAGGCCATGCTTGATCTGGCCACTGCCCACCCACCTCTGATCTCGGACCATCCTTCACCCCCACTTCACACAGTTCCGCTGGATTTTTTTCTTTTCTTTTAACTTGGTAAAATTCATTTTCAGCTCAGGGCCTTTGCACTTCCTGTTTTTCCTGCCTGGTCTCCACTCACAGTTGTCTCCTTCTTGAAGCTGAGCCTCAGTGTAGATGTCTCTCCCCAGAGAAGTTTTTGCTGAACACCACTCTCCCTAGACCTCTGTCACCTCACCCTGCTGTGTTATCATCAGAGTACTTAGCACTTCCCAACATGGTCCTATGTATTCATTGCCTGTCTCCCCCAGCCAAAATGTAAGGTCCATGTTACAGGGCCCCTTTCACTGACGTATCCTCATGCCCAGTGCTCACTCATGTATGATGGATGTAATAGAAGGAATTAGGCCTTGGGTTAGACAGCCCTGGGCCTGAACCCTAACATGCCCTCTAAAATCTTAGAAAAGTCTTTTAATCCCTCCAGGCCTCTGTTTTCTCCTTTAGGAAGCTGAAGACAGTAATATTTCTCACGGGCTGCTAGGAAGATTGATTAAAGAAATTGAGAGCTGTATAGGGCCTATTGAGGCCCTAAGTACATGAAGACCCTCAACAAGTAGTCACCTCTCTTCCCTTTCCTGCTCCTTTGCAGGTTTTGGGGGCTGTTGCTTGCATACCTGGTTATCACTAAAAGGTGTGTACCTAAGTAAGTGGGAGCAGAGAACCACACCTGGTTAATGGAATTAGAGATCTATAGTGGGTTGGATAGTGTCACCCCAAAATTAATGTCTACCTGGAACCTCAGAATGTGACCTAACTTAGAAATAGTCTTTGTCCCAAGCATAGTGGCTGACATCTATAATTCCAGTGCTTTGGGAGGCCAAGGTAGGAGAATCACTTGAGACCAGTAGTTCCAGACCAGCCTGGGCAATGCAGTGAGATCCCAGATCTACAAAAAATAAAATAAATAAATGACAAATAACAAGAAAAAATAGGTATAATTTAGATAAGGGTCGAGATAGGATCGTACAGGATTAGGGTGTGTACTAAACCCAGTGAGAGTATTTTTAAAAGAGACAGAAAAGTACATGCAGAGACAAGGAGGAAAAGCTGATGTGATCATGGAGGCAGAGACTAGAATACTGCACCTATAAGCCAAGGAACACTGAATGTCACTGACAACCACCAAAAGCTACAAGAGGCGAGGAAGAATTCTCCCTCAGAGCCTCCAGAAGGAACCAACCCTGCTGACACTTTGATTTCAGACTTTTGTCCTCCCAAACTTTGGGGAAATATATTTCTGTTGTTTTAAGCCACCCAGTTTGTGGTATTTGCTACAGCAGTCCTAAGAAACTAATATAAGATTAGAGAGAGCCAAGCACATTTGCAAAAAGAAAAGCACATTGACATTGTGGAAGACTTTACAGCTGTCGGGGCACTTTTACTGCATGATCCTCCTGGGCTCTAGCTGCATCCATGACTCCTCCCATTTTTCAGATGAGGCTACCTGGCTTACTCCAGAGCACACAGCTGTCAGGGCAGGGGTGAGGAGGTGGAAGAACGGCTCCATTTCATCTTCTAGCCTCCTGATTTGACTCAACAGTGAGTGGGTGAAGTTCCTATATTCACTCAACAAATGTTTGTGGGCTGATTGCTGTTCACCAGCCCGCATGATGGGTGTTCCAAGAAAGTGAGGAAGACATCTCTACTTCCATGAGCACTCCCTCTGAAGGCAGTGATGCAGGTATAAACACAAGGCTGCACTGGCTCGGGTGAAAAGACAGGCGATTAAAGCTGCTTTGTGGTCAGAGGGGTGGGAAAGACTTTAGAGCCTGGGGGTGCCATCTGTAGGTGATACTGACTGGCAGTGAGACCACAGGTCTCCCTCTGCCCCTCTTGGGGACCCAGCACTACTAAAATAAAGTTGGATTTAGCATCCCTGGAGCCCGTCCGGTTTAGACATTCTTTGATTTTCTAAAGTTACAATACTCAGGGTGGTGGGTCAGCTTGAAACACCCTAATGATGCCCGATTCACTTCTCCACACTACATTGTGCTAATTTTTCCCGTTTTTAAATCCCAGTGTGGCACTGCACCCGAAGGGTGTTCACAGGGCCATCAAAACCCAGATTTGAAGCACTTCCGTTGCCTGGAAACCCAGGTCCAGTTCCCTGTGGTTAATTCCTCCATGGGGAAAGAGCTAACTAGACTAAGTTTCTGGAACCATCACTGCAGCAGTCTCCCCAGGAAGGCCTTTGTAGCAGAGTTAATAGCCTTATCCCTGGCAGGTATCTACTAGGTGGGAGTGCTGGGGCAGCTGGCTAGTTAGGAAAGGAGGAGGGTAAGGGACTTCCTCTAGTCCTAATGATTTAAGCAATCTCTCCATCTGCATTATTGGAGCAGCAACCTCCAGATATCTACTGAACATATTTCATGTACCAGGACCTTTGCCAAGCCATGGCAGTGTTGAGCAGGTACAGAGGAAGAGTCGCCATTGACTTAGCCAATCTTTGCCCTTAACAGATGCATCAGAAATGGGTGATTGTCTTTTATTTTGGCGGGGGCGTGGGGGTGGTTTATTTTGTTTTTGGTACTTGTATGGTTTTTTTTATTATTATTATACTTTAAGTTCTAGGGTACATGTGCACAACGTGCAGGTTTGTTACATATGCATACATGTGCCATGATGGTGTGCTGCACCAATTAACTCGTCATTTACATTAGGTATATTTCCTAATGCTATCCCTCCCGACTCCCTACACCCCACGACAGGCCCCAGTGTGTGATGTCCCCCACCCTTTGTCCAGGTGTTCTCACTGTTCAATTCCCACCTATGAGTGAGAACATGCAGTGTTTGGTTTCCTGTCCTTGTGATAGTTTGCTGAGAATGATGGTTTCCAGCTTCATCCATGTCCCTAAAAAGGACATGAACTCATCATTTTTTATGGCTGCATAGTATTCCATGGTGTATATGTGCCACATTTTCTTAATCCAGTCTATCATTGATGGACATTTGGGTTGATTCCAAGTCTTTGCTATTGTGAATTGTGCCGCAGTAAACATACAGGTGCATGTGTCTTTATAGCAGCATGATTTATAATCCTTTGGGTATATACCCAGTAATGGGATGGCTGGGTCAAATGGTATGTCTAGTTCTAGATCCTTGAGGAATCGCCACACTGTCTTCCTCAATGGTTGAACTAGTTTACAGTCTCACCAACAGTGTAAAAGTGTTCCTATATCTCCACATCCTCTCCAGCACCTGTTGTTTCCTGACTTTTTAATGATCGCCATTCTAACTCGTGTGAGATGGTATCTCATTGTGATTTTGATTTGCATTTCTCTGATGGCCAGTGATGATGAGCATTTTTTCATGTGTCTATTGGCTGCATAAATATCTTCTTTTGAGAAGTGTCTGTTCATATCCTTTGCCCACTTTTTGATGGGGTTGTTTGATTTTTTCTTGCAAATTTGTTTAAGTTCTTTGTAGATTCTGGATATTAGCCCTTTGTAAGATAGGTGGATTGCAAAAATTTTCTCCCATTCTGTAGGTTGCCTGTTCACTCTGATGGTAGTTTCTTTTGCTGTGCAGAAGCTCCTTAGTTTAATTAGATCCCATTTGTCAATTTTGTCTTTTGATGCCATTGCTTTTGGTGTTTTATTCATGAAGTCCTTGCCCATGCCTATGTCCTGAATGGTATTGCCTAAGTTTTCTTCTAGGGTTTTTATAGTTTTAGGTCTAACATTTAAGTCTTTAATTAATCTTGAATTAATTTTTGTATAAGGTGTAAGGAAGGGATCCAGTTTCAGCTTTCTACATATGGCTAGCCAGTTTTCCCAGCACCATTTATTAAATAGGGAATCCTTTCCCCATTTCTTGTTTTTGTCAGGTTTGTCAAAGCTCAGATGGTTGTAGATGTGTGGTATTATTTCTGAGGGCTCTGTTCTGTTCCATTGGTCTGGTTTTGGTACCCGTACCATACTGTTTTGGTTACTGTAGCCTTGTAATATAGTTTGAAGTCAGGTGGCCTGATGCCTCCAGCTTTGTTCTTTTGGCTTAGGATTGTCTTGGCAATGTGGGTTTTATTTTGGTTCCATATGAACTTTAAAGTAGTTTTTTCCAATTCTGTGAAGAAAATCATTGGTAGCTTGATGGGGATGGCATTGAATCTGTAAATTACCTTGGGCAGTATGGCCATTTTCATGATATTGAGTCTTCCTATCCATGAGCATGGAATGTTCTTCCATTTGTTTGTGTGCTCTTTTATTTTGTTGAGCAGTGGTTTGTAGTTCTCCTTGAAGAGGTCCTTCACATCCCTTGTAAGTTGGATTCCTAGGTATTTTATTCTCTTTGAAGCAATTGTGAATGGGAGTTCCCTCAGGATTTGGCTCTCTGTTTGTCTGTTATTGGTATATAGGAATGCTTGTGATTTTCGCACATTGATTTTGTATCCTGAGACTTTGCTGAAGTTGCTTATCAGCTTAAGGAGATTTTGGGCTGAGATGATGGGGTTTTCTAAATATACAATCATGTCATCTGCAAACACGGACAATTTGACTTCCTCTTTTCTTAATTGAATACCCTTTATTTCTTTTTCCTGCCTGATTGCCCTGGCCAGAACTTCCAACACTATATTGAATAGGAGTGGTGAGAGAGGGCATCCCTGTCTTGTGGCAGTTTTCAAAGGGAATGCTTCCAGTTTTTGCCCATTCAGTATGATATTGGCTGTGGGTTTGTCATAAATAGCTCTTATTATTTTGAGATACACTCCATCACTACCTAGTTTCTTGACAGTTTTTAGCATGAAGGGTTGTTGAATTTTGTCAAAGGCCTTTTCTGCATCTATTGAGATAATCTCGTGGTTTTTGTCTTTGGTTCTGTTTATATGATGGATTATGTTTATTGATTTGTGTATGTTGAAACAGCCTTGCATCCCAGGGATGAAGCCAACTTGATGGTGGTGGATAAGCTTTTTGATTTGCTGCAGGATTCGGTTTGCCAGTATTTTACTGAGGATTTTTGCATCGATGTTCATCAGGGACAGTGGTCTAAAATTCTCTTTTTTGGTTGTGTCTCTGCCAGGCTTTGGTATCAGGATGATGCTGGCCTCATAAACTGAGTTAGGGAGGATTCCCTCTTTTTCTATTGATTGGAATAGTTTCAGAAGGAATGGTACCAGCTCCTCTTTGTACCTCTGGTAGAATTCAGCTGTGAATCCGTCTGGTCCTAGACTTTTCTTGGTTGGTAGGCTATTAATTATTGCCTCAATTTCAGAGCTTGTTATTGGTCTATTCAGGGATTCAACTTCTTCCTGGTTTAGTCTTGGGAGGGTGTATGTGTCCAGGAATTTATCCATTTCTTCTAGATTTTCTAGTTTATTTGCGTGGAGGTACCATTCTCTGATGGTAGTCTACATTTCTGTGGGATCAGTGGTGATATCCCCTATATCATTTTTTATTGCGTCTATCTGATTCTTCTCTCTTTTATTCTTTATTAATCTTGCTAGCGGTCTATCAATTTTGTTGATCTTTTCAAAAAACCAGCTGCTGGATTCATTGATTTTTTGAAGGGTTTTTTGGGTCTCTATCTCCTTGAGTTCTGCTCTGAACTTAGTTATTTCTTGCCTTCTGCTAGCTTTTGAATGTGTTTGCTCTTGCTTCTCTAGTTCTTTTAATTGTGATGTTAGGGTGTCAATTTTAGATCTTTCCTGTTTTCTCTTGTGGGCATTTAGTGCTATAAATTTCCCTCTACACACTGCTTTAAATGTGTCCCAGGGATTCTGGTGTGTTGTGTCTTTGTTCTCATTGGTTTCAAAGAACATCTTTATTTCTGCCTTCATTTTGTTATGTACCCAGTAGTCATTCAGGAGCAGGTTGTTCAGTTTCCATGTAGTTGAGCGGTTTTGAGTGAGTTCCTTAATCCTGAGTTCTAGTTTGATTGCACTGTGATCTGAGAGATAGTTTGTTATAATTTCTATTCTTTTACATTTGCTGAGGAGTGCTTTACTTCCAACTGTGTGGTCAATTTTGAAATAAGTGTGATATGGTGCTGAGAAGAACATATATTCTGTTGATTTGGGGTGGAGAGTTCTGTAGATATCTATTAGTTCCACTTGGTCCAGAGCTGAGTTCAAGTCCTGGATATCCTTGTTAACTTTCTGTCTCGTTGATCTGTCTAATGGTTACAGTGGGGTGTTAAAGTCTCCCATTTTTATTGTGTGAGAGTCTAAGTCTCTTTGTAGGTCTCTAAGGACTTGTTTTATGAATCTGGGTGCTCCTGTATTGGGTGCATATATATTTAGGATAGTTAGGTCTTCTTGTTGAATTGATACCTTTACCATTATGTAATGGCCTTCTTTGTCTCTTTTGATCTTTGTTGGTTTAAAGTCTGTTTCATCAGAGACTAGGATTGCAACTCCTGCTTTTTTTGTTTTCCATTTGCTTGGTAGTTTGAGATCTGAGAATGGACAGACTGCCTCCTCAAGTGGGTCCCTGACCCCCGAGTAGCCTAACTGGGAGACACCTCCCAGTAGGGCCAACTGACACCTCATACGGCTGGGTGCCCCTCTGAGATGAAGCTTCCAGAGGAAGGAGCAGGCAGCAACATTTGCTGTTCTGCAATTTTTGCTGTTTTGCAGCCTCCTCTGGTGATACCCAGGCAAACAGTGTCTGGAGTGGACCTCCAGCAAACTCCAACAGACCTGCAGCTGAGGGTCCTGACTCTTAGAAGGAAAACTAGCAAGCAGAAAGGACATCCACACCAAAACCCCATCTGTATGTCACCATCATCAAGGACCAAAGGTAGGTAAAACCACAAAGATGGGGAGAAACCAGAGCAGAAAAGCTGAAAAATTCTGAAAATCAGCACACCTCTTCTCCTCCAAAGGAACGCAGCTCCTCGCCAGCAACAGAACAAAGCTGTATGGAGAATGACTTTGACAAGTTGAGAGAAGAAGGCTTCAGACCATCAGTAATAACAAACTTCTCCGAGCTAAAACAGGATGTTTGAGCCCATCACAAAGAAGCTAAAAACCTTGAAAAAAGATTGGACAAATGGCTAACTAGAATAAACAGCATAGAGAAGACCTTAAATGACCTAATGGAGCTGAAAACCATGGCATGAGAACTACGTGACACATGCACAAGTTTCAGTACCCAATTCGATCAATGGGAAGAAAGGTATCAGTGATTGAAGATCAGATGAATGAAATGAAGAGAGAAGAGAAGTTTAGAGGAAAAAGAGTAAAAAGAAACAAACAAAGCCTCCAAGAAATATGGGACTATGTGAAAAGACCAAATCTACGTTTGATTGGTGTACCTGAAAGTGACAGGGAGAATGGAACCAAGTTGGAAAACATTCTGCAGGCTATTATCCAGGAGAATTTCCCCAACCTAGCAAGGCAGGCCAACATTCAAATTCAGGAAATACAGAGAATACCACAAAGATACTCCTCGAGAAGAGCAACTCCAAGACACGTAATTGTCAGATTCACCAAAGTTGAAATGAAGGAAAAATTGTTAAGGGCATCCAGAGAGATAGGTCGGGTTACCCACAAAGGGAAGCCCATCAGACTAATAGCGGATCTCTCGGCAGAAACTCTGCAAGCCAGAAGAGAGTGGGGCCAATATTTAACATTCTTAAAGGAAAGAATTTTCAACCCAGAATTTCATATCCAGCCAAACTAAGCTTCATAAGTGAAGGGGAAATAAAATCCTTTACAGACAAGCAAATGCTAAGAGATTTTGTCACCACCAGGCCTGCCTTACAAAAGCTCCTGAAGGAAGCACTAAACATGGAAAGGAACAACTGGTACCTGCCACTGCAAAAACATGCCAAATTGTAAAGACTATTGATGCTAGGAAGAGACTGCATCAACTAATGAGCAAAATAAACAGCTAACATCATAATGACAGGATCAAATTCACACATAACAATATTAACCTGAAATGTAAATGGGCTAAATGTTCCAATTAAAAGACACAGACTGAGAAATTGGATAAAGAGTCGAGACCCATCAGTGTGCTGTATTCAGGAGACCCATCTCACGTGCAGAGACACACATAGGCTCAAAATAAAGGGATAGAGGAAGATCTAACAGGTGATTGTCTTGCCTCTGCCTCTGCCAGTGGGACGCCTGGAGCAGGTCCTTTCTAGCCCCCTTTGCCAAATGTTGGGTGAGTGCATGGGAGGAGAGCTGTTTTTTCTAGGCCACTGCCACCAAGGCAGGTGTCAAGGCCTTTTCTCTTCTCTGGGGACTTAGGCATTTCCTGGCCCAGGGAGAGCACAGTGATGGGGTGGGGAGAATCAAGACTTAGCAAGACCTCAGAGCATAGGTGGGCATCACTCTTGCTATTGCATCAACTTGAGCTGCTGACTGATGCAGATGGGTAATTATCTTTAGCTGCATCTTTAAATGTAACTAATATTGTTCCTTAGCTGGGACCATGTCTTCTGTTCATGTACAAAAAGATCGATGGAGTCACGGATGGGGCCTCCTCAGACAGAACTCCAGGCATGAAACTCTTCGTGCTGATTTGGGTGCAGTTTACAGTACCTCCCCTTTCCTCATTGTGGAATCTTTGTCTAGTCTTAGGGTGTGTGTATGTGTGTGTGTGTGTGCACGTGTGTGTGTATGTGTGTGCAGGGCTAAATGGGAAGGAGAATGAAACCTCATTGGACTGCAAAGTTTGCCTTTTTGTCTAAGCCCTAATTTTAAATTCCAAAGCCAAGAATTTGACATATTTGCTCCCTATTGTACTCTGAAGCCCTCCTGCCTCAGGGCCATGTGATTCCCATTTATTTGCCTGGTGTGGGCATATAACATTTTGTTTTAACCTATGTGTCTCAATCTGACTTCTTTGTATCTAAAGAATGATACAAAGAAGTCAGGTTGAGACACATAGGTTAAAACAAAATCTTATTTGACCGCAAAATCTAGTCCAGATTTAATATACATAGTTCACTACACTACAAGGCGTGAATAATTATTCCAGAAACATTTATTGAACATCTACTATATGCTTTATGCCAGGTAATATGCTGGGATCTTGGAGGAATAGGAAAAGATAGTACAAAGATAAATAAAACAATTTCCTCTCAGAAAATCTACTAAAGGTAATAAAATGCATAGACATTCCTACAATTCAAGACAGAATATAATGGCAATGAGACAAATTGTAGAGTATTTGTGGGGAAATAGACATAAAGTGAAGAACAACTTAAATATGGTAGGAAAGCTAGACAATTTGACTCTCTACCTAAGAAACCCAGGATAATGCACTAAAGAGCCATTAAAAACAAAAAGTGAGTTTAGGAAGATGATTAGGTACAAGAGCATACAACAACTAGGAAATTTTCTCTACATCAGCAATAGCCAATTACAAAATGTCATGAGAGGAAATACCTTGTTTGTGTCTGCAACCAAAACCATAGTAAGCCTAGGAATACATCTAACAAGATATATGCAAGATTTTTTTGAGGAAGGCCATAAAATGTTACCAAAGGACATAAAAAAGAATTGAATAAATAGAATGATACTGCATGTTGTTATATAGAAAGACTCAATATTGAAAAGATAGCAATTCTCCTAAAATTAATTTGCTATTCAATACAATCCTAATCAAAAGTTCAAACAATTTATTTTTAAAATTTGATGAATAGATTCCAAGTTTATCACGGAAAAGATAATATACAAAAGAGACAAGGAAAATGTTGAGAAAAAGAGTGAGGATAAGGAAAAATAGAGGGGAGAAGGGACATTCTTTACCACATATTAAAATATACTCTAAAGCCAAACTAATTAAGACAGCATGATTTTTATGCAGGACTAGACAAATTGGATTGGAGATAAATAGATAAAACACTCCAGAAACAGGCTCCCCATATGTATGAGAATTTAATGTGTGAAAAGGAGTCATTCTACAGGGAGAAAGAATGGACTACTTCAATAAATGACATTGCCCTTGAACCCATTGTATTTCCCTTGGGAAGGGCACAATGCAGAGTGGGAAGATGCTTGGCTTTAGGTCAGGAAAAAGTGGACTCAAATTCCATCTCTATCAATTATATCTGTCATATTGAGTTTCTTCAATTCTATGCTTTTCTTTAAATTGAGGAACATCAGTCCCTGTTTTTCTACTCACAGGATAGTAATGACGGAGGAAACAATCTGAATATTAAAAAACATAGGTTTTGCGCTGCAATTCTCAGGACTCTACAAATGAAGACCCTGGGGTTTAAAAAAAAAAGAGGAAAAAAGCCTCTCACGTGTCTAAAGCCTGAAATGTTAAGACGTCACTGTTAGAATATCTTTCTAACCTCATCGTCTCGGTCCATGCTGTAAATTCCCTGAGAGGCAGCTTTTTAAACTATTGCCAGCCAGTGAACCCTGAAAGGGAAGAAATTCTCTGAGAACAGGCTTGAATGAGCAAGCTGAGCATAAAATATTCATCAGAGGACAAGCTCAAGGCCAAAGAGGCTAGGAAAACTAAAGACCACCGCTGCCATCTTCCAAGGATTGCAGCAGTCAACTCTCCAGTCTTTGTAAAGAATGCTGGTCATTTGCTTGTTGGCTGTCCACTCCATGCCCTTTTGCAGCTCTACTCTGTATGGTAAAAAACCATACTTCTCAGGCTCTCTTGCCAATGTGCTCCTGGGTGGACTCAGCTAGTGGGAGACACAAGTGGAAGGCTGGAGGGTGGGAAGAATGAAGAGAGCAGGGTATTTCTTCTTGTCATGCGTTACTTCAGTGGTATCTCAGTAGGGAATAGTAGCAATGGTTACTTTTCTCCTGTGATTCTAGCTCTGGAGAAACAGATCCTTTCCTTATTGCCCCACCTCCCACTGGACAGGCCCCACCATGTTTCTCAAGCCAGCTTGATGGCCCTGGCCTCTGAGCTCTCCTCCTATTGTTGCTCCAGCACTAAAATGATAGCAGTTTCCTGTTGTTGCTAATCTCTGGAATTCCTCACTGTCCCACAGTTTGGCTTCTCAGCTCTTCCATTATCTGTATAACAAATGCCCTATGTTAAATTTCTCTACTTGAAAGATCTAGAATCACTTCTATTTTCCTGATTGATAGGGAATCTCTTGAATAAAACATTAAATACTTGTACGAATATTAAGGCTAACATATGGCACCTATATGTGCCAAGGATTGTGCTAAGAGCTTTAGATCATTTCATTTTATTTATCTAATCAACCTCATGAGTTAGGCATATTATTACCCTGATATTACAGATGACAGGAACTGAAGCTTACATTCAAAGTTGAAATCTTTTCTTTCACAGAAAATATTTTTTATCTGGGAGGAGGCTGATTCTGAAAGATGAGAGAACTAAGTCAACCCTCAAAACCCTGTACCCTACAACTTCACTGGAACTGTCAAAGGTGTTTAAACCAGAGCCACTCCATCTTGAATAAGGGCTGGGTAAAACAAGGCTGAGACCTACTGGGCTGTATTGCTAGGTGGTTAGCATTCTAAGTAAGTCACAGGATGAGATAGGAGGTCGGCACAAGATACAGGTCATAAAGACCTTGCGGATAAAATAGGATGCAGTAAAGAACCCAGCCAAATCCCACCAAAACCAAGATGGTGACAGAAGAGTGACCACCGGTCATCCTCACTGCTACACTCCCACCAGCCCCATGACGCTTTACAAATGCCATGGCAATGTCAGGAAGCCACCCTATATAGGGGAGGCATTAATAATCCACCTGTTGTTTAGCATATAATCAAGAAATAACCATAAAACTGGGCAACCACTCTGCCTATGGAGTAGCCATTCTTTTATTCCTTTACTTCCTTAATAAACTTGCTTTCGTTTTATTCTATGGACTCAGCCTGAATTCTTTCTTGTGTGAGATCCAAGAACGCTCCCTTGGGGTCTAAATTGGGACCCCTTTCCAGTAATAGAGCCTCTATACACGGTTGTAGGCACTGCCTAGCCATTCCATCAGCTGAAGTGAACACATTGGTTCTGGCTGGTGACCCCCCTCACTAGTTCTTCTTTGAGCAGAAAAGCACAATCATGATCTGCAGATGGTCATCTGTCTTCCTCTATTGAACATCTGTGTGGTGGCTTTGATGAAGAGAACTAGGGGTGGCCACCTCAGCCATTTCACAATCACAGAATCTTTTATCGCCAGAGCCTTTGCTGGACATTAGGGTGGTTGAGACTTCCATTCTGAATCTTGTCTTTCTTTGATCATTTTGCAGAGAAAACACAAGGTGTTATTTAGGCTGCACAGAAAAGCCTGCAAATTGCTCCTCTCTGTCCTAATGCTTCTCTAAAACATGACTTTCCTCATTACCCCCTACACTCTCCTGATCACTTCCACAACTGCTGCCTACTCTCTTAATATTCTTCCAAAGTAACTACATTGAAAACCCATAAAGGCTGATTTCTGTGGAGACTTCCATCTGCCTCAGCTCTCACCTTCCAACTTAAGGAAGGCAATTAATTGTTTCCTTATGTATTCCTATATGCTTCTTTCCCCTATCACATCTTGAGATCAAGAGTTCTTGGACTCAACACACAAAAATTTATCGATTCTTTTCCTAATTTGCATGCCTGTCCCCTTCCAGAGAGCCCCATGCCTCATTTCCCTTCAGTGGCTTAAACATTAGAGATGAGAGAGACAGAAATATTCACAAAGATGAGTTTTGCCTACATTCTGGAATTTTTGTTCTATTTTTCTGGGGGAGAGAGGTACTCAGCATGTTCTGCCACTTGGTTTCATAACAAGAGCCTAAGCAATCAAAAGTTTATCTCTAGTTGAGAGCAGAAAACTCCCTTTTCCTATTACCTTTGGCCAGTGATGTGGGTTCTAGTTTATTATTAGGCTTCTTGTAAACTAGAAGCCACTCATATCTGCAGATAAGAGAATACATCTGGTGATAGACAGCTTTTACAGCTCTTCCCTTATTGCACTCTAGCCACTTTTAGAAGACAGCAAGCAGAGCAATTTGAAAAATATAAGCAATTACTTTAAACTAATATAAGTTCTTATTATGTCAAGGTATCTGTTTTGTAAAGGAAGACACTTGGAGGTAAAAAAATCAGAAATGTGAGGCTGTCTATTCAACTATCAACCAATCAATCAGTCTCTAAGCACAGTTTAAGCATTTACTCCATGCTGGGTAAAGAATAATCAGGGAGGGGGCAGGAAGTGGCTGACTCAGCCTGTGTACTCTCTGGATTTACTGCAAAATTTAGGAGACATGGTTCCTAAAGACCCACACCTTGATCCTAAAATGTGCTCCCCTCAGATTTGTCATGGGTGCAGTCAGGCTGTGCCCAACAAGGGCATGTTTACATGAGAGGCCTAGGAAGTCTCCTAGGAAACAATCCATCTAAAGAAAAGGGAAATTCAAAGCACACAAGTTTAGTTTCAGGACAGAGTGACAGTTTGGTACCTGGGGAGGAGGGGGTTGGTAATTCCGAGCCTAGCCCTTGTTCCATAGTCTAGTGGAGAAAACTTCTGAATGAGAAAACACATTCAGAAGCCTAGGCAAAGGAGACTGCAAAAACAAACAAACAAAGCAAGATGTAAATTAATGGAAGAGTTCTACACTGTTTATCTGTACTCTTTGGTTGCAAGTAACCAACACTAACTGAGGCTGGATTAAACAGGAAATGAAAATTTATTTTAAGGATGTGAGTTGGCTTTCAATACCCACAGACAAGAATGTAGCTGGAGACCACAAAGATCTAAACCAGGAATGGAAACAATCAGGAGCATGAAAGTACTGTTCCTCCATCTCTCTTCTCTGCCTCTCTCAGTGCATGGGAGACACTGTTTCTCAGAAAACTGAGCTCAAATTGTCTCTTATTTGGCCAGTGGGAGATTATTTAAGTTTCCTTCTGAATACTTTTAACACCACCCTGACTGACTCCTTGATTTCTGGTGTATCAAGATGTTTCAGGCTTACCTGGAATATTCTTTGACCCAGACATAGAGCCAGACATTTCCCCCAAAGAGTTCTGACTCCTTTTGGTTGGAAGTGATGTTTGGAGACCGCAATCTGAGTTCTAGGTGTGCTCATTGCTATTTGGTTGGTCATTGTTTCTAGATCTTTTCCAGGAAGAAAACTAGGAAATATGGTTTTAAAATATTTTATTCTTATCCAACTTTTTTTCCTGGTTAACTATGGCATTACACTTGGCTGCCTAAGGTCACTGAGTATAACTCTAGCTACACAGACTGTTTCTCTCAATCCTGCATTTTCATGGAAGCATTTGGCTCATGTTAGCTACGGGCCCTACCTTGGTCCAACTCTCTGCAGCCAAAAGAAAGGATCACACTGCAGCAGCCTGATGGCCAGGGACCTATCTAGGACAGATTGCATGGTGCAATTAAGGTAGTTGTAGTGAGCTGAGGAGGCAGCTAACTACTTTTATTAACTTGTCCAGCCCACCATGAGCACAAGGCTTCAAAAAGATGCAGTTATGACAGAGTTTTGGCAGCAGCAGAAGGCACTGCTATCCTCTGTGGCTGTGGAGAAAGTCTTCTGGGTACAGAAGCCAGGCTCCCGTCTCATGGGCATACATAGTAGTAGGTGGCACAGTGGGGACAGCCACAAGAGACGACAACACAGCTACAGCAGAAGAGAAGAAATTGAGAGGAATCTGAAGGGACTGAAGTTCCTACAGAGCAGGTGGGAGCAGAACAAACAAATTCATTTTTGTGATTGTTATTTTTGTCTTCAGGCTGGTGTGACCTCAGAAAAATGTTATATATGTACATATAAAATAGTTAACACTACATGATGCATGTGAGATGTTTGAGAACAATGAGTTTTCAGAAGAATGGTGAAGGCTGATTAGGCCTACTCATATAACATTTTAAAACTTTTATTATAGAAAATGTAAACCAGGCACTAAAGCTGACAAAATAGTAACTCCTCCTCCCAGACAGCCAGCACTCAACCCCAACAATCACCAACCTAAGGCCAATCCTGCCCCACCTGCAGTCCAACCACTTTCCTCTCCCTTCTTATTGGAAAGCAAATCCTAGACCTTATATTACTTCATCTATATACACTTTCATATTAATTACTAAAACATTAGGATATTTTTATAACAAACCCATTATCATGACTGAAAAAACCCATAATTCTTTAGTATTATCAAATATCTAATCTGTGATTAAAAGATCAATTATCTCATAAATTTTATAATATTTTAACATGTTATTTATTTGAATCAGCATCCAAATAGGATACATACATTATAATTGATGGATATGTTCTTTTTTTTTTTTTTTAGACAGACTGTCACTCTGTCGCCCAGGCTGGAGTGCCGTGGTGCGATCTCGGCTCACTGCAAGCTCCGCCTCCCAGGTTCAAGCAATTCTCCTGCCTCAGTCTCCCGAGTAGCTGGGACTACAGGCACCAGCCACCATGCCTGGCTAATTTTTTTGTATTTTTAGTAGAGACGGGGCTTCACTGTGTTAGCTAGGATGGTCTCGAAGGGTCTCTCGTGATCTGCCCGCCTCAGCCTCCCAAAGTGCTGGGATTACAGGCGTGAGCCACTGCGCCCGGCAGATATGTTCTTAAAATCTTTTTTAACCTACAGATTCCTTCTCCTTTTATTTTTCCCTCCTGAAATTATTTTTTAAAAATTGGGTCATTTTTCCATAGAGTTGACTGTGGTCTAGATTTTGCTCATTTTACCTATGTGGTATAGTTTAAAATATTTTTATATTATGTTTATATCCTATAAATTGATAATTATATCAAGTGGCTTAATCAGATTCAGATTTGATTTTTTTTTTTTTTTTTTGAGACAGGGTTTCACTCTGTCACCTAGGCTAGAGTGCAATGATGTAATCATGGCTTACTGCATCCTCGACCTCTTGGGCTCAAGTAATTCTCCAGCCTCACCCTCCCAAGTAGATGGGACCTCAGGCATACACCACCATGCCCATCTAAGTTTTAAAAAAAAAATTTGTAGAGATGGGGTCCCATCTCTACAAATGTTGCCCAGGCTGGTCTCTAACTCCTGGGTGCAAGTGACCCTCCTCCCTCGGTCTTCCAAGGTTCTGGGATTACAGGTATGAGCCACTATGCCTGGCCCTTATTTTCAAAATAATGGCAAAATAATGAGGGCTTTAGTTATCTCTTGCTAGGTAATGAACAACTCTATAACTTAGTAGTTAAAAACAACAAGTATTTATTAGTCCTCCCAATTCTGCAGTCTGGCTGGGCTCAGCTGGGTGGCTCCTCTACTGCATGTTACGTCTTCTGGGGCTGGAGCATCCATGATGGCTTCTTTACCCATTTGTCTAGCACCTCAGTGGGAATGGCTGGAATAGCTGGGGGCCTGCTGGGAAGTTTTCTCTCCATGTGGCTATTTCAGGCTTCCTCACAGCGTAATCTCCAGGTAATCAGGCTTTTTTTTTTTTTTTTTGAGACAGAGTCTGGCTCTGTCACACAGGCTGGAGGGCAGTGGTGCAATTTTGGCTCACTGCAAGCTCTGCCTCCCGGGTTCATGCCATTGTCCTGCCTCAGCCTCTTGAGTAGCTGGGACTACAGGAGCCAGCCACCACGCCTGGCTAATTGTTTGTATTTTTAGTAGAAACAGTGTTTCACAGTGTTAGCCAGAATGGTCTCGATCTCCTGACCTCATGATCCACCTGCCTTGGCCTCCCAAAGTGCTTGGATTACAAGCGTGAGCCACCGTGCCCAGCGTAATCAGGCTTTTGACATGACAGCTAGGTTCTAAGAGCAAGTTGTGAAATATGCAGAGCTCATAAGTCTCAGTCTTAGAGATTACACAGCATCTCCACAAAATCCCATTGGTGAACACAAGTACAGAGCCTGGCTCAGATCCAAGGAAAGGAGATACAGACTCCAGCTCTCTGGAGGAATGGTAAGTTTCCAACCATCTTGACGTCACTATACCTAGCATCCTCCAAAAGTGACCATTTAGGATTGTCTTATTCTTTCTTTTTATTTTTAATACTATTGCAAACTAGTAGATTTACATATATATTTGATATGCTTTAATCCTTTGCAGTTATTACTTTTATTAATGCTCAAATTGTCTCTTATTTGGCCAGTGGGAGATTGTTTAAATTTCCTTCTGAATCCTTTTAACACCACCCTGGCTGACTCCTTGATTTCTGGTGTATCAAGATGTTTCAGGCTCACCTGGTATATTCTTTGACCCAGACATAGAGCCAGACATTTCCCCCAAAGAGTTCTGACTCCTTTTAGTTGGAAATGATGTTTGGAGACCACAATCTGAGTTCTAGGTGTGCTCATTGCTATTTGGTTGGTCATTGTTTCTAGATCTTTTCCAGGAAGAAAACTAGAAAATATGATTTTAAAATATTTTATTCTTATCCAACTTTTTTTTTCTTGGTTAACTATGACATCTGCATCATCTGCTTGATGACTTCCAGGACATTGGATTTTTTTTTAGCCATGCTCAGAATGATGCCTGGTACACCTCTGTTCTATACTGACCTTTTGAATATGATTTAGGAACTAGTACATGCATTTCTTCTTAGAAGAGTTCTCATCCATGGCCTACAAGATTATTTCATCTTAACACTAACATAGCCTGGAATTCCTAGTTTCCCTAGATGGCTTTCTTGATCAGTTTTCGTGGTATGTATTTCAAAATTTTTCACTCTCTAAAACTCAGTGCCCCGTCTCCCACCAACATCTCCTTTGTTATCAGATGACCTGACAACCCCTTTTACTCAAACAATCTAAAATCCAGAGGGTTACAATCCCTCCATTTTCTGACACTCACCTAAAAACTTAATTCTATTCATATCCATCAGCCCTCTCCTTCCTTCCTACTTCTTTGGGAAGAGTGTGGAACTTTCAGGAATCTTTTGGTTGCAAGCAACAGAAAACCCAATTCATACTGGCTTAAATAAAGAAAAAAAGGCTCATCTAATTAAGCCTCCAGATATGGATTTGACTTGAGGTTAGCCACATGAGAGCGAATTTGACCTTATACTTTCTGCATGTTAGTTCCCAAATCACTTGAGTCAATAAATTGAGTTCTAAGTTGGCCCAATTAAAGAAAATCCGATGAAAAACCTCTGGTTGCTGGGGGATGAGAAACTCTCTCTTTGGACAACATGATGTGTGGATGTGAGGTTCACAGTATCAGTCATTTTGCTAAATGAGGGTAACTTGGCAGAGCTAAGACACTCAATGAATGGCAATGAGTGACAGAGTAGAAAAAATATTACAAAAATACTGAATCAGAGCCCTGATGAACTACACTTACCACTAAACATTTTTACTTATGTAATCAATGAAATTTCCTTTATTGTATAAACAAGGTTTTGTCCACTTTTCCATTAATTGCAACCCCCAAAATCTTAACTACTACAGACTTCCAAGTCTTCAGGAAATTATAGTATTTCCTTACATTTGGATAGAGCTTTAGAGTCAAAGAACTGAGACAGATTTTATCTCATGGGTTCTCCCACCAAACTTTTAGAAGCAGCTTGGCAATTCTGCCTTTATTTTATCTTATGTTAAGGAGGAAAGGATCATTAGGTATATTAATTTTTAATTGTGGTGAGATATATATATATAAAATGAAATTTACTTTTTTTTTTTTTTTTGAGATGGAGTCTTGCTCTGTCACCCAGGCTGGAGGGCAGTGGAGTGCAGTGGCACGATCTAGGCTCACTGCAAACTCTGCCTCCTGGGTTCAAGCCATTCTCCTGCCTCAGCCTCCGGAGTAACTGGGACCACAGGTGCCTGCCACCACACCTGGCTAATTTTTTGTATTTTTAGTAGAGACGAGGTTTCACTGTGTTAGCCAGGATGGTCTCGATCTCCTGACCTCGTAATTCTCCCGCCTCGGCCTCCAAAAGTCCTGGGATTACAGGCGTGAGCCACCGTGCCCGGCCAAAATTTACCATTTTAACCATTTTAAGTGGGCAGTTTAGTGGCAGTAAGTGCATTAACGTTGTTGCATAACCATCACCACCAGCCATCTTCAGAATATTTTCATTTTTCTCACTGAACTCTGTATCCATTAAATAAAAACTCCCCATTCCCTCCTCTCAGTCCTTGACAACCACCAATTCTATTTTCTGTCTCTATAAATTCAGTTACTCTAGGTACATTTTACTAGTGGAATCATACAATATTTGTCCTTTTGTGGCAAACTTATTTCAATTACCATAATGTCTTCAAGGTTCATCCACGTTGTGGCATGTGTCAGAATTTCCTTCCTGTTTAAGGCTGAATAGTATTTCACCATATGTCTGTACCACGTATTGTTGATCTGCTCCTCCACTGATGAACACTTGGGTGGCTTCCACTTTTGGGCTATTGTGAAAAACGCTGCTATGAATGTGGCTGTACAAATATTTGTTCAAGTCCCTACATTCGATTCTTTTGGGCATATGTCCAGAGGTGGAATTGCTAGATCACATGGTAAATCTATTTTTACTTTTTTGAGGAGCTGCCATCTCATTTTCCACAGCAGCTGCACCATCCTACATGCCCCTTAGTGATGCATAAGAGTTCCTATATCGCCACACATTTGTCAACATTTGTTATTTTCTGGTTTGAGGGCTCTGCTTTGTTTTGTTTATAACCTAGCTAACATAGCCTCTCTGATCAAGATATCCTAATGGGTGTGAAGCATATTCTTTTTATTATTAATAATTTGCCCACCAGCCTGGCAAGGGCACCTGGAGTGGGGGGTTACACCTCAGGTATCAATCAGTCAATTGTCTGGGAGCACAAACGTGGGACTCCTAACTGAGCATGGATTAGACAAATAGAGGTTGTTCCACAAATGTTTGTCAAAAGAATGCGTGACTGAGCAATTTATTTAAGATGAGTAACTCCCCAAAAAAGAAACCCAAAAACTTAACTGAAGAGCTGGGAAGGTGAAGTGAGTGTGAGGCTTATGGTGGGAGATGGGGCATGGGACACTAAAATGAGGGATGGGTATAAAGACAAAGGCTGGCCAAGCTCCCTGGCAAAGCTTCTAGGGACACCTGGTCTTGGCACCTGGAATCACCCCTGCCTCACTTTCCCTAGTGGTCTGCCTTTCTTTATGTCTAGAATCGTCTTTGCAGATGTGTTTAAAAGTCCCAGCCTTCTGAGATAGTACATTATAATGGGAGTGCCAGTGATGGCCATGCTTTAGTTTATATCAACAATGTGTATTATTGTGAGAGCCCTCTAGTAGGGAGTCCCTTCAAAACTCATGTGCTCTAGGTCTTTAGCTGGAGAGAGGATTTACAGGGCCCTGAATCTCAGCACACTTGCCTGAAAGCAGCTGCGGAGATTTTTCCTATGGTTGTTAAGCCTGGGGATGATCAAATTGGTACTGTTCCTATTGGGAAGATCCTGGGGTGTTAAATTCTGAGAATTTTCAGTTGCGCCAGGAACACTTCAAAGCATCTGCAAGTTTTGTCTCGCCAAGGCTGTAAAAGCAATCAGATATTTATCTAAAGCTTGTCCAAACCACTTTTGTCTGGACATGAGGCAGGAAATCTCCTGAGAAGCAGTCTCTTTGTGAAGCTTGCTTTTTCTCTCTTTCTAGGGAGGATGGAAATAGCAAACAAACAACAATGCAACTTTGATGATGTGATTTTCTCCTTAATAATCAGGCTGTGAGGAGGATCGAGGTATTGCTGTTTCCATATTCACTGCACTCTGCTCTAGAAGCCCTAAATACTATTTCTTCGACATTTCACTCCTCCCACCAGGTTCTTCCCAGAGTCATTGCTGAATCCTGATCCTTCCCTCTTCCCCTGCCCCACCTTGCATGCTCTGATCTACAACCCACCCAGCAGCAGCCAAGTGAGTCCCCCAGGGATATGTGGGCACCCCAGTCCTTCTGGTGAGGAAAGAAAGTGGGAGTGACTCCTGCACCCGATATCAAAGAATCCAAAATATCAAGTGAATTGTTGTTCTGTAAAACAGACTTTTTCTGGCCCAGATGGCTTCACTGGAGAATTCTACCAAACACTTTAGGAAAAAATAATATCAATTACATAAACTGTTCCAGAAAATAGAAGAGACAGCAGTTAAGAAAAAACTACATGCAACAACATGGATAATCTCAAAAGCATTATGCTAAGTGAAAGAAGTCAGCACAAAGGGGTCCATGCCCTATTATTCCATTTACATGATAGTTTGAAAAAGAATTATAGCAACATAAATCAGATCAGTCGTTTCTAGAGGCTAGAGATGGTGGGGGAGATTGGATGCAAAGGGGCATGTGGGACCTTTTTGGGTGATGGAACTGTTCTATATATTGATTATAATGATGGCTATGATTGTATGCATTTGTCTATATTTATTTAGCTATATACTTTAATGGGGCAAATTTTACTGTATTAAATTATACCTCAGTAATGCTGACTTAAAAAGTTAAAAAAGGAATCCCTAGTTTTCAAAGCATTAAATTTTAATTTATTTGAAAGTGGCATTAAGAGAACACATTTGCATTTATTATTAAATATATGCCTACATGTGTATATTTACATAAGTGTGTATGTATATGTGTGTACACACACACATGTGTAGATGTTTATTTTTTTCTTCTCATGCTGCCATGTTACCACATCATCCCCACTGCCAGGAGTAAGAACAGCTTCTCAGCTGACCCCCCATCTCTGGCTGCCCCTGCTGTCATCAGTCGTCTTTGTCTCAGGCAGGTGAATGTTTCCCAAGCTCTGCTTTGTTCGTAGATACAGCAATGACTCAGCCAAGGCCACTGCCCTCAGGAAGCTTACAGTTTAGCAGGCAGTGAGAGGATCCCTGCCATAGATGGGCAACGAACTTGTGAATTCTGTCATCTAAAATAATAGAGGTGTTGTGAGATTCAAGTGAGATATGTGTGAAGTGCTGAGTGCATAGTGAACCCTCAACAAACATAAACTATTTTTGGTACTTTTATCAGCATTTCTATTGATTTTATTTACTATCATCAGGCTCCACTTGGCTTTCCTGTGTTGCTAGGCACCATTTCCTAGAAATAAATTAACCCTGTCAGATATTTATCTAAAGTCATCTCCTTACGTAGAGACATACATAGGAGGCAGAGGGAGTCTTACGTTGTGTATTGAAGTATGAGGCCCATCAAGTAGTAATCAGTTTTTTCTTCTGACATGGGTTCTGGCATCATCTCTATTGTTTCAAGTCCGGGAAATGCCAGCATTAGTCAACATGTTTCAATTATTCAATGAATATTTAATAAGCACTTAAGATATTTCAAATACTCTTTCATGCGCTGGTGATACGGCAGTTAACAAAACAGACAAAACTCCTTGTGGATGCTGCTTTTTAATTCTAGCCCAAAGTGATCTTTTTAAATATACATATATATGTATATATGTATATGTATATATATGTATATGTATATATGTATATATACACATATATACATATGTATATATGTATGTTTATATATATGTGTGTATATATATATACACATATGTACGTACGTGTATATATACATATATACGTATGTATATATGTATACATACTTACATGTATGTATATGTATATATGCATACATACTTACATGTATGTGTACGTATACATATATGTATGTATGCATGTATACATACTTACATGTATGTATATGTATATGTATACATACAGATACATATACATATATGTATACATGCAGATACATATGTGTATCTGTACAGATATGTATCTGTATATGTATATGTATATACATACATACATGTATGTATATGTATATTTGTATATACAGATATGTATATGTATATATGTACATACATATATATACATATATATATATGTATGTATTTTTTACTAAAAGAAGAGGTGAAGATCTATGGGACATCTCTTGACCTTTGAGTTTAGAAGCTCCCCAATGTTGGGTAGAGAAGGACAATAAAAGTATGGATGAGAAAGCTTAGGAGAGATTCCAAGCTGGAGCAATGAGATGAAACTAAAGAATCACTAAGCACAATGGTTGAACTAGTTTACAGTCCCACCAACAGTGTAAAAGTGTTCCTATTTCTCCACATCCTCTCCAGCACCTGTTGTTTCCTGGCTTTTTAATGATTGCCATTCTAACTGGTGTGAGGTGGTATCTCATTGTGGTTTTGATTTGCATTTCTCTGATGGCCAGTGATGATGAGCATTTTTTCATGTGTCTGTTGGCTGCATAAATATCTTCTTCTGAGAAGTGTCTCTTCATGTCCTTTGCCCACTTTTTGATGGGGCTGTTTGTTTTTTTCTTGTAAATTTGTTTGAATTCATTGTAGATTCTGGATATTAGCCCTTTGTCAGATGAGTAGGTTGTGAAAATTTTCTCCCATTTTGTAGGTTGCCTGTTCACTCTGATAGTAGTTTCTTTTGCTGTGCAGAAGCTCTTTAGTTTAATTAGATCCCATTTGCCAATTTTGGCTTCTGTTGCCATTGCTTTTGGTGTTTTAGACATTAAGATCTTGCCCATGCCTATGTCCTGAATGGTATTGCCTAGGTTTTCTTCTAGGGTTTTTATGGTTTTCGGTCTAACGTTTAAGTCTTTAATCCATCTTGAATTGATTTTTGTATAAGGTGTAAGGAAGGGATCCAGTTTCAGCTTTCTACATATGGCTAGCCAGTTTTCCCAGCACCATTTATTAAATAGGGAATCCTTTCCCCATTTCTTGTTTTTCTCAGGTTTGTCAAAGATAAGATAGTTGTAGATATGCGGCGTTATTTCTGAGGACTCTGTTCTGTTCCATTGATCTATATCTCTGTTTTGGTACCAGTACCATGCTGTTTTGGTTACTGTAGCCTTGTAGTATAGTTTGAAGTCTGGTAGTGTGATGCCTCCAGCTTTGTTCTTTTGGCTTAGGATTGACTTGGCGATGTGGGCTCTTTTTTGGTTCCATATGAACTTTAAAGTAGTTTTTTCCAATTCTGTGAAGAAAGGCATTGGTAGCTTGATGGGGATGGCATTGAATCTATAAATTACCTTGGGCAGTATGGCCATTTTCACGATATTGATTCTTCCTACCCATGAGCATGGAATGTTCTTCCATTTGTTTGTATCCTCTTTTATATCCTTGAGCAGTGGTTTGTAGTTTTCCTTGAAGAGGTCCTTCGCATCCCTTGCAAGTTGGATTCCTAGGTATTTTATTCTCTTTGAAGCAATTGTGAATGGGAGTTCACTCATGATTTGGCTCTCTGTTTGTCTGTTATTGGTGTATAAGAATGCTTGTGATTTCTGTACATTGATTTTGTATCCTGAGACTTTGCTGAAGTTGCTTATCAGCTTAAGGAGATTTTGGGCTGAGACAATGGGGTTTTCTAGATATACAATCATGTCATCTGCAAACAGGGACAATTTGACTTCCTCTTTTCCTAATTGAATACCCTTTATTTCCTTCTCCTGCCTAATTGCCCTGGCCAGAACTTCCAACACTATGTTGAATAGGAGTGGTGAGAGAGGGCATCCCTGTCTTGTGCCAGTTTTCAAAGGGAATGCTTCCAGTTTTTGCCCATTCAGTATGATATTGGCTGTGGGTTTGTAATAGATAGCTCTTATTATTTTTAAATACGTCCCATCAATACCTAATTTATTGAGAGTTTTTAGCATGAAGGGTTGTTGAATTTTGTCAAAGGCCTTCTCTGCATCTATTGAGATAATCATGTGATTTTTGTCTTTGGCTCTGTTTATATGCTGGATTACATTTATTGATTTGCATATATTGAACCAGCCTTGCATCCCAGAGATGAAGCTCACTTGATCATGGTGGATAAGCTTTTTGATGTGCTGCTGGATTCGTATTGCCAGTATTTTATTGAGGATTTTTGCATCAATGTTCATCAAGGATATTGGTCTAAAATTCTCTTTTTTGGTTGTGTCTCTGCCCGGCTTTGGTATCAGAATGATGCTGGCCTCATAAAATGAGTTAGGGAGGATTCCCTCTTTTTCTATTGATTGGAATAGTTTCAGAAGGAATGGTACCAGTTCCTCCTTGTACCTCTGGTAGAATTCGGCTGTGAATCCATCTGGTCCTGGACTCTTTTTGGTTGGTAAGCTATTGATTATTGCCACAATTTCAGATCCTGTTATTGGTCTACTCAGAGATTCAACTTCTTCCTGGTTTAGTCTTGGGAGAGTGTACGTGTCCAGGAATTTATCCGTTTCTTCTAGATTTTCTAGTTTATTTTCGTAGAGGTGTTTGTAGTATTCTCTGATGGTAGTTTGTATTTCTGTGGGATCGGTGGTGATATTCCCTTTATCATTTTTTATTGCATCTATTTGATTCTTCTCTCTTTTTTTCTTTATTAGTCTTGCTAGTGGTCTATCTATTTTGTTGATCCTTTCAAAAAACCAGCTCCTGGATTCATTAATTTTTTGAAGGGTTTTTTGTGTCTCTATTTCCTTCAGTTCTGCTCTGATTTTAGTTATTTCTTGCGATTCCTCAGGGATCTAGAGCTAGAAATACCATTTGACCCAGCCATCCCATTACTGGGTATATACCCAAAGGACTATAAGTCATGCTGCTATAAAGACACATGCACACATATGTTTATTGCAGCATTATTCACAATAGCAAAGACTTGGAACCAACCCAAGGGTCCAACGATGATAGACTGGATTAAGAAAATGTGGCACATATACACCATGGAATACTATGCAGCCATAAAAAATGATGAGTTCATGTCCTTTGTAGGGACATGGATGAAATTGGAAATCATCATTCTCAGTAAACTATCGCAAGAACAAAAACCCAAACACCTCATATTCTCACTTATAGGTGGGAATTGAACAATGAGATCACATGGACACAGGAAGGGAAACATCACACTCTGGGGACTGTTGTGGGGTGGGGGGAGGGGGGAGGGATAGCACTGGGAGATATACCTAATGCTAGATGACGAGTTAGTGGGTGCAGCACACCAGCATGGCACATGTATACATATGTAACTAACCTGCACGATGTGCACATGTACCCTAAAACTTAAAGTATAATAATAAAAAAAAAGAAAATTAAAAAAAAAGAATCACTAAGCAGGCTAAGAGGAATAAATGCGAAGTGTTTATACAACCTTCAAAATCCAACTCAGACTTTAAGAGGAATATAGCAAACATTTTTGCATGCAGAAAAAAACAACGAACAAGAAGGTGAAAAGAACTCAAAATAACACAAGGAATAGACAGAATTAAACTCAGGAATGAGGGATGTGATATCACTCCTCAATTACCTGAAGGTAATTTCTCCAATTGGAGAACGTAGTAAGGCTTGTTCTGTATAGCCCTAAAAAGTGGGATCTACACAGAGATATATTTTGGCTCAAAATAAAGAGGAAGCCTCTTACTATCACAGTAACCTTAATATGGAATGAACCACCTCCATTTGGAGTGAGTTCCTCATTCCTGGAGGTGTTGAAAATGCTGTAGATGAGTTTCTACTTTGCTCTGAAAGGGTGTCTATTAAAAATAAACCTCCTGGTATTCATTGTGTACTTACTATGTTCCAGGCACATGATTCTACTTCTCAATCTGGGTCTACTGAAGGAGACACCAAATTACCCAACAGAGTAATCAGCGTAGTGCCAAAAAGGTGTACGGGCAGGGAGAGCACAGCTCCTAACTCAGCATAGGGGTCAAGTAAATCTTCCTGCAGGAGGTTTCCTGAGCTTGGCTTCCAATGATAAAGAGGAATCAAGCAAGGAGTCAAGGGCCAGAAAACAGTTGGACTAAAATTAGTGGCTTTCAGGCTTGCACCATAGACCCCTAGGATATTCACATGGACTCTTGAGGGGTTCCTGGGGGCAAGACTATGTGGCTGGAGTTTTAAACATTTCCTATACTTCAACCAAAGCAGATAATTTTAATCTATTATGTACCTTGGGACTCCACTTAAGATTTTCAAATAAGTCGCCTGCATTTTAAAACAGATCACAAAAATATTAATTCAGTAAACCATGTCCCAGAGATTGTGTCTCCTAACCTGGGTATGCTTTTTATAGATTATGACTCCATATTGGAAGTATGGAGGTAGTTTACTGATGGGAAGAGGTCCCATAGAGCCCCAGACTCAACTAGAGCCTCCTTGTTTCTGCCATTCGGTCATGCTGATGGGTGCTGGCATAATGCAGTGAGACCAGAAGAAACTGACTTAACTTCTTCCTCTGAGGAGGAGCCTGTGGCTTTAGAAGGGAAATAATAACCACCCAATATAACCAAGATGCTAAGCCATAACATGGTTTTCTGAGCCCTCACTCATCAAGCTGGAAAAGATGCTTCAGCACCAAGGACAGCGCTCATAGCCGCGGCCCTGACAGAAGACGCCAACTTCACCTCCTTAAGGCCTGGTCCTGTGTCTCTCGAGGTATAGGAATCCTGGTTTTACACTTAGGTTTATTTTGGTTCTAATCTCGCTAGAAAATCAGACTCTGCTGCACTTAATCATTTCTCATTTAATTTGAGCCATCTCCTTTGATTCTGAGGTATAATTAGCCTTAAGCATGCTAAATATAAAGGTACACTACTCACCTTCAGCACGTGATCAATGAAAGAGAGCTGAGAAAGGGGTCCTAATCTACATTCTTTACTAAATGCAAAGAAAGCATTCAATAAGCCACAGTTCGGGAAGTTGATCTTTTGACGGTAAGAGGGGAGTCTGGGGGAGGGAATGTTCTCACAGGTCAAGGTGAAAGTCCACAATATTGCACTAAAGAGAAAATGATAAATTATTAATTGTCATAAGGAGATAGTCATGAGTGAGTGGAAAATTGGGGTCTTCACCCTGGGTTTCCACGGCACAACATGATTGGTCAGAGGCAGGGACACTCTACACCTGGCCCATCTTGAAGTAAGGTTAGGTCAGAGGCCTGATCTTTGGCCACCTTCATTTCCCCATATCATGGCGAGACAGTGTATAATAGTATGATGGGTGCTTGGATCTACCCTCAAACGCTTCTCAATGTAACACCCCTGGCCAGTCACTTTAATTCTCCAAGCTGCAGTTTTTCATAAGTAACATCAAGATAATATCCTCCTTCCCCAGACAATCATTGAAGGATTCAATGAGATAAGTTGTATAAAAGCACCCAGCACAGTGCTGGTGCATAGTAAGTACCGAGAAATATTAGATGCCGTCCTGTGTTCTTGCAAGGAATTGATTCTTTGCTGAGTGAATTGATATGGTTTCTAAGTGGCTTATTAATGACTGCCCAGAAAGCATAAGCCTCTCTCTCCATCTGCTCATTTTCCACAAAAGTAGACAGACAGGTTTGTGCCAGGTCCTCAGCCCCAGTTTCATCTAAACTGGCCTTTGGCAACATCAGCTCCACATGCTCCAGTGAAGTCAGAAACAGGTCAGTAAGTTTTGTGTAGGGGTCCTCGATGGCCTTTCCAAATTGCAGATTTCTCAATTACAAAGGAAATGAGCCTGAAAAAATATCTATAGCTTAATCATTAAATGTGCTTTTGCTGAAGACCAAAATCCATAGCTTTTCCTCGCTTAACTAGAAAGTGATAGTTAAGCATTTACAACATTGACTATTGGGCTCAGTCTATTCTGCAACGATTTGTATTCATCACCCACTATATGCCAAGTATGTCTCCTGGAGGCCTCAGGCCTTTGTCTGGTATAATACTCCTTGTTCTTAGAGACTCATCTAAAGTATCTTCAACTTGTTTAAAGGTGGAACACTTTGGGGAAAAGGTGAGGCAAAGAATGGAAAGCGGTAATGTCATAATACGAATGTCATAACACATTTTAGAAAACACTGTCCTAGACTCGCTTGCAGAAGTTTGTACCTTACAATTTAAGAATCAGAAAGAGGAAGCAAAGCAATGACAAAGGGCACAAACATTGTCAAAAATATACTGTCCCAAGGAAAGAGGGCATTTGGGGCCTTGAGGAATTGGGTAATACATCCCAACCATCCCTACTCTGATAGAATAACAAAACAGAGGCCCTTCTGTCCTAGCAGGCTGCAATCAGAAAACTGGGATTTTTCTGCCCATGTGTCTGGTGTTTCACTTGCATCAGTGCCCCCTGGAAATGCAAACTGAGAGCACTTGGCCAGTCTCTGTCAGCCACTCAGGAAGCCCAGTTGCCCTACAGCCTCCTCATCAGGAAAGTGCCTCCTGAGGCATTTATAATACTCTGAGAAGCATCCCTAAAATTATTCATTGCTGTCCAGAGGTGATGTTTGAGATGGGAAACTCAGGCGTGGAAGTCTGGCCATGGCATACCTGTATTTGTCATTGCCTGCCATGTAGTCCATCCTCATCATCAGACTCTACTCATCTACCCTGCTGGTCTCTTGCTCTTTATGGGCCAATTGTATTTGTATCCTCCAGGCAAAGTCCTACTGTGAAGCATATATGGGCTTAGCTCATGACCATAATTTTTTGTAGAGTAGACCTTAATTTCTGGCCACCTCAGAGCTTTGGCACCCTTTAAACAGATCTCTCCTGGATCAAGGGCTGATCTTTGATCCAATTAGCAACCACTCTGGTTCTGTGAGCCAGGGGTTAGGGCAGAGGACCACTAGCTAGAGGCTTCTGGCCATGCAGACACCAAGAAGGACATGTTCAAGACAAATCCCCTCTGGTAGCATTTGCTGGGTAGACTGATAGGAATAATGTTGGCAAAATTACTGCATGAGTCTTTCACAGAAATGCAGAATGGAGCGTCCACATGACACCCTTCTGTCTCAGAGCCCTATATTGTGTTCACACACACAGAGTAGAGCTTAAGTGCGTGGATTTTAGAATAGACTGTTTATTTCTCTGCACTAATATTTGTTCCATGTACAACCTAGAGCAAGTTACTTAACCTCTCTGTGACTCAATCTTCTCATCTTCAAAATGGAAGTAAAAATTAAATCAATTAAATTTGTTAACTATTTGCAAAACACTTAGAACTGTGCCAGGCACTTAATAAAATAGCTATCATTACTCTCTTAGAAAACATACATGGAGAATCTCTGGTGTGTCCTCTGCCCACCCAGGACTCAAACCAAACGTAGGAGGTGTTAAGTGCTTGGAAACCACTTCGTTAAAAGAACCAAATTCAGAAAGGCAAGTGTTAGCCTGCAGACACTGTGCCATATTTGATGAGGCTTGTGGGTGTACCAAGGCCAGAGGACTTAGCTCGGAAAGGATGAGTCATCCATGGTGGATGAGACATGAAGAGCAAATTATCATCCTCAGCCCAGATCCAGTTGAACTGCCAGAAGCAGCAAGTAATTCTTGGCTTATCCCAAGCAGTAATATAGAGTAATCATATGTCCATTTGGCTCTATCTCCAAATAGATCTTTTGACCACTTTTATGTTTCTGCACAGCCCCCTCCCTGGTCCCATCCTTCATCCTCTTTGATCTGGGCTATTATCTCTGTCTTCTCACTCATTCATATTTCCTCCACAGGTCCTCCACATGCGGTACCAGAGTGACACTTATTTAAGACATTTAAATAAGATCAGGTTCCTCCCTCACCCTCCAAGGTGCGGTCACCAGGTCCTTGTCCACAGTTTAGTACTTCTCTCTCCTGCCTTTTTCCCAGACTTCCTGCCCTTGGGTAAGTTCCTCCACGAACTCCTCAGCTTTGTCTGTCCCTGTGCACATGGTTTCCCTGGCCCAGAGGCTCTCCTGCCCTCTTCACCTGGGTATCCCTAGACCTCCTCTGAGCACTCTCCCAGGTTGAATCTGATTCTCCTGTTATACTTCAGTCCTTCACACCTTCTGCTTTCATTCTTGGCATGTGTCAGTTATTTTATATTTATTAGTGCGATTATGCGTCTGTTGTACATGCTTCCCAATACATCTTGAGTTTTTAAAAGAATAGATCATATCTGTCCTATTTACCATTGTAATTCCAGTGCTGAGCTCAGCTCAATAAATATTGGTTGAATGAATAAAATCAAACATGATCTCTGAAAGCAGAGGTAGCCGCTGAGGCTCCAAGCATTGCAGCAAGAATCCCCCAAAAGCTCCCTTGAGTGAGTGGAGTTGGTTTTTGGAAAAAAACTAATTTTAAAGGTGATTATTGGGCTGCTTGTCACATAATGTGGTCCAGGGCATCTTTGCAGAGGTTACAAACCGGTGGCCCAAAGGCCAGTTAGATCCATAGACATGTTTTCTTTTGGCTGCCATGTTAGTAATTTTTTAAAGTTTTACTTTAATAACCAGATTTCTAGATTGTCTCAAGAAGCTGGGAGGTCCAGCAACACCAAGGCCACATTCCCCTGTGGCAGTAACCCACTGGAAATGTCAATTGCCGCATCAGCTGGGTATATGCTCTCCAGATACCACTGTCCCTGTTGTGCTTCACCTCCTTGCGTATCTCCCCAGCCCCCATAGGCATCTGAGTTTTCACCTTGTGGGCTCTCGCAGCTGGAAACACTGAGGCATCACTGATGAGTGAAGGTACAGATGTCTGGGAGAGGCCTGCTCTCAAAACTGAACTCATAACCTTCCCTGATTCCATTCTGGTGGGGTGATCACTAACCTAGGTGGCTTGCAGCCCTTAATGCACTGATGAGCCCAGCACCTGCTCCTTAATCATTCATGCCTCAGTTTCTCCATCTAAGAAGCCGGATTACTTCCTTCACAAGGCAATAGAGAACCCAAGCCCCAGCCCCACTCCATACCTACTCCCTGTTTCTCACCTCCCATTTGCGATGCTGCTTTGGCAAGCCCTGATCTGTGTCCCCGTCTTAGTGTCACCCAAACCTTCTGAAAGGAATGAAGGACAAATGGTAGACTGACAAGCTGTGGCATTGCTGTTTTCCAGCCAATGGCCTTCTCAGCCTCCTTATGCAATGGCTGCCATTTCCATTTGTACAGGACTGGCTTTGCTTCCTAGGCAGGCTCTCTAGTGTTTCCTTGTAACACTCAATTTGCAGCTTGTGAATACCAGGTAGGAGCTAGTTAATCCAGCTGATGTTAACCGGGTAACTAATTAGAAGAGCCCTATCCTTTGCCAAGTGCTCCTACCCACACTACATATATACACCCCAATTCTTCACTTTCCTGTAATGGTATCATATATTCTTACTGTCACTATGGCCTCATGTTGGGCAAAGAATACTTCCCTAACCATTGACTCTGGGCTAGACTGTGTGACTTGCTTTGGTGAATGGGATGTTAGCAGACTTGGTGCAAACACAGGATGGCAATGTGCATGAATGGTTGGTTTTGACTCCCTGTGCTTTTGCCATCACCATAGGAAAAACACACTCCGGATGGCCCACTGGTCCAAGGAGGATGAAAAACAGTGACATTGATCCAGATCATCTGCAGCCTGGAGCCAAGTCTGGCCAAGTCTAGCTCAGCCCAGCCCAGACTAGAATACACAATCCCCCACCCAGATGACCTGCAATAACATGAGCAAGAATAAATGTCTGTTGTTTCAAGCCACTGAGCTTAGGGGTGGTTTGTTACACCCAAAAGCTAGCTGATACATATCATATCACTGGATTTTTGGAACTGCTCTGGGACCTGTCTCCTCCTTTCTTCTCTGCCTGCTCCTCACTGCATGCAGGGTCACTTCTTCAGCCTGATCTGGGTGCAGTAAAACTTGTAAATAAAGACTTGGGAACAAAGGATGCCCAGGAGAGGTGCTGTGGCCCTGCCTGCAAGGGCAGGGGCAGTTTCTCTGAGGAAGGCTGAGAAGGTTCACCTGAGACCTGAGTCCCAAAGCTGTTGAAGTGTCTGATTTTGTGCTTATGTGGTCTTTCTTTACTCTTCTTCTCTTTTTCCCTTGGTTCCATAAGCAAAACCCAGGAAGCTACCTCCTCAAACCTCAGCTTATTTTGTCTGAGTAGATATAAAGAAATGAGCTCACATCCTGCCTCTATCATTTATTGCACTGTAACCTTGGACACAATAGACAGGTCATTATCTGTAAATAGACTAACTGCCTTCCAACTTTGCCACTTCTAAGATCTTAGGCAGATTGCCTCATCTCCCTGTGCCTCAGTTTCTTTAATACTACCTGCTTTATAGTTTCATTGTGAGAATCAAATGATTTAACACCCATAAAATTCTTAGAAGAGTGTCTGACCAATAATAAGCCCTCAATATTGTTGTGAAGTCTTTAAATAATAACTGTGAAAGAAACCAGGACAGTTCTGAACACATTGTTGGTGCACAGCAAAGGCTGGTTATTCTCCCCCTCGCTACTTTCTAATCAACCCTAAAATAGGATATACCTCTAAGCAGGCAAAACCCCACCATTAATAGCCATGGTCACTTTAAGCCCCAAGTAAGAATTACGCATTCTTCAGCCAGGGTTTGCTGGTTCTTATCTTCAATTCAGAAGTTTCTCTTGGGCCTCAGAATGCCTGCTGGGTTGATCCATTTAGATAATCTAGAAGCCCCTCAAAGTACGTATATTCAAAACAGACTCACCATGTCTACCCCACTCTGCTCCTCTCTAGGACCTCAGTCTCAATTAATGGCACTTCCATCTACCCAGACATCCAGCTAGAAAAAAGGAAATCTCCCTCAACTTTCCCCATTCTTCCTATTTCATGATCATTTAGCTCTCAAGGCCTGTCACTTCCTAGATATGACATGTGTCCATGCTCAGGCTTTCCCATCCCCAGGGGAGAACGCCTTTGGCTCTAACCCAGATGATGGTGGCAGCCTCCTTGCAGGTCTTCCTGTCTCAAGTTTTACTCCCTCCATGTGACAGCCAGCATGATCTTTCCAACTCACGCACAAGTCCCTGTTGGCCTCCCCATCACCCACAAGATGTAGTCCAGGCTCTTTCAATGAGTACACAATGCCTTCCCTGATCTGGCCTTACCTGTCTTTCCATTTATCTGAATTGTACCTTTCGTCCCAAAAGCAAACTGCTTCCAGCTCCTCACCTAATCCATGGTTCGTCTCATCCCCATGGCTTTTCTTGTGATTCCCCTTTATGGTATACCATGATTCCCACCTCTCATCTCCAAGCCCTTGTAGAGTCCCCTTCCATATTGAATAGGACTGATTTGTACAATGAATAGAATATTACAGAAATAACAGCATGTGATTTCTGAGAGTAGGTCATAAAAGACATTACAGATTCTGCCTTGCTCTCTTTTGTATCACGTGCTCCAGGTGAACCAGCTGCCATATTATTAGGACTCTCAAGCAGCCCTATGGAGATGCACAGAAGAAACTGAGGCCTCCTGCCAACAGCCATGTGAGTAAGCCAGCTTGAAAGCAGATCCTCCAGCCCCAGTCAAGACTTCAGATGACTGCAGTCCCAGCTGACAGCATGACTGCAACTCATGAGAGGATCCAAGCCAGAACTAACTAAGCTGCTCCCAAATTTCTGACCCATAGAAACTGTATGAGATAATAAATGTTCACTGTTGCTTTAATCCACTGAGTTTTGGAGTAATCTGTGGCATAGTCATAGATAGATAACAAATGAACTCTTTCCCCTTATCCCTTCCTATCTGACCCTTTATTTTTACTTTTGTTTTTTTTATTTATTTTTATTTATTTATTTTTTTTTGAGATGGAGTCTTGCTCTGTCACCCAGGCTGGAGTGCAGTGGCCCAATCTCAGCTCACTGCAACCTCCGCCTCCCAGGTTCAAGCAATTCTCCTGCATCAGCCTCCCAAGTAGCTGGGACTACAGGCATGTGCCACCATGCCCAGCTAATTTCTTGTATTTTTAGTAGAGGTGAGGTTTCACCGTGTTAGGCAGGATGGTCTCGATCTCCTGACCTCGTTATCTGCCCACCTCGGCCTCCCAAAGTGCTGGGTTTACCGGCGTGAGCCACCGTGCCTGGCCCTATCTGACTCTTATGTATCATTTCAACTCTAGTCAGCCAGAAGCTCCTGCAGGAAGCTGTTTCTGGCCATCCTCAGATACCATCTGCTTTTGTCCTCAGAGCAAAAAGACATGATGACATGTCCCAAAATGCAGTTTTTCTCTTTAATTTTCTTTCTTCCCTATTAGATTTGGGGATGCTTCAGTGTGGCATCCAGGCCTTGCCTTTATTCCCCCTTCATTTTCCAACACACAGCAGGAATTCATCTGTCTCTGATGAATGAATGGGAGGAGGGCCCAAGCTAGTGAAGGAGCCAGAAGGAGTGACAGTCTATTACTCCCAGCTCAGCGCTCTCTGCCGCACCCTCAATGGCCTCTCTAGGATTTGCAGACTCCTCATTTCCAGGCAGGAAGTAGCTTTTCGAAAAATGTGCTTCTCCCTATAATCATAGAGATTGCATCTGACTTCCCTCGTTCAGACTCTACTTCACCCAGTTAGAGGTCCTTCCCAAGCACAGCCCTACCTGGTGACCCAGCCATTTTCTGAAGAAGCATGCTGGCTCCCTCCCTCCCTTTTGTCCTCACCTCCTTTTCTTACCTTCCACTGATGGGCCAAGAAGGGCATTTGCACAGCAACTCTCACACTTTGCACGTCTGCTAGGCTCTAAAACAACCCTTTAGCTCACCTTCCAGTGTTGAGACTTAAAGAAGCAGATGGTGAGATGGCTGGTCTCAGGACAGAGCCCATCCTCAGGTGTGGAGCCCAAGTGTCCCACAGGGGCCTCCAGACAGAGCAGAGCCAAATATCAGCCACTCCCTGGGTCCTGAGACCCCAGACAGCCTCAGGTGCTGTCTGATCCTCCCCTGGCTAATGGAGGCAGCCTGCTCAGCTTCATCTAAGAAAACGTGTTAATTACAGTTCTCAGAGGGAGGTTATTTAAAGCAGGCACTTGAGAGGAACATCCACCTGGAGGATGGATCTGAAAGGATACCTCTTCCACTGCTGCTTCAGGAGGTTTCTGCTCTGCACTCTCATGGTCTGGGTTTGTGCAGCAACCTGCTGGCTGGTCTCTTAGACTGTGCTCTCATCCCCTCCAGTGAGCATCCAGAGTGATGTTGTTTCTAACCCTCCAGTGGCCCAGCAATGAAGCCCAAATTCCTAATCACGAGGACAGGACCAGCGTAGTCTGGTTAGCCTGACCTCCATGGTTTCGCTCCTGCTCCTCACTCCTAATCACCCCTTAGCAGGTACCTCTGTCCAATACCCAGATAACCCACAAATCTGCATCTCCACCTTCCACCCCTTCTTGAGCTTCAGAGCCTGTTCCTCTGTGTTCTGCCGATGTTTACCTAGATGGTCCTCTGGGTCTGCAAACTCAACCTATCTCAAACCAAGCTCAAATCAAATTTTCCCCCTGGGGCCAGGCTGGTGGCTCATGCCTGTAATCCCAGCACTTTGGGAGGCAGAGGCGGGTGGATCATCTGTCAGGAGTTCAAGACCAGCCTGGCCAACATAGTGAAACCCTGTCTCTACTGAAAATACAAAAAAAATAGCTGGGCATGGTGGTAGGCACCTGTAATCCCAGCTACTCAGGAGGCTGAGGCAGGAGAACCGCTTGAACCTGGGAGGCGGAGGTTGCAGTGAGCCAAGATGGCGCCATTGCATTCTAGCCTGGGGAACAAGAGGGAAACTCCGTCTCATTTCCCCGGGGATTCCTGTTTCTGTGGCAATCTACCCCCCACCCCCTGCCTTATAGAAGCATGTCTCTGAACACTGGACTTCTATATCCTGTTAATCTCACTGTGTCCACTCTCTCCTCCTTTCACATGATTTGGTTTAGGACCTCATCCTCTGTTCCCAGAGTAAGGTAATGATGTGACCATATGTTCCTTGTCTCCAGACCTGCCCTCTCTGTCCAGAAGCCTGGGTTGCCTTTTCCTAAAGTGAATTTATCACTTCCTTGTGCAGAAACATTTGGTGGCTTCCCATGTCCAATGAAATGTATGTTCATGTACACAATAGGACTGTTATTACCTACTTTTCAGGTTTGATATAAGAATGAAATGAGAAAATGAAAGTACACCAAAGCATCTAATCCTGTCTCTGGCACACTGAAGATAGTGAATGAATGGTCACTTTTTATTATCATCAGTCATTCATTCATTCTAACATGTACTAAGTACCTAGACCCTGGAGATAAGTAATGAACGAAAGTCCTTGCTGTCAGGGAGATTACATTCCGGTGGGAAGAGAAAATAGTAAAGCACAACTAAACATCCGGTGATAACAGTGCTATGAAAAAAAATTACATGCAGTAAGGAAATATTGGCAGACAGCGCTACTTTATTTAGGGTGGTCAGGGAAGGTGACATATGAGAAGATGTCTGAATGAAGGAAGGGGGAAGTGAGGTGGATGGCTGAAAGAAGAGCATTCCAGGCAGAGGGAACTGTGTAGGAAACATGAAGTCTTGGTGTGCCACACTGGACTGTGTGGTTGTAGCAGATTAAGCAAGGTGAAGAGTTAAGTGGTGACAGCAGATAATTAGATATTGCTACGTAAGACATTGTAAGCCAATGTAAGGTCTACGTAAGACATTGTAAGCCAATGTAAGGTCTTCGAGTTTTATTTGAGTAAGTACGACATGTATCAGAGAACTCTGAGCATAACACTCACTGAAGTGTTCTAGGAGAATCACTGACTACTTCATGGAGAAAAGACTAAGAAGCAGGAGAAAAACTAAGAGTCTATTATAACAGCCCAGGCAAAAACTCATGGGGGCTTGGACGACAAATGTAGGAACAAAGATCACAAAAAGTTACAGAATTCTGGCTATATTTTAAAGGTAGAGCTGAAAAAGTGTGCTGGTGAATTGATGTGGGGTATAAGGGAGGGAGGGGCCAACAATGGCTCCTGGGCTTTGGCCATGAGCAAATGGAAAAATAGGGTAGGAGGTCACTGAGATGGGAAACATGTGGGAGGAGCAATGTTTGGGTGGAAATAAGGAATTTGGTTGGAGGCATGTTGAATTTGAAAAGCCTTTTAAATATTCAAGTAGAGATACCCAGTGGGTAATGGAGTACATGAACCAGACTTTCAGGTAGAAGTCTTTGCTGGAAATAAATTCTGAAAGTCATCAAGGTGTAGTCAAATCCTGAAACATCTATGAGTTTGCTCAGACCATGAGTGTAGATAGAAGAGAAGAGAGAGCCAGGAACTGATCCCTGAGGCATCATCAGGGTGACAAGGAACCAACAAAAGTGAATGAGAAGGGATTGCCTGGGAGCAGGAAGAAATTTAGGAGAGTGTGGTGTCCCAGATGCTAATGGCATAAAACATTTCAATACAGGAGTGATCCACTGTGTCTAATGCTGTTGACAGACCTTGAGGTCAAGTTACATGAGCATTAACCAGTACATCTGGTGACAGGAAGTCACTGGTAGCCTGAGTAAGAGCAGTGTGGTGGAACAATGAGAAAAAGACTGGGAGAGTTCCACAGAGAATGAGGGAAGTTATTATTAAAACTACAAAACTGACCTGGCACTTAGGGACCTCAGTAATTATTCCCAACTCATCTTTCCAGGTGCATATTTTACCCTCCTCTCCTTCCTACCCCACTCCTCAGCAAGATCCCTGCATCTATTCAATGAGAAAGATGTGTATTTCCCTCTCTGTTGTTGGCAAATTTCCTTCTCTGCTTCTCATCCCATTATAAAATCCTCTCATCCTCATTCCAGTCTTTGCCCTTTGAAACCCAGTCCATTCTTTCTGGCTGAGCTTAGATGCCCCATCCTCCCAGGAGCCCTTCCTAAACAGACCTCTTCCTGTGTAAAACAATTTGACACATATGTGAAATAATCAGTGTGATTCCCATGTTTTCCAGGAAAATCTGTATTTGTTTCCTATTACTATTTTAACAAATTATTAAAAATTAATAGATTTTCAAAAATTTATTCTCTTACAGTTCTGGAGGTCAGAAATCCTAAAACCAAGGTGTTGGCAGAGCTGTGTTTTTTTTTTCTGGAGGCTCTAGTGGGGAATCAGTTCACTGGCTTTTTCCAGCTATTCTAGTCCACCTGCATTCCTTGGCTCATGGCCCCTTCCTCCATCTTCAAAAGATGCCAGCAGCATGGCATCTTTCAATCACATTCTCTCTGCTTCCATCACCACATCCCTTTTTCTGAATCTGACATTTCTGCCTCCCTCTTATAAGGCCTCTTGTCATGATATTGGGTCCACCTGATGATCTGGGAGAATCCCTCACATCAAATTCCTTAATTTAATCACATCTGCAATGATCCTTTTACAGATATAAACTAAATATTCACAGGTTCCAGGAATTGAGACATGGACATTTGTTAGGAGTATTGGGGGAGGTGGGTATCATTCTGCCTACCATACAGCCCCCAATTCGAGTTTTCTATTCTCAAGGGAAGCCATCTATCTCAATTATTTTTGGCAGAAAAATGACTCTCTGTAATCCAAGGTCATTTTTAAGAGCCTGATACTGTAGGAATCTCTGTGGGTATGCTCCATCCACACCCCCTTGAAAACAGATGGTCCTTCTACTCAAACACCTTAGGGAGCATATAGAATGCAGCTGCAGCCGAGCTCTCATTTTCCAATCATACACTGATTCAACATTTACTGACTGCTGTACTCTGGACCCTGTGACGGCTCTGGGAGAAGACACATAGTCCTTCCATTGAGAGGCTTGTGGTCAATTCATTTTCCCTGTGTCTTGTTCGTATCTTTTTCCTGATATCCAGCCCCATGCCAGGCATATGGCGTGTACTCAATAAAGAGTTTGTAGAGTTTGTTGAGCTGAAGTGAGCCGAGATGTTGCTCAGCATCATCACCTTCCAATAAATTCTTTCTGCTGCTGTCTTCCTGCTCGCATCATCTTTTGCGCCACTCATGATTCAGGGCAAGAAATGCCTCCCACTAGACTAGGGTCTAGCTGAAAGGACAGGATCTGGGCTGTATGTGTATGTGTGTAACTACTTTTCTTGAAGGCAAGTGTCCGCTGGCTGCAGATTTCCCTCCCACATGATGCTACACAGCAAGATGCCTGCGCCATTGCACCATGTGTTTCAAATTCATAAATACTTGTTGCATGGAGCAAGTGCCTTCCAGATCGTGCAAACACAGGAGGGACTTCTAATGCACTAAAGGAATGTGCTTCTGCAGCTAATGTCACATTAAATATGTATGCCCAAGAAACGGTAGCATTTTCTCCCACAGAGAAAGAAGTTAGGAGCAAACTCTGGAATGGCTCTGTCATGAGTGAAAAACAACAGCAACAACACATAAGTGGCACAAACAGCATCTGCAGTCATGCTTTGGTAATGAAGGGGTCCAGAGAACTGTTCATTTGCTTAACAAATACTGAGTGCCCACTGCATGGCAGGCACTGGCCTAGGCAATGAAGAAATTGGCAGTGAACAAGATAGTCAAAATGTTCTTACAGAGCTTACTTTAGTGAGGGTGGTGGAATGGCAATAGCTGACATTTTGCTGTGTGCTAACCCTGTGCCAGGGAGTGTAGTGAGTGCTTTGGCTATGTTAATTTCTTCTTGTCATCTACAGACTTATTTTCATTCCTCTTTTACAAGGGGAAGGAACTGAGCATAGAACAGTAAATTAACCTGCCCAAGGTGGCAAAACTTCAGGGTGGGCAAGTGGGGATTTGGTCCCAGGTAGTGCTGTGCTATGAATCCCACACTAAACAGCTTATTGGCTGCTTCTTCTCATATTAGAGGTAGGGAATTTAAGAGAAAGTCTTAATCTTCCAAGAGTCACAGCAGAGAAAGACAAATACTTTGGTTTCTGGGATTGGGGACTGGGAGGAAAGATAGGGAAGTTGAGAATGAGAAGAAAAAAGCAATAGGCTTCCTACTGGCCTCCATAATACCTGAAGTCCCATCATTAAGGGTTACTTATGTTTGGACAAACACTGTTGTGGTCTGTGTTAAGTACCCTTAGTATAAATTGAGCTAACCTCCTTTGAGTTTCTCCTAGAGGCCAGCAATACAGTAGGCACTTTACATAAGATACCTTATTTAATTTTTATATCAATTCTTTAAAGCCAATATAACACCATTTACCGAAGGATAAAGTTGGGTTAAGCTATTGGATGATGAAGGATTCAACCCTGGGTGTGTGGAAAGCCCTGTTTAGTGTTTTTTTTCATTGCTCCACCCCTCCCTTTTTTGCGCTCACCATCAATATTATTAAAATATTCAAACCAGTTAACCCAGGAAATCTACTTCTAAAGATTTGCTCTTAAAAACAATCAGATAGAAACAAGAATGTTTATTGTAGTCTTATTTACAACACCATATTGGAAAAATGGAATGAGAGAAGAACCCAAGTATCTAATGACAGAAAATAATTAAATAAATTGTGAGACTCATTTAATAAAATCCATGATACTTTTATAAAAGGTATATTTAAACATACAGAATTATTCTATTTATATTTGGCAAAAACAAATCAAGTTTTGCAGTAAAGTAAATATAAAGGTTTGCTTGTCTGTGTGTGTGGGTGTGTGTACGGGTATGTGCATGTCACAATTTCATGTGGCTCAAACTAACAGAAAAAAAAAAAAAAGAAAAACCTGGCTTGGCATGGTGGTGGCTCAAACTAACAGAAAAAAAAAAAAAAGAAAAACCTGGCTTGGCATGGTGGTGGCTCATGCCTATAATCCCAGCATTTTGAGAGGCCAAGGCAGACGGATCACTTGAGCTCAGGAGTTTGAGACCAGCCTGGGAAACATGGTGTAACCCCATCTCTATAAAAAATACAAAAATTAGCCAGGCATAGTGGTGCATGCCTGTGGTCCCAGCTACTTGGGAACCTGAAGTAGAAGGATCGCTGGAGCCCAGGAGGCAGAGGTTGCAGCGAGTTGAGACTGTAACACTGTAACTCCAGCCTGACCCTGTCTCAAAAAAAAAAAACCCCAAAAAACAAAAACAAAAACCCTGATGGGTGTACACCAAAATGCTAATTATGGTTATCTATTCATAGTGATTTCAAAAGGATTTTCACCTATTTGTGATTTTTTATAATTAAATTTTTCTTCAATGTGCATGCATTGCTCTTTGATCAGAGAAGCCTATAGAAATAAATGCAAATAATTAGAAACATAAAAATTCTATTTTGACATTTATTTTTCAGTAGCATGCTTGGCCTCTCAGGTGTTACGATCTGAGAATAGATTTTTTTAATGGACCAGTTCTAGTGGTTAAATTGAGAACTCATGACAAAAAAAATTGAACAGTTGGAAAAATTGATTTGTGAAATGACTTTTTTTTTTTTTTACTTTTGGAAACATTTGAGCTGAGTTATCAATCAAATTATGTGCAACCTTTAAGGTAATGAACTCACTGGACCATCTTAACACTGCCTGAGATGAAGATGGCATCAGATTAAAAGCTAAACTCTTACCTATGAAGAATTTGTAACTGGCTGAATTAACTGTAAACCAGCTAATCTGGTGTGTCATAGGAAATAATAGTCAAGGTTGATATGATGATCCAGTGCATGTCTCCACCAAGAATGACCACAATACTTGAAAGTCAAGATTTTGTTTATATTTCCCTTGGGAAGGTCAGATGTTTATTAGGTTAAATGAAAGTGCAAACTTTGAGCTATAGGAAAATGCAGATTGAACTGGAATCTTTGTTAGGAAAGAAAGGTACATTATAGAATATGCATTGGCAACAATGTCTTTAATGCAAGGGAAGCAATAATTCCCCTTGACAATGGAATGTCAAGGACATCTCAATTCATGATTTTGATTGTTGTGCCTCTATATTGCAAACCTTTGGTGTGGTCTCTATCCAGGACACAGAAGAGACTATCTTTTTAAACTCCAAGCTCTATTCCACATTGGAGTTTCCATGCCCTCAGAGAAATGAGAAGAGTCTCCTGGAGCTCTGCCTTCCTCCTAGTTTAGAAAGTCCAGGCTCTTGCTGTTGATTTTCCTTTCAGGTTTGGTGTTTTTTATTTTTTGGTTGAAATTTCTTCCTTTCTTTGTAAATGTGAGCTCCTCAAGGAAAGAAACCATTGTTGACACAGTTTTATGCACACCACAGTCACACATGCTTGTAGATAAAATGAGAAAAACAAGGTTCATATTTAGAAAACATTAAACTATGTGTTTATCACCCTCTCCTGCATAAATCATGTTTCTCAGCAGCCAGCCAGTCATCATGGTGGGAGGAAAGGATGGAGTAGAAATGGCATATGGGAAAATCCCTTTTAAATAGAAACTGGAAGTAGAAATTCCACCCTCCATGAGTAGGAGAAAGGGAGAGTAAAACAGGTAAAAGAAGCAGATGGTGAGAGGCCTGTTCCGAACACCCTTTCCAGGCAGGGAAGAATTGTAGATAGGCTAAGAGGAAACTAAAGGCAGGGGGCTTCTGCTCTGCATCCTATTCAGGGCTCACAGCTCACACAGCAAACATGGAGAGACCAGGATAGAGTCCAGGTTACCCACAGGCAGGGAGCCTGAATGAGCATTCCCGACTGAGCTCAGCTGCTGTGTGCAGCGAAGACACTCCCGCGGCCAAATGAAGGAGTCAAACTTTATTTTCTGGGCCATCAGGCCTTGAAGGAATTGTTCCTGTGCCTGTCAGCCTTGACCTCTGGCAGGGACCAGAAGGACAGTAGCCCACACTGACTACCCTCTATGGCCATTCCAGGAGCCCTATGGCCAGAGATTAAGCCCTACCTCCTGGGAAGACTTTAATCCACCTCAGCTGGCCACGAGGTAGATGACTTGTATCAAAGTACAGCAATCACTCTGCTGGGAAGAGAAACAGAAACATTGTACTCCAACACATACAAATCCTCTTGATTGACCCCCCCAAAAAAATTAAATGTCCAACTTACCATCCCTCCACCACTGCTGCAGGAATCGATTTTGCTCCCCAAATATTTATGACTTGTGGAATATAATGTAACTGCTCTGCTCAAGCAGGGTTCTGAGAGACTCGTGCCATGTTTCGTCTCAAAACCTGTTACCAGAAGAGGAGGATATTCTGTCAGAAACAGGGAGGGGGATAAAATTTACACCATCTTCTTTCTAGCCACTGACGCTTCTTAAGATTCATGGCCACTGTGTGTGTGCATTTCATCCAAGCATCTGGCCCTCCATTCCACAAATGCTAAGCAAGCATTCCCTCTGTGCCAGGGCTTGTGCTCACTCACAAGATGCAGACCCCTCCAGGAGCTAACGACCTGGAGTGGGTCAAATGGTGGGTCCTAAAAAAGATTCACCTATGTCATAAGCCCCAGAGCCCTGGATATTATCTTATATGGCAAAAGATATAATTAAATCAAGGATCTTAAGAGAAGGCACTTATTTTGGATTACCTAGGCTGGCCCTACATGTAATCACTGGCATCCTTATAAGAGAGACACACAGAGGAGAAGACACAGAAGAGATGGAGGCAGTGTGGCTACTGAGACAGAAATTGCAGTGAAGTGCCACAAGACAAGGAACATCTGGAGCCACCAAAAGCTGTTGGGGGCAAGGAACGATTCACCCCTAGAGCCTTCAGGGAAGTGTGGCCCTGCTGATTACCTTAATTCAGCCTCCAGAACTGGGACAGGATAATCTTTTGTGGTTTTAAATCATCCAGTCTGTGGGAATTCATTACAGGAGTCAGAGGAAACTAATCCAACACTAATAAGGGAAATGTCCCAGTTGGCCTTTCTGAGGGCAGCCAGGGGACAAGGGCAGGAGTTCCTTCTCAGGCCTCTTTCTGGGAAAGAACCCAGAAGTCCCTCCTGAAGGTAGATGTAGAGGAGTTTAAGACCAATCCTAGTGGGTCAGATTAATCTTCTATAACAATACAAGACTTTGGAGGAAAAAGAACCCTCTCCAAGTCCTTGCTACTGAGAGAACAGTCGGTCTTGAACACCATGTATACCCTTTGCCCAAATGGCCACCAGTCTGTGTCTTTTTATGTCATGGAAGCTCAGGTGGAGGAAGCCAGTATCTCTCTGTGTGGATAGGTAGTCTTCAGTATAGCTCTAGGTGAGTCTCCCACAAAGTTATCCCAAGTCACACTACCTACCTCTGGGAGGGCAGCTGGCTCAGATGGGGTGGGGGCTGGGCAGCTGGCTACATCACAGGCCAGTGCTGGGGAGAAGAATGGAGCACTTTAGGTCAGGCTTCAACCTCCTGAAGGGGGGTGGCCCTCTCCCTGGAGTCCAGTTGAAGACTGTATCTGTCTAATTTTGTTTGGGCTTTGCTGATGGATAGACACAAAGGTATTTAAGCCAACCAATGTGAGATCCCCACACTGATGGAGTAGAAGATTTCAGGATTGTGCATAATGTTCAGGAGGTAACATGTTACACCTGAAGGACCAGGACCACCACATTGCACAAGCTATGTCACATGTGACTTTTATCCATTCTTTTTTTTTTCTCACAACATCATATTCTCTGTGAATGGAAACTCCCAAAGTTTTGCAAGGTGAACGATCTGTCATGGACAAGCCAACATATCAAGGACAGCCAAGGCAGCTTTCTAAGCTGATGGAAATCACAGAATGATCTCTTAATGCAGGAGAGGATGCAAGGAAGGGCCACAAAGAGTGATAGAAGCAAGGAGCCCTGAGGATGGCTTCTGGTCAGCTGAAAGGGCAGGGAAAGATTCTTGGGAACAGGAGAACCTGGGCTGGGCTTGAAAACAGTACCACTTGAGAGAGGTGCTGCGGGATGCTGGGGTTAACCCTTTCATTTCTCTCTACGTTTCACCTAGTGCTGTTTACAACTCATCCATGATTTTTTTTTTTTCTTGGAGACAGAGTCTCACTCTGTCACCAGGCTGGAGTGCAGTGGCATGATCTCAGCTCACTGCAACCTCTGCTTCCCAGGTTCAAGTGATTCCACTGCCTCAGCTTCCCAAATAGCTGGGACTACAGGCGCATGCCACCACAGCCGGCTATTTCTTTTTTGTATTTTTAGTAGAGACTGAGTTTCACCACGTTGGCCAGGATGGTCTCAATCTTTTGAACTCGTGATCTGCCCGCCTTGGCCTCCCAAAGTGCTGGGATTACAGGCGTGAGCCACCATGCCCGGACCATGATTTTTAAATAATGCAATCCCTACTATACTCACCCAAGATCATGCTGTGTAAAGTTGCCCGTGTGAGGTGTAGCTCAATTGTAAATCAATCCGTGTGCCTGGGAGGATCTGCACTTAGGATTTGGATTTGGGGGTACATGTTGGAAGGCTGTGTGCTTTGTGGGCCCACGATGTGTTGATATGCCAGGTGTGTGTCCTCTGGCTCACAGTCCCGGGATCTCTCCTCGTACCTCATTTTAGCTGCTGCAGAGCCGTCTGCATACCGCTTTGAGGTGCCCCCTGGGACTCCCACGGATTTCACAGAGGCCGCGCAGCCTGTACTTAGAGGCAATCCATCCCAAACAGACTATCTAAGCTTTGTGAAAATCAAGCCAACTGCTTTTTATGTTTCACGAGAACAGATAAGCACAGGGAAACTTGGCTCCATTTATGTAAATTCTGGTTCAATTTCTGTCTGAGCATCAGGAGGCCCCCAAGGAATAAGGGAATTTCTACCACCAGGAGAGGGGTTTATCCAAGGCCACCAGAGACAGCATGTGGTCAGCTTGGAAAACTAAATCTGCTCTCTCATGGACCCACCTTAATGGACAAGGGAAGGAAAGGGTGGAGAGGAGAATGAACTGCCAGGTCACGGACACAAGTATTAGGAGGCAGAACACAGAAGGTGTGAGAAATGGGTCAGGGCAAACCGTTTAGAACTAAAGCTGTGAACACAGAGAACCTGAAAAAAGATGCCATATGGTTCAATAAAAATGCCTGAAATGCCTAATAAAAAATGTGTGAGTCTCAAATTATATATATATATCTGACTTAGGATACTTATTGACAATTAACATCACCCACTTTTACTTTGTGTTGCATCAGATGGCTTTTGCTCTTTTTTAGACCCTAATATTTTATTTAGAAAATTTTAATCCTGAAGAAAATAAACAAGTGCTAAATAAATAAAACACTGAATCTTTTTAGACATATTGAAATACTAGATTCTCTGTTGAAAAGAATACAAATGCTCCTCAGCTTTTGATGGAGTTACAGCTTGATAAGTCCACTGTAAGTTGAAAATATCTTAAGCCAAAAATGCATTTAATACACCTAATCTACTGAACATCATAGCTTCACCTAGCCTACCTTAGACATGCACATAGCACTTACATTATCCTACAACTGGGCAAAAATCATCCAACACAAAGCCTATCTTATAATAAAGTGTTTAATATTCCATGTAATTTATTGAATACTGTTCTGAAAGTGAAGAACAGAATGGTTGTATGAGTACGCAAAGTATGGTTTCCACTGAATGTGTATTGCTTTCATACCATTGTAAAGTCAAAAAGTCCTAAGTCAAACTGCAGTATGTTGGGGACTATCCGTCTATCCAAATATCAAGGCTATCAAGTCTTTAGGGATATAAGCGGCATAAGAAAGAATTGTGTCTGTTCCTCTGAGGGGATGCAGGAGGTTGGGGAGGTTAGGGGAGGTGGGAGTGCATGGTCAGGGCAGAAAGACGGGGCAGAGGATCAGAACCCCCAGTAACGTGCTTGGCCCTTCTGTGTGTGTGAGGCAATGACAAGGACGTAGTAAGTGGATTCAGAGAGAACCAGTGCTATGGTTGATTACAAACACTAAAGAGATGAGAAAGCTGAGGGACAAGGGCTAAACACAAATGTGACTCTGTGTTATCCTAATTTTGAGGGTGGGACAAGGTTAAGAAAATGTCCAGCTTCATAGTATTCATCAGGATGCTGGTAAAAAGTATTCTCAAATCAGTTTGTCCCATACAGCAAATGTATTGGCTCACGTAGCTGGAACAAGCAGGGGTTTGCACCACACCACCCTACACCACACACAGGACAAAGCCAGAATGTTTGATCTTGCGTTCTTTTCTCCTGCCTTCTGTAGCAGTGGAGAAGCCTCTGCCATGGATGCAGGCGGAGATCAGAAGGCCCATCTCAGGAGGGCCTGATAAGCCTGGGCATCAAGGAATGAGGAACAGAGAACCCAGGAATATTGCGCATCCAGACCAGACAGTTTAGCCACAAATATCCTGCTGCCAGAGGACAGGTGACTTTTATTTATTTTTACTTTTATCTTTATTTGTTTTCCGAGACAGAGTCTTGCTCTGTCTCCCAGGCCAGAGTGCAGTGGTGCGAACTCACCTCACTGCAACCCCTGCCTCCCAGGTTCAAGCAATTCTCCCGCCTCAGCCTCCTGAATAGCTGGGATTACAGGCACCCACCACCATGCCTGGCTAATTTTTGTATTTTTAGTAGAGACAGGGTTTCACTGCGTTGGCCAGGCTGGTCTCGAGCTCCTGACCTCGTGATCCACCTGTTTCAGCCTCCCAAAGTGCTGTAATTACAGGCGTGAACCACGGCACCCAGCCCAGGTCACCTTTAGGAACCACTTGCTGAGGGGATGGGCAGAGTCCTTTTGACCAGTGCTCCAGCCATGGGACAAACACTGCTGGGCTCAATGAACCTTTTGGAAGCCCAAGGGAGTATTTAAACCCCTCTAGACCCCTAAATCTAGCTCTGTGTTAGAAAGATATAGAAGTGGCTAGGACCCCTAACCTGTGTTTTCCTCCCGTGGCCCACCACTTCCAAAGGCTTCTGAGAAAGAGGGGCAGAGGAGCTGCTCTAGCCAAATTCACACTGTGTACCACTCTAAGGTTTTGGTCCAAAGCCCCTCTGTGGCCAGCTCCAGGGAGCAGGAGGATTCCTTTCGCAGGACCTAAAGACAGATCTAAGAAGAGCTCAGCTCCAGCAGCTCCATAGCCCTTCTTCCCTCAGCTCTTGACCCATTGTTTTACCTTGAGGGCCTTCTTACTTTCCCATCAGCCCACAGCCAATGGCCTAAGCCAGGTACTCCAGGTCTCCCTGCATGGCTGACACTTGAGTTGGTTTCTCCCTTGCTTTCCACAGGGAAGCAAGGGGAGATGTGTCTTCCCAGGCAGAAGGGACTGTGGGCTTCTGTTACCCCACTAGGCAAGCTATAAAACAGTGTTCAAGGAAGGTAGTTTCAAAGGATGACACTGCAGGTCAGGGAAGGCCAGAGAACAATGCCTCGTGCAAACCAGACCCCTGAAAGCCTGTGCCATCACAAAAGCTCCACTTCCTGGTACCTATACCTTTGCCATCCTCCTCTGGGTAAAGTGGTAGAGTGAGGGTCCTCACTGGCCTCGCCTCTGACCCTTTAAACTTTGCCTTCCTACCCACCCCACTGCCTGCTCTGGTCTCAGGGAATGGATGGTCACTGTATAGCCACTCACATCTCCCCCAGTGACCAGCAGGAGAGTCTCTCTTTCTCTCCCTTGTCTCTCTCCTTCTCTCTTTTCTGCTAAAAAGGAGTCTTGTATAATATAATGTTACCATGGGAGTTATATCCCATCACATTTGCTATATAATGTAATTTTGTCAAGGGAAGACATCCCATTGTCAGCTTGGGCGGGTATAACAAAGTACCACAGACAGGGCAGCTTAAACAGCAGGAATTTATTTCCCACCATTCTGGAGGCTAGAAGTCCAAGATCAACATGTTGGCAAGGTTATTTTCTCCTGAGGCCCCCTCTCCGTGGCTTGCAGATAGCCACCTTCCTGCCATGTCCCCACATGGCCTTTTCTCTGTGCACACACATTGCAGGCGTTTCTTCCTCTTACAGAGATACTAGTTATATTGGATTAGGGCCTCACCCTTATGTCTTGATTTAACCTTAATTACCTCTTTAAAGGCCCTATCGGCCAGGTGCAGTGACTCACGCCTGTAATCCCAGCACTTTGGGAGGCCAAGGCGGGCAGATCACCTGAGGTCAGGAGTTCAAGATTAGCCTGACCAATGTCATGAAACCTCACCTGTACTTAAGAAAAAATACAAAAATTAGCCGGGCGTAGTGGCAGGTGCCCATAATCTCAGCTACTTGGGAGGCTGAGGCAGGAGAATCGTTTGAACCCAGGAGGTGGAGGTTGCAGTGAGTTGAGATCGCTCCGTTGCACTACAGCCTGGGCAACAGGAGCAAAACTCTGTCTTAAAAATATATATAAATAAAAAATAAAAGCCCTATCTCCAAATATAGTCATATTGGGGGTTAGAGTTTGAGCATATGAATTTCAGGGGGACATAATTCAATCTCCAATAGTCACTTCTCCAGGCCTTTCCCGATTGCCTCATTCCCATCTTGCCCACCCCGCCCCCACAACCTTTCCATTCTGGCCAGGAAATAATGCAGGAATCAGGTGTCTGAGTCTCTGAGTATGCCTGCCCACTCACTCCCAGCACCCAGCCACATGTGTGCTGGAGACCACACATCCTTCTGTGTCTCTTCCCTTGAGGGCATTTCCACTAGAAGCCTGCGGCTTTGCAAAGCCAGGATTTTGTTTCTCTCTTCCATTTAATTAAGGAATGAGGCAGAAGGGCGCTTTCTCAAGTTTAATGACTGTTCTTAGTTAGCACCATCCAGCAAATGACTTCTTAAATTGAAGACCAAAAACACTCAATTTTCTGGATGTTTACTGTCATGTCTACAGCAACACAGCTGCCACTGAGCATGTGATTCCCAAGGCTCATGCTGAGATGGGAGGAGACGCCAGTCTCCTGGTGCCGAGACCTCCAAACAAAAACAACAACTGCCTGTCAGTCTCTGGGGCTGGCAAAACCATAGCCATTAGCCCAGGCACTCCTGCTCGCATTCCAGGGCAGCCTGATCCTCCAGACACCAGGCACAGCTGCCTGTTAGGAAAGGCAGGAGAAAGACATCTGATCCATGAGCAGAGAAAACACTCACCTCCTTCCAGTAAAAAGGCTGTCTGGAAATGCTGTCTGGCCTGAGAAGAGATAAAATGTTTCCCTGCAGGAGAAACGGTGCATTCAAAACACAGAAGTCAGTGTTTCTTCTTAGCAGGAGGCTCTGAATAGAGAAGGAAGGCTGGGTTCAGGAGTTAAATTGTACCTACATGGAAAACCCAGGCCTTTTTTCTGGATTTCTGTATGGCTGATGGGAGAAACAGAAGAAGGTGTCCTAGTGTCTCTGCTGGTGGAGTGGTGACCCATACCACCTCCTCTCTGTGGCATGGAGCAAGAGCATTCTCTAGCAAATTAGGATGGTCAGGAACCCCAGAATGCCTGAGCTGCAGCTACAGCTGTGGGGCAGTACCATCCATAGGGTGTTCTGAGGACCCTGACAGTACTTTAGCCTCAAGTTGATTGGAGCCACCTCCTGCACAGTGGGCTCCAAGGGCATGACTGAGACGAGGGCTCACATCCCAGGAAAAGCACATCAGTGCCACACGGGCCTTGTACCCACAGCAAAGACCAGTGTACCTGCTCTCAGCCCAACATCTACTCCCCAGTTATTCCTCTGCCCAGAATCCTTCTGCAGCTTTGCTTGTGTGGCTGTCATAGCTATAGGTGACAGAGGCCCATTCACATCTACTTTAGGTACCACATTTTCTTCCACTGAAGTTCTCAACAACCAGGATGCTATAGCCCTTACGGGCCTGTGGGACTTACCACATGTTGTTCCCTCTGCCTGGAAGTCTCCCCTTACCTCCTCACGCCCCATTGCTAATAGGTCAACTCCTGCTTTGGGAACCCAATGTTTCAGGAACTTACTAGGAGCCCTTGAAGACAAATACTGTGTCTTACATATCTACTCCCCTACATAGGGTGTCACACTGTGTACCAGGTGCTGCTGGCTTAGTCATCATTTGTTAAACGAATGAATATCAATGTATTAGTTTGCAATTGCTGTGATAATAAATTACTACAACTTGAGCAACTTAAAACAACACACATTTATTATCTCACAGTTTTTTGTGGTTCCGGAGCCTGGGCACAGCTTAGATGGCTCCTCTGCTTGAGGTTCCCCAAGACTGCAATCAAGGTATCAGCTAGGCAGTGTTCCTTTCTGGACCTGGGGTTCTCTAGCACGCTCATGTAGTTGTGCAGAATTCAATTCTTTGTGGTTGTAGAACTGAGGGCCTTCTAGAAGCCACTCCATTTTCCTGCTATGTTAGGAAATTAACATTATAGCAGCTTGCATCTTCCTTCACGACCAGCAGGAGAGTCTCTGTCCCTCTCTTGTCTGCTACGAAGGAGTCTTAAGTAATATAACATTACCATGAGAGTTATATCCCATCACCTTTGCTACACAATGTAATTTAATCAAGGGGAGGGCATCCCATTGCCATGTTCTACTGGTTAGAAGTAAGTCACGGGTTCTGCCTGTACCCAGGGAAAGGGAAATATACAAGGGCATGACTCACTGGGGCCACCTTAGGGTGGTCTGCCACAGTCAGCAACTCAAAATGAGAAACAATAAAAAAGAAAAAGCTAACATTTACTGAGCTCTTGTATATGCCAAGCTCTGTTCTAAACTCTCTGCAAGCATTATCTTATGAATGAATGAAGTGAAGAACCTGATGAAGGAAGTAGAGAGAGAACCTGGATATCCTATCTGGATACCATGATGTAGGAGAGAACAGCGGAAGGAGTTAAAAAGCAATAGCTGCCCTCCTCAACAAAATATTCCCTCTCCCCCCACCAGTCACGGTGACTCAGCTTCAAATCAACTAACCACAAATGTTTTCAAATCAGTTCTTGTCCTGTGAACAAGCCTCATGCCGTGACCCCAGGTCCTTTCTGCATGACACAGACCCTCTAAATTCCATGTGCTGGCCTGTCTGCCTGTCTGCTAAGCAGATGTATACTACCCAAGCCAGGCCCTACAGCCCCTTTCTCTGCAGTTGTGGACACTGCAGGCCACTCCCTTGTTGCTTCTCTGTCCCCCAATCCTAGTTCCTTCCATGTCTGTCTCCTCCTTTCTGGTTGATCACCTTTGGCCAGTTCTTAACTCTTGCTCTTGTCCAAAGATCTGTTTCCAGTCCAGCAGTCTTCTCATCCTTAACACCTCCCAGACCCTCCTTCCTACCCACTGTGAACATGACTGACCCTATGGCTTCAATCTTCACTGCCTGCCAATGACCCCGAGGACTGTCTTTCACCCCCAGCCTCCTCACAAATCTTCAGGCCCACAGATCCAATCACCATATGGGATATCCCACAGGCTTCCCAGCTCAACATGGGAAATTGAATTCATTGACTTTTCCCCAAATCTGCTCCTCGTACATCTTCTTCCCTGTTACCAAACAGAACTCCTTGGCCTCTTTCTCACTCTGAAATTCTCCTCTCGACACCATCAAATACATTCCACCTCGTCCTGCTGATTCTGCCTGTGGAACATTTCTCAATGCTTCTCCCCGTCTCTGCTCCACACTACCCTTCATGACCTGTCCTAATCTACCTCCTCAGTGGCATGTTTTGTCACCTCCATCCATCTTCCTGGAACCCTGCCCTCCAGCTACACTGAAACACTTCCAATTTTCTGAAGGAACCATTTTTCTTCTCCCGTCTAGCACTTTACCCTAAACGTTCTTTCCACCTGGTACATCTCCCTTCATGCACTCTTCTTTGACTGGCTAACTCATACTTGTCTTTCAGGACTCTGCTTAGATGCAACCTCATCCAGGAAGCCTTCCTGGACTTCTCCATGCAGATTGCACTGCTGTCTTTGGGGCTCCCAACTCCCCGTGCTATCTCTACCAGTTCGCATCACACAGTTCTGCCATCCTCTGTTCACTCACCTGATCTGTGAATTCCTCGAAGGCAAGATCCTGTGTCCCCAGGTCCTGGCTCATGGTGAACAGTGACAAATGTGGGCTGTCAATGGTAACAAACAAATCACCTGCCACCCACCTGCACCTCCAGCTGTCACCTGTCCATTTTGCCTGCACAGCCACCCCCATAAGATTTGTCTTAAGACTGTGCCCTGCTATTTCTGGCCCAGAACTTGAGGCTATGACCCTACTTGTCTCAGTCCATTTCAAAGATATTGATTTCACTTGGCTCCAAGGGTGGTGGGCCTGGAGAGTGTTCTGTAAGAGGCTAAATAAACACAGCTCACCTCCCCTGCCCCTACCAAGACACACACACTGTGGCTGCCTGTCTGCAGCATTCACGTGACAGTTTGCTCCCAGAGAATACTTGGAAGCGAATACTAACAAGAATTCACCTACTCTATTCTTTGGCTCAGTCTGAACCTCCAAACTTCTCTGGCTTCCTCTACCTCAGCTGAGTATAGCTGATGGTCCAGCCCCTTGCTGGGTACTGCAGGGAACTTAGCAAGAATAAAGTCAAAAAACGAAGTGTAAATGGGTAAAACTATTTGCATTTTTATCACTCAATAAGCTAATTTGTTAATATAAAATAATACCCCAGAAATCAGGAAGAAAAAAGACCAAAACAAACTGCAAAAAGTCAGGAAAAAGGGTAAGGTCTAGGAACATTTTAGAGGAAATGGCTCTTGAACATTTAAAATGGTGTTCAGCCTCATTTATATTTTTTAATGCAAAATGAAACTTATAATGCCGTATCTCACTTATTGAATTGACAAAGATCACAAAGTTTGATCACACATTGTGCTGATTAGAGTGTGAGGAACAGGAACTCTTGGGCACTACAGGGAGAAGTAGAAATCGGCACACTAGTAATGGAGAGCAGATCAACCATATGTATCGAAACTGGAAATGCTGACAGCTCTTCCTCTTCTAGAAATCTATCCCACCGGTATACATGCACACAGCAACATAATGCAGCCAAATCATTTGTTGCAGCATTGTTTTGGTAGCAGAAGCTCGGACAACTTATATATCCATCAATAGCAGATTGGGCTAAATAAATTATGGTATATACACGCAAGGGAATGTATGCAACTGCGAAAACAATGCAAGAACTCTTTATGTGCCGATGTTGAAAGTTATCCAGGCCGGGTGCGACGGCTCATGCCTGTAATCCCTGAACTTTGGGAGGCCGAGGTGGGCAGATCACAAGGTCAGGAGATCAAGACCATCCTGGCTAACACGGTGAAACCCCGTCTCTACTGAAAAATGCAAAAAAAAAAAAAATTAGCCGGGCGTGGTGGCGGGCGACTGTAGTCCCAGCTACTTGGGAGGCTGAGGCAGGAGAATGGCATGAACCCGGGAGGTGGAGCTTGCAGTGAGTGAGACTCCGTCTCAAAAAAAAAAGAAAGTTATCCAGATATATGTTTTATGTATGTGTGTATATGTATATAAATGTGTGTGCTTGTGTGTGTAGATACACATATATACACACACATTTATTATATCATGCATAAAATATCTGTGGGAGACAGGCATGGGGGAGAATTTTTCTCTCACTTCCTTCCTCAGTTTCTTGCTTACATATTTGTCCCATTCTGCTCACCCAACCCATGATTCCACTTCTCTAGCTGAGGCTTTCTCCTCTGGGGTAGGAGTCTTTGACATCCACTGGTTATAAAGATGTTTAGTGGGGAGGGCAAACAGCATGAAATCAGGGTTAGTTGCCTTGGCGCTGCTGTAACCTTAAATGTTAATGTTTCACAGGGCTCCATCCACTGCTTCTGCTTCTCTCATTTCATACATCAACTTCGGAGGCTCCCCTTCACCTGCGCGGCTCCAACTGTCCATCATCACTGAATATACCCAGTACTCCTCTCCAGCCTAGGCTTCTCTCTAAGCAAAATCCTAAGAGTGTATATTCCTGGACACCCTCACATCTGCTTAACAGAATCTCCTCTCCCAACCTGGAACCTGCAGAATATGGATCAGGGAGCCCAGATCAAAGACTGAGCACTATCAGACACATCCTTCCTCTAACACCATGTCCTATCCCACACCAAATCTTCCAGCTTTGACCTCACTCATGCTCTCAAATATGTCTGTCAGCTCCAATCCAACCCCTGCCTCCTGTTTTCTGACCTGGACCACCCTAATAGTTTCTTAATAGTTCTTCCTGCCTCCGAGGCCCTCCTTTTTTTCAAGCCACCCTCCACATTGCTGACAGACAGAGTTTTCTAAGATTCAAAGTTAACTAAGTGAAACCCCCTGCATAAGTTCTTTCAGTGGTTCCCCATATTATTATTTTTTAAAATTTTACTTCAAGTTCTGGGAGACGTGCAGAACATGCAGGCTTGTTACACAGGTATACATGTGCCATGGTGGTTTGCTGCAACTATCAACCCATCATCTAGGTTTTAAGCCCTGCATGCATTAGGTATTTGTCCTAATGCTCTCCCTCCCCTTGCCCCCTCTCCCCCAACAGGTTCTGGTGTGTGATGTTCCCCTCCCTGTGTCCATATTCTTTAAACTACAGTGTATTAGTTTATTCTTGAACTGCTATAAATAAAAACCTGAGACAAGGTAATTTACAAAGAACAGAAGTTTAATTGGCTTGTGGTTCTGCAGGCTGTACAGGAGGCATAGTGGCTTCTGCATCTGGGGAGGCCTCAGGAAGCTTCCAATCATGGAAGAAGGCAAAAGGGGAGCAGCATCTCACATAGTGGGAGCAAGGGCAAGACAGTGAGAGGGGAAGTGCTACACACTTTTAAACAATCAGATTTCATGAGAACTCACTCACTATTGAGAGGACAGTACCAAGAGGGGGTTAAACCATTCATAAAAAAACCACCCCGGTGATCCAATCAGCTCCCACCAGGCCCCACCTCCAACATTGGGGATTGAAATTCAATATGAGATTCAAGCAGAAACATAGATCCAAACCAAATCACACAGCGTGAACTCATTCATATGTCTTTCAAGGCACTCTGTGATGGGATTCCCTCCATCGCTTCAGCCTCATCTCTGGCTCACACACACCTATACACTCATGCACACAAACACACACACATCACATTCATGCAACAGTATTATTGAGGGCCTGCTTTATGCTAGGCACTGCTCTTAGTTCTGGGGACACACCAGTGAACAAAACAGACAAACTGCCTTCTCTGAAAGGACAAGAGGCAAAATTAAAAAATAAACCGTCCAAGAAAGCAAAATGATTGCAGATTTGACAACTGCCATAAGGAAATTATAGGCTGATATGATAGAGTACCAAAGGATTGGGGCTGGTGGGAGATACTCCTAACATGGGCAGTTAGGAAAGGCCCCTCTGATGAGATGAACTGTGAGCTGACCACACATGGGGCACCCACCACATCAAGCATCTCAAAGTGCCACTAGCCCTCACACTGGCGTGTGCTTCCCTACTATTTATTTTGCCTGAAATGTCCTCTCCCCTTCTCCAGCTCCCTAATCCTTGCTTATCCTCCAAGACTAATGTAAGATGTCACCTCTGCCAATAGCAAGCCTTTCTTGACCCCCAAGCTGGACTAAACACCCGTCCTCTGGGCTTGCACAGCTCCCCGGCATCCGTATATCACGGGCCTAGGCCCCAGAATATAATTTCCTATTTACTTGTCAGTCTATCCCACTGGATAGAAGTTGCTCCAGGACCAGGCAAGATTTCATAAAGTCCAGAGCACCAGGCTGAGGAGTCTGGGCTTGCTAAGGAGGGAGCCTATTGTAAAAGCTGGAGCCATGGGGTAGCAAAATGTAAGAGAAATATATCTCCATTCTGGCCATTTTTGACAGCTCGCTTTATTGCCTAAAAGGAAAATTCACTTGATGAACTCTGGGCCTGAAGATGCTTAAAAGATAAATATTTTTGAAACAGAGAAGCTACCCTTTGGAAAAATCAAAGCTTTTCTTTCATGTCAGTTTAAAAGATTTATGAGGCCTACTCCTTGCTGCGTCTCTGGGTAGATGTTGCCTGTGAATGCATTAATGAGTGGTAAAGAAACCTCAGAGCGGTGTGGTAAGTATGTGCCACCAGACACCAGACCACTGTCTCATTGTGACCCTTGCCAGGGGTGGGGGCTGGTTCCTGGGGCCATCACACACAAAATTGGCTGTATCAAAGCTCTTGCACAAGCTTTTGCAAGCAGCGTCTTGCTATAAATAAGCCCTGAGCTTGGAGCTGGGGAGATCTAGACACACTCACACTTCAGTACACTCACAACCCGAGATGTGTCAAGATTCATTTGGATATAAGTGTCAAGAACCCAACTCAGACTGGCTAACACAAAAAGGACTTTATAGGCTCACAAAACTGCCAAGTCTAGTGGTATGTTTGCCTGCAGGCCCGAGCAGATCAGGAGCTCAAATAGACTTGGAGGACCCAGGCTCCAGACCCCTCAGCTTTGTCTACCTCCATACTACTGTCACTCTCATCTGACCTCCCTGTACAAATGGGACCCAAGACTCTAGGCTTCCATCCCATCAGCTCAGCAAACCCAGAAGAAAAATGAGGCCTTGTTCCCAAGAGTTTCCTCAGGAATCCCAGGAGTAATTCTGATTGGCCAGTTTGAGGTCATGTGATAACCCCCAAATCAGGAAGGTCAGGTCAGCTCCAGCTCACCAGAGTGCAGAGTTCAGAGGAGTGTATCCTTGAGGAAAATCACAGCAATGCCACCTTATAAGAAAGAGGGGAATGGGAACTAGATCAACAAAAGCAAGAAATGCCCACCACACTGGACAAATCACTGCACCTCGCTGGGACTCAATTTTATCACATGCAATACAAGTGTGTCTATAACACAAGTGATTGGTCTACCCTGGGCAAACTCTAAAATTCTTTGAAATACCCAAAGAATTATATAAACTGAAGGCTGAAAAAGATTTATAGAAATGTTTTAGTGGGTCAGACCTGATGTTTTACCTAGGTGTATTGAGGTTTCAGGAAAGAAGTAGAGAGATGTCAGGAAGTACAACAATGCCCCCTGCTCACATCCCCCATAGAGCCAAACCCAGCACGGATGGTCTGACTCCAAGAGCAAAGTGGTGATTGGCTCCCCCGTCACATGGGTTCTTCCCCAGGCTCAGCACCTTTGGGCCTGGAGCAGTGCTTCTCAGATAGGAAAGTTTTTGCTGCTAGGGGACATTCAGCAAACTCTAGAGACATTTTTTATTGTTGTGATGCAGGGAGGATTGAGAGGTAGAGGCTGCTACTGGCCTGTGGAAGGTAGAAAGCAAAGATGCTGCCAAATATCCTAAAATGCACAGGACAGTTCCCACGACAAGGAAGAGTCTGGTCAAACACATCCATAGTGCTGAGGTTGAGAAACCCGGGTCTAGTGGGAACTGTTCTAGAGCACCTGCTATGTTCACCCAGGACTTAGGTGTAATGAATCCTATAATTTATACACAATTGCAATCAAGGAAAGTCACCATGGCTGCAGTGTGGATAATAGCTTGCAAAGGGGCATGAGAGGAGGAGCAGGGGAGACAA